>NC_000017.11:18975959-19278989 GCF_000001405.40 Homo sapiens
GGGCGATCACGAGGTCAGGAGATCAAGACCATCCTGGCTAACAAGGTGAAACCTCGTCTCTATTTTAAAAATACAAAAAATTAGCCGGGCGTGGTGGCAGGCGCCTGTTGTCCCAGCTACTTGGGAGGCTGAGGCAGGAGAATGGCGTGAACCCGGAGGCGGAGCTTGCAGTGAGCCGAGATCGCACCACTGCACTCCAGCCTGGGCGACAGAGCAAGACTCCGACTCAAAAAAAAAGTAACTCTTTTGAAGTAGAATCGTAATATCAGTGCTGGGAGAGATCTCAGACATTATGGGTCCAAATTACCGCTCCCTCCTCCCATTCTGCAAATCTGGAAAGGCCTGGTTAGGATTTGCTGAAGGCTCCCAGAAGGGCCGGTGTCCTCAGATAGCTTCTAGCCTCCCTCTGCTACTGAACTGCAAGCTTTCAAAACCCCAGGTCTTAAAGCACCTGAACTCTGCCAGCCATGCAAACACAGTTGGCGCCAGTGTCTGCTCCTGGCACTATAAATGTGCCAGCTGCTGTCATGAGGGTCCAGGAGATGAGGGTAGGGGTGTATGTCCCCATACCACCCCACCCAGGGTCTCCTCCAGCCCTGACAATTGCCAGGGGTGGTGGGCTGGGCAGGATCCACACCTCCCCTATTGACAGGTCAGGGGACTGAGTCCCTGGGAATGAGTGTACCTCGGCTCTCGCTGCTTGGCCTGCTGAAGTGAGCTCTCCTGGTGGGACCCTGACAGTATTGGGGCTTTGAGTGTGGCTGTTTTGGGCAGGTCAGAGGCTAATGGGACATCATCGTGCCTCATGCCCATTCCCTGAGGCCCACCAAGGACCAATCCTGACACAAGTGTCCCTCAGGCTTGGACTCACCCCGTCTCGCACTCCACCCCCAGGTCATCGTGCAGCGATCACTGTCAGCCCGGGACCTGAACCATGCCAAGGCGGGCTCCATCCTGGCCAGCTACCTCAAGATGCTCCCCATGGGCCTGATCATCATGCCGGGCATGATCAGCCGCGCATTGTTCCCAGGTAGGACGGGCTCCGGGCACTGAACCCAGGCTGCAGGGCACCCAGGGTTCTGGGACCTTGTCCTGCAAACGTCACCAGAAGAAGAGGCAAAGGATAGATGTGAACTGTTCCCCAACCTGGGGAGTGGGGAGAGTGGTCCTCAGGGCCACAATCAAAGGGATTAACATGGATGTGGCTTGGCACAAGGTCTGGACAGGTATCACTTACTGCTGTGTGACCTCAAGGCTGTAAATGAACGTCCCTGTGCCCCGCCTTTTCCTCATCTGCAAACTAGGGACTGTGCCACCCATCTGGCAGGTGCCATCAAGATCCTCTAACCACAGGCTTTGGAGACCTCTAGGTGGGGAAACGTGCATTTTCTTAGGTTGCCTTTTCAGGATGCTGGGACCAAGAGTCCCCAGCATTAATGATGGCCTTCCATATGGCCCTGGCCGGTTCCCACCCCTGCCTGTTCATCAAGTTTCCCCATCTGTAACAAGGGAATTGAAGTCATCAGAGTCAGGGACATGGTAGCCCAGAAGACAACAGCTCGAGCTCTTGGGTGGCTGGCAGGGAGGGACTCGTGACCCCTGGTGTGCAGGGACCCTGACCCACCTGTGCCTCCTTGTCTGTGGAGCGCTGGGCCTGCATCCTCTTCAACGCATCTGCTTCTTCTCTTCCCCGACTCTGGGCCCATGGGGAGCCACCCTGGGGTCCAACAAAGGTCCCTCGGGTTATATGGGGGGCACTCAGCTGCCGGCGCGGTGGTGGGGTTGGCCCGTTGGCCACTTGCTCTGAGTGGCGCCTCCGGAGAGGGACTGAGTGCTCTCTCACCTCGAAGTACTCCTCTGACACAGAGGAAGCCACTGAGGGCCGTCGGGGGCCAGGGCCACGGCCGGAGCTGCCTGAGTGGCTGTCCTGGTCACTGAGGGTTACGTAGTCGTCATCATCTTCTTCTTCCACCCCATCCAGCCCATTGGGGAGCCCCACCCCGAGGCTCTCGGGGTCATCCTGGGTCACAGATAGCTGCCGCTGGAGTGGGGCGTGGCCTGGGCCTGCCATCCTGGGTAGCCTATGGTCTGTCCCATTCTGGGGAGCTTCCTCTTTGGGGAGCTCCAGGACCCAGCCAATATCACTGCTGTCCCGGGCTAGTACATCTGCCACAGGGACTGTCCGGGGCTTGGGCACGGGGGGCAATGGCTCAGGGTCCCCCTGGGGGAGGCCGTTCTCAGCTGGGACACCGTCCTGGGGGGCACTGGGCTCTGGGGGAGGGCAAGGCTCTGGACGGGGCCTGCTGTCCTGGCTCTGCTTCCACAGCTGGTGCTGGGCGCTGGCCTGGGAGGTGTCACGGATCTTGATGCGGTTCATCTGGCTGGGCTGGGGGTTCCAGATGTTGGGGTCGATGATATTGATGTAGCCCAGGATGTCGCTGCCAGGCTCCGGGTCTGGCTCCACCCACGTGGGCAGGTACTCAAACATGTTGGCCCTCTCCAGGTGAAGCAGTCCTGGGTGGATGGGTGGCAGCAGCTCGGGGAGTTCCCCTGGATGCTCAGCCAGCGCTGGGCCTTTCAGCCCCAGGGGCTTCTTGGCCTCCTGCTTCTCAGAGGAGATCTTGGCAATCTCGTCGACGCTCTTGGCCTTGACAAGTGCGTACTTGGGGTTGACGAGCTTCTTGGCCACAGTGCCCGCGGGCACCAGGGGGACCACAGAGGGCAGCACAATAGGCTCCGGCTCCGGTTCCTTCTCCATAGGGATGCCCTTGAGGCTCACACTGTGTGACATGAGGTACAGCTCCTGGAACTGCCGGTCAAACATCTCCACCACCTGGCCAGACAGCACAGAGATCACATTCCGGTCCGTCCGCGCGGCCGACCACGTGAAGCTGCAACAGAGGGAGGGGGCGCTGGTCAGGCACATGACCCTGCTTCCTCCGCCCAGCCCCCGTGCACCCATAGCCGCTGGGCCTCAGACTGTGGCCACAGGGCCCTGGGATCAAGAAGTGAATGGGGGCAGAGAGCAGGTGCATACTGTGGGGTCAGACTGAGTCGGATGTCAAGCAAGTTGGTTGCACCAAGCCCATTCCCACCTCTGCAAATGACAGGGCACTGTGCTCCTCTCAGGCTGGTACAGGATTCACTAAGCAGCTCAGGAAGGCCCTGGACACTGTGGGGGGTTCTGCATGTGGTGGCCGCTGCTGCCATGCGTCTATGCTGCCACCAACCCCCATGTAACCATGGGCAGCGCCCACCCCATGCCCCATGTGGTGGTGCCCACAGAGCTGGCCCCATCCCTAAGGACGGCTCTCAGAGTGACCCCCATAGGCTTGCGAAGGCACGGCCTGGCCACACCCCACCTCCAGGCCGGTGACATCTCCAAGCTGGAACAACAGCGTCCTCAGACAAAGCCCTTCTCTGCCTGCCTCCAGAGACAGACAGGCGGGCAGATGTGCTCCAGCCCTGCGCACACCTCAGCAGCCTTGGGACCAATGAACCGGAATAACCAGGGTTAGGATTAAGGGCAGAAGCCAGTTGGGAGCCAGAGGTACCTCTCGCACAACTTCCCTGAAAGCTGGAGAGTCACCTGTAGGAGCCGCACACAGCCCGGTCTCCATCCACAAACATGAACTTCTGGGCCAGGGCACCCTTGAACTTGGTTGCCGACCGCGTGAAGAACTCAGTTCCCCCGCTGCTCCGCACTCTGAGATTCTGTTTTGGGAACCAAGAGACAGAATTACACGACTGCAACCCTGACCACACAGGGCGAGGGGAGGACGGCAGCTGCCCAGGGCTCAGAGGGGACTCTGGAGTAGTCAGGAGGGGAAGAAAGAGGCTGTAAGGCCTGGAGAAAGGGGCTGGTGTGTCTGGGACTGCAGGGCTCAGGGTAAGGAGGGAGCTGCTGAGCCGTGAAGCTACAGAGCGGGCAGGCACTGGTACAAAGGGGTTGGCATAAGATGGTCTGGGCTTTGGCCCTAAAGGTGTCTGAAGAGCAGCATCAGGCAGGAAAAGGCTTACACAGCCAGCCAGCTTGGGAAATGCTGCCGTGGGTGGTGGATGCTATGGTGGGGTCCTGAGCGGGAGGGTGATGTGCACACGTTTTAGAAGTGTCTCGTGGATGGCTAGGGGGTGATGCAGCCAGAGGAGGGCAGGAAGGGGGCCTGCCCTGCAGAATCTGTGCCTTATACTCCGATAAGTCTGTGGCCCTCCAGGGTGCGTGGCCCTACCCGGCCTCTCCCCTGTGCTTCTCAACACCCCTGTCTCTGCTGGGCTCTGCTCCGAGGACAGGACTCACAGCAAACCTTTCTCCTTCCCCATGGCCAGGACACCACCCAGCACCCAGGCCAGGTCCTGTAAATGGTCAGAGATTCAATTCTGTGCCGGCTTACACTGTTTGGCCCAGGAGCAGGCCAGGAAGGCCCTCAGAGACTGTGGCCAAGGGAGCTGAGACCCAAGGAGAAGAGGGCTCCTTGGGCATGAGGAGCACAGCGGGCCCCTCAACTGCCTCAGCTCCAAGGCCAGGTCGTCACCGGCCTTTTCCTGGACCCTGAACACATAAGGGCCCTCTGTCCCAGTGTGGAGTCTCTGGAGCTGCCAAGGGCCTGTGTGTTATGAGCTCCAGGTGCTGACTTCCCTCCCCCAGGTAGCAGGACCTGCTGTGAGGGAGGAGCAGATGGTAAAGGCTGGTGCTGGGCACGGCAGACCCCAGGAAGGACAGGGCGAGCCTGGCTGGAACCCAAGTGTCGAGGATGGCCAAGGGCATCCCGAAGTAGAATCACAGGTGTAAAGGGGACCTGGGGCTCATCTGGCCCCTGTCTAGGGCAGTGTGTAAGAAATGCTCCTGGGTGCCCTGAGGGTCTGACTCAGGAGGCCTGAGGTCAGGCAGGGAATCTCAGTTTTAACACCCACTCCAGGGATTCCTGACTGGTCTGCCTGCATGCCTCCTGTGATGGGAGTCTCACTCCCTCCCGAGGGGCTCTGTGCCGGCTTCTGGCTCTCGGCTATGACGTGTTCTTAGTCAGGCTGAGCTGTGACGTACTGGTCTGTCCCCTCACCCACTCACTGGCCCCAGCTTATTCACCCCACTCATTCACATAGTCATCAACCCCTGCCGAGGCCTCCAGCTGCAGAGATGCCTGTGATGAGGATCCCACCTGGGAGGTGAAGGGGAGGCTGAGGGGGTAAACGAAAACAAGCTGAATGCCCAGGATCGCAGAGGAGTAGCCTGAAGTGTGAAGGGCTGGCCGGGAGGCTCCCGGGAGAGGATGACATAGGTCACAGGGGGAGGTGGGGAAGCATTCCAGGGAAGGGACTCAAAGACCAGGCATGAGAGGCCTTTGTACAAGAGCACCTCAGGGGAGGAGGGGTGGGTGATGGAGCCTGCAGAGCGAGCAGGGGCGGGCTCCTGGTAAAAGACCCTGCACCGGCTTAAGAGCCTGAGCTTGGCCCTGGGGCCAGTAGGGAGCCATGGGAGGATTTACAGCAAGAGCGATGGGGTTGGGTGTGTATCTCAGGAGCAGTGCTGGCATCAGGCAGTGGGTGTGTGAGGTGAATGCTATGGGAGAGGAGGGGAGCCTGAGAGAGCAGAGCTGCCCGCCATGCCATCCAGCCTCCTGCCCTGCCAGTCCTTTCCGTGTCCCAGACCCCTGTGGCTGGGGTGGCCCCAGGCAAGCAACCACAGAGGCAGGCAGGTGTGGGCCGTGGGTGAGTCCCCATCTGATGCCCACCTGTGGGATAAACCATAGCCTTTTCATAGGGCCCAGTGCAGAAGGCAGATAAGCCTCTGCTCCCAGGGCCGCCCTCGCCGGCCCCCCACCCCGCAGGCTGCAGGTTTGCACACAGCCAGCTCAGCAGGAAGCTGGCCACGGCCCAGGACAATTAGCGCTCGTGACTTTGTACCCAACATGGAGCACGCTCGGGGTTGAGAAGTCGGACAAAGATCCTGGAGGTGGTACGAGGCCTTCCCTGTCACTGAGCCCAACCGAGCCCAGCTCCACCGCCTCCTGCAGGCTCCTGGCCCGGCCACAGACCCCTCCTTAGCCTGGAAAATCGGCCGCCAGCATCAGGACCCTTCTGGACAGTGTCTGTCCCCACCCATCCCAAACCTTGTCCTGATGAGGGCTCGGAAAGTCACCACTTCCATCTCAGAGTGACTCAGCCTCCGTGTGAGCCGCAGGCCTCGGCTGGGCCGCTGACTCGCTGTGACTCGAAGCAAGTCCCGGGCCCTTGCTGGGCCTTAGTCTCCCTTAGCACACAGCAGGGCGGGCCTCCAACTCTTAGGCCTGTTCTACCTGGGGCTCAGCAGCAGGTGGGGGCCTGCAGCAGGGCCCCCCACCTCTTGCCTCATGGCCTGCTCCCCAGCTTGTGCCTGGATGGGCCCCACCCCACGGGGCCTGGCCTGGATGAGGTAACGTCTCAAGACTCTGGGCTCGTGTGCGCAGAGGTGGAGGATCCCACAAAGCTGCATTGTCTCTGAGCTCCTGGGACACCCCCGGCACAGGACAGCAGATGGGTGGAGGGATGCCGGGGCTGGCCCAAGAGGGGTGCCCTGGAAAAGTCTTTGGACCCTCTGGGACCTCAGTTTCCTCATAAGTAAGAGAGGACGTCAAGGGCGAGTCAGGGCAGGGGAGGACGGCCGGGTGGTGCTTCATCTGCTCTCAGCGGGTGGCAAGGCAAGGTGGGGGCTCCAGGGCTGGGGCAAACTACAGCAACCTGCCCCCAATCCCCCCAGGCCTCCAGGCCACATGTGCTTAAAGGACATGTGATCCAACTGTGCCAAGCCCGCTGGTGCGAGGCAGAGGGGGCTGAGCCCAGGAGCCCCTGGAGTGGGTCTAGGGTCTAGGCATTCCTGAGCTCCAGTCAAACAGGCTCCAATCCTAGCACCAAATGGACGCCAACCAAGGCCTTTCTTTCCACGCCTCAGTTTTCTCATCTATGAAAGGGTCTACTCATCCTTGTGCTGCAAGGCTGCTGTGAGGACTGAATAGAGCCACAGTACAGGTGGGGCCCTCCCAGGGAAGGTGTCCAGCTCCCAGTGGGTGCCCCATGAACTGGAAGTGGCGCAGTGGGCTGTGGGGGACCAACACAGAGGACCACAAAACATCCAGGAGGGATGGACTGCCCAGGGAGGCCAGGACTGTCAGCCGTACTGGGTGGGTGGTTGGTGGGCTCAGGTAGGGAAAGTGACCTGCCCACTGTCTCCCAGTAGCCCTGGGCTGGGCCGGGACTGAGGACAGGGCTCTTTCATCACCCACCTCCTCAGGGCCCTGCTGGCCAAACACCGTCTCCTTTAATTTCACCCTCACACAACCCCGTGAGGCATCACTATGGCCATGGGGCGCTCGAGGCCCAGAGAGGTGGAACCACACGCCCAGGTCCCACAGCAGGTCAACAGCCAGTGAGCCATGTAGGCAGCACCAGGACAGCCTGTGCTGGCAGGTTAGCTTTGGTTTTGGTTTTATAATGGAAGCCAGTGATTACTTCCCCTGCCCATAGTGGGATGGCCATTCCTAGGTTTATTGATAGTTGAGTAGTTAGTGTGAATGAGTAGAGGCCCGGTAGAGCAGTGGGGAGGTCCAGAGATGCATCCTTGACCAGGTCTGAGCTGGGAACAGTGAGGCCAGGCCTAGTGTGAGGAATGCAAGGAACAGAGCCCAACATAGCAGCAGGAGCCTGGCTGCCTGAGGTGCAGGCCTCCAGCAGCCTCTACTCTCCTCTACAGGGCCTGTCTCGCTCTCTGTGGAGGGTGGAGAGGGGTGGTCAACACTCACCCTGGACTTCTCCAGGCTGTTGTGAAGTTGGGGTGGTGGGCCCTTTGTGAACCACATTTGGCCCAAAGTATGTGACGGCATGTAGGGGCAGGGCCAGCCTAGCTCCAAGGCCCTGGTCTGAGGGGCTCCTCTCTCCCCTAGGCCAAGGCTGCTCAGCCTCTGCACAACTGATACATGTCCCCTTTTGTGTGGGACCTGTCCCCGGCAGTGTAGGATGTTTAACAACATCCTTGGCCACTCAATGCTGGTAGTACCCCCAAGGTGGACAGTTAACAATGCCAAATGTCCCTCAGCAGAGTGAATCCCCCCCGTTTGAGAACCCCTGCCTTGGCCGGGCGCGGTGGCTCACGCCTGTAATCCCCGCACTTTGGGAGGCCGAGGCGGGCGGATCACGAGGTCAGCAGATCGAGACCATCCTGGCTAACACGGTGAAACCCCATCTCTACTAAAAATACAAAAAATTAGCCGGGCGTGGTGGCGGGCCCCTGTAGTCCCAGCTACTGGGGAGGCTGAAGCAGGATAATGGCACGAACCCGGGAGGCAGAGCTTGCAGTTCACGCCACTGCAGTCCAGCCTGGGCGACAGAGCAAGACTCCCTCTCAAAAAAAAAAAAAAAAAAAAAAGAGAACCCTGCCTTATACCCTGAATCCACCACAGACCCAGGCCCAGGTAGAGACAGCAAGCAACACCCAGGCATCCCCGGGGAACGGGGGAACCTGGGCAGCGGAAGGGCTGGGTCGTGCCTGTCCAGCGTGAGGCCTGAGCGGCAGCGATCCTCACTTCCTCACCGTGTGCCTTCCCATGGCCATCCCAGCTGATGCTTCTTTGTTCATCAGAAACGGGAAACGGGTCTGGCCTTTGCCCAGGGGCTGCTGGTATTTCCAGTTTGGCTGCACGAAGTCAACTGGCTTTTCAGATGGCCCAGGCATCTCATGGCTCTTGTCTGTCCTAAGCTGGAAGCCTCAGGCCCAGCCTGTCTCTGGTTGGCCTGGGAGCATCCCTCCACACCCAGTATCACCCCCAAAAGCAGCCAAGTCATGCGGCCTGGCCCTGTGACCCTAGAGGGTGTCAGTGAAAGTTCTGGCCCTCTTCCCAAGGCCTGCTCCCTATTTGTCATTTGGGGTGGTCATTCCCATACTCCCACATGGAGGGCCACTGGGGCCGGCCAGGGCAACCGGCTGAGGTGCTTAGGAATGGCTGGGAGCCCCACATTTGGGGAGACACTGGTGCACGCTGCTCCCACCTCACCTGGGGACCAGGAGTGGGCTTGGCCCAAGCAACAGGGCAGCGTTTCGAGAGTGTGTTGGTGTGGGCTCCAAGCTCAGGAGGAAGGAGCCGAGTGAGGGTGAACCACAGCCAGACCCTGGCGCAGAGGGAAAGAAAGCCGCTCAGCACTCAGACCAGAGCTGCGTCTCATGGCGGGGCTGTGCCTGTCCCTAGCCAAAGCCAGGATGGGAAGGGAGCTCGTGACCGAAGGCCCACCGCACAAACGGCCTCCTTCACTCTTCACAGCACCCCTGACAGATAAATGACCATGTCCCCATTTTGTAGACAAGACAATGGAGGCCTAGAAGGATTCAGTGACTCTGCCCAAGGTTACCATGCAGGTGGCACAGCTGGGGCTCAGGACTGGCTCCTGGTATCACCCCCAAACTGGCACCTGACACCCCAAGGTCAAAAGGATGACCCTACCAGAAAACCTGTACCCTGCCTGGGCCCAAAGGAGCTGGGGCAGGTTGGTGCAGAGCTGGGCAGGGGTGGCAGTGGCTGAGGGCAGGCCCAGGGATTATCGGCAAAGGAAGTGCTCCCGGGACAGGTCTGGGCCCAGCTAGCTCAAGGTGAGGGAGGTAGGCAGGGAAGGCAGGCCCTCGACAGGGGGTGACACTTGGCTGGGGCTGGGCTCTCAGGGCCTCTGGCCACCCGCCCAGGGCTGTAGAAGGGCAAGCTCAGAGGCGAGAATGAGGAAGCCAGGTCACACTTTCCCATGGAGGCGTCTAGCTCCTGGATATGTCACCCTACAGACTCTGCCACCTTCCCTGGGGAAGCGAGGCGGCTGAGCAGGGCAGGCGGGGCCAGGGACCTGCAGTGCCAGCTGCCTTCCAGCTGGTCACAGCCAGTGGAAGGGCTGGGGGTGGAACAGGGCAGGCCTCATACCCAAGCCCCTACCCCAGCCCAGGGCCTGGGATTTAGAATGTGTGGTTCTTGCCAGTAGCTGTATAACTTTCCTCAGCACACACAGCACTTTACAACCACCGTCTCCTTTAATTTCACCTTCACACAACCCCGTGAGGCATCACTATGGCCATGGGGCACTCGAGGCCCAGAGAGGTGGAACCACACACCCAGGACCCACAGCAGGTCAGCGGCCAGTGAGCCGTGTGGGCAGCACCAGGGCAGCCTGTGCTGGCAGGTTGGCTTTGGTTTTGGTTTTATAATGGAAGCCAGTGACTACTTCCCCTGCCCATAGTGGGATGGCCATTCCTAGGTTTATTGATAGTTGAGTAGTTGGTGTGAATGAGTAGGGTGGGAGTGCTAGAAGATTGGTTGAGCCAATAAAAAGGATAAGAGAAATTAATATAAGGGATCAAGTTCATCCTTTGATGCTCTGTGTTATTATTTGTAGTTGTTTATTATTTGCTGCTTGAGTACCAGGGATCTGCAGCCTCCTTGTCAGAGCTGATTTGTCACTATTGGCTTTTAGGCGCCACCCCTAAATTGGTCGGAATTGCTTTGGGCAAGGCATGGCCTCCCTCGGATCTCAGTTTCTCCATCTGTCTTGTGGGAGCCTCATCTGAATGACCTCAAGGCCCCTTCAGGCCCAGGCACTCCAGGCCCCCCACCTGCCCCATTGCCTCCGGCTTCCTGGAAACTCAGAACTCTGCAAGCAGCGGAGCAGCCAGGGCTTCTCTGCTGAGAAGGGGCCTGGGTGGAAGGCGAGGCCTCTGGAGTGGCTGGCCCCAGGTTAGGGTCCCTGCTCCAAACCGACAGGCTTGCTCCCTGCTTGCGTCTGCACGCTGGGGGAAGTGCAAAGCACTCGCTGGGCCTGGGGCAGGGGTACGGTGCTGGTGGGGCCCCACTGGGGTCTCTTCCTGGGCATCGGGCAGGGCCAGGCCTTCTGCAGTCAGGTTTCCAAAGTGGCCTTTCCACACTGGCTCTCTCAGGCATGAGCTATCTGCCACTGGAATCGATTCCCAGCACTAATTACGCGGCGGGGAGTGAGGTGGGTGTGGGGCTTGGGGCCAACCCACCAGGGAGACCACATTAAAAATGTCCCAAGAGCTAGAGACTCACCACGGAGTGCTCACAACCACTTGAAAGGACTCAACCGGAGGCGTTGGGGTTGGAGGGGGTGGGCGCGCCTGACAAATGCTGACAAATTACAGGCGTGGAGCCCGGCCCCTTGTTAACCAGACTGGCGGTGCCCCTTCTCCTAGGACCACAAGCCTGAAACCTGCAGAATTTTGACCTGTCAGACACTGGTGCTGAGCCCAAGGGTCTGGAGCAGGCCTCTACCCCACTATCTTTAACTTGCTAGCAGTGACATGGGGTATGTGGCTCCATTCCCTCATCTGCAAAATGGGAACAACTCCCTATCCCACTAGGCTGTTGTGAGGATTAAATTAACCAATGCAAAGTGCCTGTGACAGGGCCTGGCGCACGGCCAATGCAAGAGAAGTATTCGCCGTCATCACGCACGCTCATCTGCTCTCAGGGAAATGCTCTGCACGCAGCAGGTGCCAAGCGATGGCTGGCAGAAGGAGGGCTCCAGACACCAAATGCCAGGGTGTCTGGGCAGAAGAGCGTTGGACCAATGAGATCCTGTAGCCCAGAGAAGGGAGGTGACATGCCCAAGGACACACAGCAAAACAGTGCTGAGAACCACAGCCCACCCTGACCCCATCGGCAGCCTTCTCTGATCCACTTCTGTTCCATGGTTTCCCCCACCCCAAAGGTTCTTTCTCCTCTGCTCTTGTGCCTTAAATTCACTTCAACTGTGCAGCCATCGCAGAAGCCTTCCCTGGCCCCAGCCTGAGGGAGCTTCCTCTGTCTGAGCCAGAATCTAAAACCAGTAAATGGAATTCTAAGGAGACAGATTTGGGCTTAACCCAAGAAAGGACTTCCTGGGAGTTGAAGCTCTCCAGAAAGGCCACGAGCTACCTGAGGAGGCAGTGAGCACACTATCACCAGAGGTATGCAAGCAAACAGATAACCGATGTGGCATGGGCTGCTCTGAAATAACATGATGCAGCACTTGGCATGAGCTCCAGCACCTGGTCAGCAAGCACCTAATCAGTGTTTATTTTATCTCTGCCACGTTGGAGGTAGTGAGTATCCTGCCCCTCAGGGAATTCAAGCAGTGGCTATGTGACTGCTTGGCAGGAGGCTCTAGGATTACTGGACTCTGAGTGCCTGGCACAGGACTCCGTCCAGAGCAGGCAGGTACTCGAAGTGTTTGTTGACAGACTGAATGACCCCTGCCCTCCAGCCACCCAGGCAAGTGAGGAGCCTGCTCACCTTGAGGTGCCCCAGGTGCATGCAGGCCCGCTCACACATGTGCAGGAAGTACTTGACGTTACTCTCATCCACGATGATGTACACGGCCACTTTCCTCTTGAAGCCGGCGTCCAGCAGGTCCTTGAAGATGTCCACGTCGGTGAACATGTCCATGACCACAGCTATCACCTGGGAGCAAGAAGAGAGACTAGGGCCTGTCAGACAGTGCAGCAGTGGGGACAGGGTGCCCTGGCAGAGCGCACAGCCCTCCCATGCCACCAGCCTCTCACAGGTGCCCACTCTGGCCCTACTCCTGGAGCCTCAGGCCCGGGACCAGGAAGTGAGGGGCCAGGGGCCTCTCTTGCCCTGAAGTTCTAGTTGCAGTCCCAGCTCTGGGCTCAGCCCAGGGGCCCTGTGTTGGTGCATTCCCAGGCCAGGGCCGGCTACGCTCTGCCCTCCTTGTAACACCTGGGAATGCTGAGATGAACCTGATGTGTCAATGACCGGAAGGGCAGCAGCTGGCGTGGCGGCTCGCTGGGGCATCCCCTACATTCCTGGGCTGGTGTGGACTTTGGCCAGTGTCTAAACCCAGATCTCTTCCTGTCAGCTGACAACATCTGTCCCCATAGCAGGTGACCTCCTGCTGGACCTGGCTCAGGGTGGGGCCCCAGTGGTCAGGGCCTTCCCCCAGCCCAGCCAAGCACCACCAACAGGGCAGGGGGCCTGGCTGAGTGAAGGTGCAAGGTGGAACATGCAGAAGGACAGGATGAGGTGGTATGGGCCCGGCCCCAGTGGGGCTCAGTGACTGTCAGGCTTCTCTCACACCTAGTCCCCTCCCTGTCCCTTGGCAGCAAGGGGAGGGAGTCAGGACAGGGCCTGTGCCTGGGCACAGCCGCCTACACTGCTGATGCAGACACATGTCCCACTTTTGGGCAGCCCCACCCCTCCCACCCTCCGAGCCTGGCACCACCATCCCTGTCCCAGGTCTGAGGACCACCTGGAGAAGAGGCCAGGGACCTGCCCTAGGCCACACAGCAAGCTGGGGACAGAGTCAGGCTACAGACTACCCTGACTTGTCAGAGAGCACCCCAGCCTTGCTGGGATGCGGAGATTCAGGGTGGTGGAGGCGGCCTGGAGCCTGCTGGGGATGTGTCTGCACGCCCCAAAGTGAGCTCACCAGGCTGGCCCCTGCAGGCCCATCTGGGCTCCTCCTGGGCCTCAGGCCCCCATCGTTCACCTGGCACCAAAGCCCAAACTCCAGCAGAGGGGAGGGCTCCATACCTGCCCTGCCTCAAACTCACTGTGTGACCCTGAGCAAAACACCTGGCTTCTCTGGACCCAGTTTTCTCATCAGTATAGCATGCTCCATCTCTCAGGAGAATGGAGCACACCTGAATACCGCAGCACCTGCAAAGAGCCCGACGGGGGGCTGGGGCGGGGGCTCGGTGATGCCCGTTTGCTGCCTTTCTCCCACAGTCACCCCGCACGTTCCCATTTACAGGGGGTCTTGTCAGCCTGACTCCTGCAGCCTCTCACAGGCACCATGGTGGTGACAGCCCAGCATGCAGCCAGGTAAACTGAGGCTCAATGAGGTTGTAAGGCTTGTTGGATGTCGCAAAGCAAGTTGGGCCAGGGCCTGGACCTACCTCCGAGTCAGGTCAGGGTTGGTCTCCAGTACCTTCTCTTGGACGTTTAGTCTCGGAGAGCCTGGGAGAGAGTGGTCCCCCCAGAGCGGACAGCGGAGGTGTGGGACCAGCTGGGACTCCCAGAACTCCAAGGCCTAGGGTTCTCTCTGTTCTCTGGGGAGATGACTGCTCCCTATCTCTCTGTTTCTGAAGGGCTGTTTTGGGGCAGAGGGAGTAGCTGGTTGATGCAGGGTCTACGACTCGCAGGGGAGGCAGATGTTGGCACCAGATGGGGAAGCACTTGCTGCCCCCAGGGCTGCCCAAGGTTAAACAGGGATCTTAAGAGGGAGCTCACTCCCTGACCTAGGAGATGTTCAAGGAAGGCCAGAGACTGCTTGGAGCGGGGGTAGATGATAGGGCAGAGAAGACACGATGCAGGCAGGTCACCATGACCCTGGAGGCAGTGGTGTTGAGACACTGGGCAGGGGTGTGTGGTGGTAGCAGGGTCCTCCCTGCCTGGGATCTCCCAGACCCAAAGCCTCTCCAGCCCCAGAATCTCCTTAGTTAAGCCACTTCTGAGCAGGCAAACAGCCTCACGTGCCACCCTGGAAAGGAGCCTAATGAGGGCGCAGTAGGCATGCTTCTCCCTGGAGGGCACCAGGCCCTGCCTACCGTGGCAGATGGGGACTTGCCCTGGGCTTGGGCTGGGGGACGTGCCCCAGCAGGACCCGCACCATGTGCGCCACTCCCCACATTGCCCTCAGCCAGGCAGGGTGCCTGATCCAGGGACCATCTGCTGTCAGGTTGGATATGTTGGAGCCTGCACTCCAAAATGGATCCCCCCACAGTCCTGGCTCTCCCCAGGCATTGGGTTCAGTGCCTAGGGTGGTCAGAGATGGGTTTGTAACAGGCACGAGCTTATGCTGGGGATGGGGAGGGGGAGCCTGGTGCTCCCCCAGGCAACCCCCAACAGCCTGGCCTGTCCATGGAGCCACAAAGGTTTCTTGGGGGCCCTTGAGTCCTGTCATGCCCTTTCCCATTTTATAGACAGGAAAGCTGGGATCACAGTCCATGACTGAGGCTAGAACCCAGGGCCCTGTCCCACCCAGAGCACCTTCTGCACAAGAGACTGGGCATCAGTCCTGGGCCCTTGAGCTGCTTGATGGTTTATAAGGAGCCTTTACAGCTGTTACCTTGTTCAGGCCTCACAAGCACACCGGGAGGCAGTGGTTCTTTTTCCCATTTTGCAGATAAAGAAACTGAAGCACAGAGGCATTCGCCACCTTGCCTAATTCTGTTGGGAGGCCCAGCTCACTTGTGACACCATGAGCTCAGCAAGAGCAGAGCCCTTGTCTGAGCCCAGGACGGGGCCTGGTTTAAGGAAGGTCCTGGGGAGCTTTTATCAACTGAGAACAAGACCAACTGGCTTGGTCTGGGAATGACTGCAGGAATCAGGGCATCTGGGACCACAGCCCCTCCTGGGCCCTTGGCTTCCCCATCTGTCAAATGGGGGTGTGGGCCTGGCTTGCCCCTGTGGTTCTATCCAGTTCACACATTGTCAGAGCTGGCCCAAGTCAAGAAAAGTACCAGATGCTTCACGTAGCCCCAAGCCCACACGTCCTCTCAGAGGTCCTGGGCAGGGCAAGGGCTGTGGAAATGAGAGGGGAGGCTGACTCCAAAGACCAGCTCTACCTGCTGTTATGTCAGGGGCCACACTGGGCAGGAGGCGGGTGGCCTGGGTCCCATCACTGAGCTTGTTCCGCTCCTGAGGCAGGAACCAGCCATGTCCATGTGAGCAGCTGGCACAGGGGCAGGCATGGCAGGCGGGCACGTGTGTGTCCTGCACCCCAGGTACCGTTGTCAAAGCCGACGGGCAGCTCCCAGCCCAGCAGCCTGGAATCTGCGCAGGCCACACAGCCCAGCTCCCAAGTGAAGGAGGGAGCCCAGTGGTCCCTGTGCATCTTACTGATGGACAGGCCTCTGCTGGGCGGCCTTGAGGCCTCGAAGATGCAGCTGCAGAACCCAGGAGGCCCAATGCCCAAGACAACCATCTGACTCCTGCCAGGGTGTGGGAGGATGGCCCAAGATGGCAGGGTGTGGGAGGATGGCCATGCCTGGGGGGCAGAGGCAGGCAGGCTGCACTGGAGGGAAACACCAGCAGGGATGTGGGCACTCCTCCAGTGAGCCAACAGCGAGCCTGCGCCTGCCCCAGCCCAGGCCTCTCCCTGGGGGCTCCTGGTGCCCAAACACCTCCGGCATGTCTGTCCAGGGGTGTCCATATGCACAAGCCCTCCAGCGCCCCGCCCGATGAGCACCTCCTCCCATGCTGTACCCTCCCTGCCCAGTGGATCCGCCGGCCTTCTCCACCCTGCCTTCTGCCTGTGTCTCGAATCCCCCACCTCCCTCTGTGTCCTTGGGACAGGGGGACATCCGCCTCCATGTGAGAGATGCAGAAACTGCAGCTGGGAGAGGGGAGGGCACTGGTCCAAGGTGGTGCTGCATGGGGATCCCCAGTGCCCTGCCAGGAGCACCTCCAACACCTGGGCAGTGACCGGAGCAGCTTGAGCTGGGATGCAGGGGTGACAGCATCTCACACAAAGGAGAACCCCACCTGTGGCCACTGCCCCCCAGCAGACACGGCCTGAAGCCACGTAACACTGGCTGCTGGCGTTGGGGGTGGGACAGGGCTTTAGGTCACAGAGGCAGGGAGCACAGGCGTGGGCCTCCTCAATCTCCCTCAGCCCCAGCCAGAGCCCCCTGAGCAAGGGTGGAGCGGGCGGAGTCGGTCCAGCACCGGCGCCCAAGCTCTAGGCTGGGCTTTGGGTGAGCCACACCTGCGTTCCAGGTCT
Organism: Homo sapiens; assembly: GCF_000001405.40. Taxonomy (NCBI): domain Eukaryota; kingdom Metazoa; phylum Chordata; class Mammalia; order Primates; family Hominidae; genus Homo; species Homo sapiens. The sequence goes on from NC_000017.11 coordinate 18,992,700, forward strand.
CAGTTTCTTCACCTGTCAAAGGAGAAGGTGGACAAGATGTCCAAGGCCCTTCGTCTCTGATGTCCCTGCCGAGGGACCCCAACTCCTGTTCCCTGCCTGGTGCCGGGCAGGGCCTGTCTGGGCGGCTAACACATCTCATTGCGCCCACAGGTCTGGGAGAGGAAGTGCTGGTGGCCGCCCTCTCCCTGCCTCCCCACACAGCTCCTGCCTCACAGGTGCCAACAACAGCCTGTGGCTCCTGACACCCACAACAGCTGTTTCCTAGCCTTCCTGTGACCACAGAACCACTCTTGAAGCAGAAGTGCCCTCGCAGGACGAGTAGGTAGAACAGGTCTCCACAGAGGTGCCTGGGGAGGAGGGGTGGGGCGAGACGGGCTGGCCTGGTTCCGAGCATGGTGGGAAACCACGGGTGCACAGGCCCAGCCTCTGCAGCAGCACCTCTTCAGGGGGGCCCTAAACCAACGCATCCTGACCCCTCTCCCCGACGCTTCCTGATCCCTCTCCCCGACGCGTCCTGCCTCAAGCCACTGTGTCTCCTACATGTTGTTCTCCTTGCCACCTGCCCATTTTGCATCTGCTCGGACAACTACCTTTTTTCAAATCCCAACTCCAGTGCAGCCCCAGCCTCCCCTGTCGTCACTCTGGCCTGTCTGGGTTGAGCGTGTATCACTTGCGTATTTCTTCTCAGGCACAGCAATGGAGTCTCCCAAGGACTGAGTCGCAAGACTCGGGTAAGAGGGGACAGTTTCCAACCTGCACGTGACAAGCCTTACACTCACCTCACCCTCCTAGGCCTCAGAGATCCCTAGAGGCGGCTCAGAGAGAGGAGAGAGGCGGCCATATTCTCTCTCCTCACTATGCTCCAGGCAGGTGGAGGACAGATACCCTCAAGCCTGCCCCAGAACCTGGAGCCCTGAAGCAGCCACAGACACTGCACACACTGCAGACAAGTCCCTAGGCCTCTCTGGGCCTCACTTTCCCACCTGAGAAGTGCCGGGGGTGGACAGAGTCTCTCATCTTGGGGTTCGTTATTCTCCAGGTCTGATGGCAGATGCCCAGACAGTGGCAGTGTGGGCTCTGCACCCGCTGGCTCCGATCTCAGCTCCTCCTGGGAAGCTGCATGACCTTGGGCAAGTACCTTCATTTCCTCATGGGGATAATAACAATCCCCACCCACAAGGTTGTTGGAAATTAAAATGAATTCATGCAGGTGAAGCCCTAGCAGGGGATCCACAAACGGCAGCTGCACGGACCCTCCTCGTCCTCCCACCAACCCAAGTCCCATCCCACCAGACCCACAGCTCCCTCTGGGGTGAACAGGCCAGCAGCGTCTCACTACCCTCCGGGCCAGCTGGAAGGCTGTAAGTGACGCATCAGGGCTGCTCACAGGAATGCTGCAGACTGTCTTAAAGGTTGAGGCAGTGGCCATCATGACCTTGGATTCAACTTCCACTTACAGCCATGATGGAATAACAGAGACGGAATTCACCCCCTGCCTTAGCAATAAAAAACCCGGATAAAATCTATGAAGCCATGGACAACAGGCTTCAATCAGCACAGCGATTCCTGAGAGAAGAGGAACAAACCAGCTGAGCCCTAGGATCACCCCACTATTTCCAGGCTGCAGCACAGGGAGGGGCGCCCCCGTGGAGTCTTGTGGTCTCCCTGAGTTGAGGAGACAGGGTTCACTCTGAGTGTAGCAGCTAGGATTTGCAGGACGGAGTGCCGCAGGGGAGAGAGCTGCACAGAGTGAACTCCAGAGACCTGCAGAGGGTCCCCTGGAGTCTTCAGCTGATAGCCGAGCAGCACACGAACGTGAGGAAACTACTGAGGCTGAGCAGGGAACCACTGGAAAGGGGAGGCTGAGCAGAGAACCACCGGAAAGGGGTGGCTGGAACAATTGCTGGTGCTCACGCAGGACCGGGAATAGTGTATGTGCCCCCAGCCAGAACAGAAACCCCTCCTAACACACAGGTCCTGCAGGGGGTGTCCTCAGAAGGATACTGCCTCAGCAGTTGACAAATAAGTCCTAGACCAGGCATAAGCAAACTTCCTGAAGAACCAGAGTGTAGACATGTGAGGCTTTAAGGGCCATATGTTCTCTGTCACAACTACTCAAATCTGCTGGTGTAACACAAAAGCAGCCAAACAAAGTATATAAATAAATATCTATGTTCTATTGTTTATAAAAGCTGGCAAGAGGCTTCCTTTGGCCTGGGGTCCATAATTTGCAACTCCTACCCTGGAGTGAAGTCTGCTCTGGTCCTGCCTAATAAAGCTTGACAGGAAGCCACAAAAGCATTAAATCGTTTCCAAGTAACCTAACTGCATCCCAGAACAAGGCTCCAAAATATTTAAAGGAGAAAACAAAACAAACAAAAACTACAAACTAAAATCCAACATGCCCGGTATCCAATTAAAAATTACCAGACACACAAAGAAACAAGAAAACATGATGCACATGAGAAAAAAAAATCCATCAAAATCAACCAAAAACCGACACAGATGTTAGAACTGGCAGATAAAGACATAAAAACAGTTATAACTGTGTTCCATGTGTTCAAAAAGTTAGGTAGAGATGTGGAAGCTTTTTTTTAGCCAACAAATCGAAATTCAAGAGGTGAAAATGCAACATTTAAGACGAAAAATATACTAGGTGGAATTAACAGATTAAACACTATAGAAGAGAAAATTAGTGAACTTGAAGACATGTAAGTAGAAACTGTCCAAAATGACACACAGAAAGACTGAAAGAACATGAACACAGCATCAGCAAACTGTGGGTCAACTTCAAGCCATCCAATATATGTGTAATTGCAGTCTCAGAAGGTGGAAGGGTTGGGAGTGAGCGAGAGACTAAAAAAATAAATAAATAAGAAAAAAATGGCCAAAACACTTCTACCATTTGATTAAAGACTAAATCCAAGGCAAGGTGCAGTGGCTCATGCCTATAATCCCAGCACTTTGGGAGGCAGAGGCGGGTGGATCACTTGAGGTCAGAAGTTGGAGACCAGCCTGGCCAACATGGCAAAACCCTGTCTCTACTAAAAATACAAAAATTAGCAGGGCATAGTGGCATGTGCCTATAATCCCAGCTACTTGGGAGGCTGAGGCAGGAGAATTGCTTGAACCCAGGAGGTGGAGTTTGCAGTGAGCCAAGATTGCGCCACTGCACTCCAGCCTGGGCAACAGAGTAAGACTCTGTCTCAATTAAAAAAAAAAAAAAAAGACTAAATCCACAGGTCTCAGAAGAGACATGAAAAAACTATACCAACGCACATCATAAACAAATCACTTAAAGTCAGTAACAAAGAGAGCGTTAAAAACAACCAGAAGAGAAAAGACAACTGCATGTCAAGGAACAAAGTAAGTGGACTTCTCATCAGAATCACTGCAAGCCACAAGACAACAGGCAATATCTTTAAAGTACTAAATGGAAAAAAAAAAAAATCAACTTAGAATTTTATACCCAGTAAAAATACATTTCAAAACAAAAGGCAAACTAAAGACTTTTTCAAATATAAAAAAGCTGAGAGAATTCATTACCAGCAGACCCGCACTCCCTCCTCCAGCTGCAACCCCCTCCTCCAGCAGCACGGTTGGGACAGACGTGGCTGCAGCACCTCAGTTTTTCTATCATGACATGGTCCCACTCCCCCTCCCCTCCTCCTCCCCTCCAGGGGGCTGGCAGAATTAGTGACATGCCATCTGAAGAGGCCCAAGAAGGTTCTCTGGGTTAGGAAGTTCTCCTAGGATCCCTGGGTGGTGCTCCCTGCCACCTCCTGGCAATCTCCAAACCAGTTTGCCCATATAATGTCTCTGAAAGTCTGTCACCGAGAGGACTAGTTTAGCTAACAGTCTCATCTTGCCTCCCAGGGTAAAGGGAGTCTGTGTACTTGGTAACAAATGCTGACCCCAGCCAGAGCAAGGATAATTAGGCCAACCAGCTGGCACGCATACAGGTGTCCCTTTTCTGGAGACAGGGAGGGGTGGTGATGGCCACTCCCATTTTCCAGAGGGGGTGTCACTGTCCCAGGGCCACCCTGTCAACTAGTGGCAGAGGTCTCCTGTTCCTAGGCTTTTCTCCTAATGGGGGACCCTGTGTCCATTCCAACCTCTGAACCCACCCACAGCCTCCCAGAGGCCACCTCAGCTCTTGAAAGAAATACCTGACCATCAGCACTGTCTGGAAGGTTAATGCCTGGGCCTCCCTGGCTCTGCCATGCCTTCCCTGGGTGGCCCATGGCGGGTCACTTCCCACTCTAAGCCTCAGCTTCTCTTCTTGGTAACATGGGGAGTGAAACTGGATGAACTCTGAGGTCCCGTTCCCCTTGACATTCATCAGCTCTGTGAACACCTTCCCCACCCTCTGACTATTAAGGCTGAAGCCTCATTAAGGCCAATTAAAGGAAGATCAGGCCTTCTGAGCACCAAATGGCTGCAGTGGGTTGGGGTCAAGAAGCCCAGGCTAATCATGCCCAGAGCGCTCTGACCAGGAGGCTCAGCCTAGCCCAGTGGCATGAAGGCACTACCCTGAGTCTCCTACCTCCCCCAGACGGACATCAGCTTCCTGGTCATGGCTCAGGAATACTGCAAAGACAAGGGGCTGGCAGAGCTTGGGGAAAGGCCATGAGGTGACCAAGGCTGTTCCCTGTGGATGAGGCAAGAGGGCAAGATCCTTTCCCGCTGGCCGCAAGGAGCTTCAGAATCCTCAGAGCTTCCAGGCTTGCAGGCGCAGGATCCAGCCAACCAGACCATCCCATGTGGGCAGCAAACGGCACCAGCTGAGAATTTTCAAACAGGAAAATCTCAAAACTATAGATTCAAAAGCCTTTAAAACCTCAGCTTCTCCAGGGTCCAAGAGCGACAGACATTGGGGCCATCAAGCATCCTAATGCCCCAGAAAGCCTGGCTTGGAAAGGACTTGCCCAAGGTCACAAAGCACACCAGGGCAGGGCTGAGGCTTCTAGGCCACCTGGTGCCCACATGCTCTCTGCTGCGTTCCAGTGAGCCCCTGCTTGAACTTCTCCCAGGACAGGGAGCTCACCACTTCCACCCCAGACTACTCACAGAGAGAAGCTCTCAGGACAGGAGTGAGGAGTGAAGGTGGAGGAGGCGAGGGGAGAGATCTGGCATCTACCGATGCCAGCTCCATGCCAGACACAGAGTGTTTTACACACCACACTTTTTCCCATTTAAATCTCACTGACTTTATGAGGCAGGTGTTAGCTGTTAGCACTACCATGACACTGAGGAGGAAGGAACAGAAGGTCAGAGAGGCCAAGCAACTATCTCCAAGCAGCCACTAAAGATAACACCAGAGCTGGGGCTCATGCCTGGGTCCCAGTGATACGGAAGCCTGTCTTCCCACCACCCCACATGGCATTTAACCTGGCAAGGTACTCGAGCCCAGGGGTCATTCAGACCCTTAAAGGGGACTAGGACAGCCCAACCAGGCCAGGGCCTGCCAGGCTGGGGCCAACGTGGGCCAGGGCACAGGGTGGGACCCCATCTTCCTCCCCAGCTGCTCTCAAGGCAGAGGGTAGCTCAGTGCTTTTGGATGCTCCTGTCTATCACTGCGTCAAGACAAGGCCTGATCCCCATTTTACAAGTGAAGAAACTGAGGCCGAGGGTCCTGCAGCATGCAAGTGGCTAAGTGGGACCAGCACTCTCTGCTGGCCCAGGGGCCAGGACCCTCAGCTGCAGGGAGACCCTCTCCAGCCAGGGAGACCCAATCCAGGTCCAGCCACACCTAAGACCCTTGGTGTAACCTTATGAAGGCCCCAGCCGACTCTGAGCCTCAGTTTCCCCAGCTGTGATATGAACATGACGGCAGGCCCTGGCTCTTGGGGTTGTGGGAAGGAGGCCAGCCCAGTGGCTGAGCAGCTGCCTGTCCCACTGGAGTGCCCAGACGGGCAGGCACTCTCTCCTTAGAGCTCCTTCCTCGAAGGGCTGCTCCCGGCTCTCCTCGAAACTCTTAATTAAGGGAAGGGAGCCTTTGGAGCGCACAGGAGTTAACACCTGGGATTACTTTATCAGATGGTTCCCCACCCACTCTCTGACCTGTGGTGGGAGCCTGGGCCAGCTGTGCGCCCCACAAGGTGTCAACTGGGCCACCTGTGGCCTCTGGCAGTGTGGGGAGCTGTCCTGGCACTGCCCAGCTAAAGGATGCAATGAGTGGCCTTCCTCCTGGTCCCCAGGCCACAGAGCTCACCCTGTTCTTGTGAGTCCCCGTCCCAGCCCTCCTCCAGAGAGCCCAGTATTTAGCTGCCAAGGAGCCTCATGAAAACGCTTTTACTGCCAGGCACGGTGGCTCATGCCTGTAATCCCAGCACTTTGGGAGGCAGAGGCGGGTGGATCACAAGGTCAGGAGTTCGAGACCCACCTGACCAATACGGTGAAACCCCGTTTCTATTAAAAATACAAAAATTAGCTGGGCGTGGTGGCGCACACCTGTAATTCCAGCTACTCAGGAGGCTGAGGCAGGAGAATCGCTTGAACCCTGGAGGCGGAGGTTGCGGTGAGCAGAGATCGTGCCACTGCACTCCAGCCTGGGCGACAGAGCAAGACTTTGTCTCAAGAAGAAAAAAAAAAAAAGAAAATGCTTTTACTGTCCTGAGTCAACAGGATCCAGCAGTGAGGCTCTGGTGCTCCCATGCAGGGGTAGGGCTCAGAAGGAACAGTGCCACTGCTTCTCCAGGGAATGGGAGGGTGCTCAGGGCCTGCAGACTGGGGGTCTCGGCCCAGTCCCTCCAGATATCAGTTCTGTGACCTCAGGCCAGTTATTTGCCATCTCCGAGCCCCACCAAGCCTCAGTTTCCTCATCTGCACAATGGAGACAACACCTACTTTCCAGAGTTGTGGGGAGGATTACACAGCATGGTAAAGTGCCCGCTCAGCACCTGGCGCGGGGCTGGCATTTAGTAAGCACCTCATTAAGCTGCTTCTATTCTCTCAGAGCCAAGCTGTGGGCCAGGACTTCAGTGTGTGAAGGCGGGGGCCTGACAGAAAAAATGTGGGGTGAATCAGGCTTCGTGAAACCTGGGTTCGACTTTATTTCTCTGGGTCTGTTCCCAAGCCCTGGCCTGGCATGCAGAGATCAGTGTTCTGGCCCTGGCCACCGGCGCCTCACCTGCCCTCAGTTTCCTCAACTGTGAAATAAGGAAGGTGTGATCTGTCCCTGCCCTGGGGCCTCACCCTGGGGCTGGTGAGGGATCCTGCTAAGGCCCCCCTGCTGTGTCCTGTTGAGGGGGGCTCAGCATCTGCTGGAGGAGCAACCAGCTAGAACATCTACATCCAGCTCTGGCTGAGGAAGCCCCAACCCAGCCCAGCCTCACGCCTTCTCAGGCTGCAGCCAAGTGAGGCCGGGGCTCGCCCCTCCCAGGCGTGATCTTACAAGCCCGTCCTCTGGTATGTAGTTGGAACCCCACAGCAGGTTTTTTCCCAGATAAATCATGGCTCCTGGGGCTAGGGGAGGGGCAGGCAGTTGACCTTCCATCTTGGAGTAGGAGCCCACTAGGGCTGGAGGGAGGCTGGAGGGCACAAGCTGCTGAGAGTGAGACCTGGGACCCACCCGCCTCTTGTCCCAGGGGAGTCTAGGATCACAGGGCAGCAAGGTGTCAGGGCTGAAGGGGCCCCTAACAGTCTTCAATACCTGTTCCCATTTTACAGATGGGATGACCGGGGCTTGGAGAGGAGCTGGGGCTTGTTCCAGGTCCCACAGTCAGGCAGAGGCAGAGCACGGACTCTTGGCTCCTGGTCCTGCTGTCCACTAGTTCCATTCTAGTCATTTGGGAACAGGGGGGACTGACAGCAGTCCTGACAGGAACACAGCCGCTCCCCTAAGTGCTGCGTCACTTCCCTGCCCCAGGGTCTGCCTGTTGTGCTGACGACAGGTAAGGTGAGTGAGGAGGCGGAAGGCTGGGCTGTCCTGACTCAGCCCCAGCAGCCCCAGCCTAAAGCCCCCGGTGGGAAGGGGCCAGTGTGCGGCAAGGCGGCCCAGGCAGAGGGATCCCCATCCTAGGCAGGGGGCAGGCAGAGTTCTCCCTACACAATACCAGAGTGAGAAGGGGAGGTGGAAGCATGGGCACGAGAGGTGATTCATGGGGAGAGATAAGGCAGGGAGCGCTCCCAGGAAGCAGGCAGACAAAGCGCCCCGTCAGCATCCGTCAGTGTCCGGGCCCTGCCCCTGTGAGCCTGGGAAGCAGCTGGGGCAGGACAGCTGGAGGACTGCAGTGGCCTGGATGAGCTGCCCCTCCCAGCCCCTGCCTGTCACTCTGTCCTGCCAGGGCCAGGGCACAAGGGATAGCCTAGAGTTTGAGGGAAACACAGGCCTGGTCCCCACCCCTCTACCCGAGAACTAGCTAGGTGACCTTGGGCAGCGACTAACCAGTTTCTACATCTGAAAAATGAGACAGATAACACTAGCTGAGATTATAAAGCGCCTCGCACTCAGTCAACACTTGCTATTGTTATTATCCCTGCCCACACATGCCACACAAGCCTGGGCCACAGGTCCCAGGACAGATGTGGCAGGGAAGGAAGTGCCCAGGGCAGAAAGCAGGGGCTTGGCTCACCACAATGCTGTGGAGTCATGAACAAATCCCTGTCCTTCTCTGTGCCTCAGTATCCTTGTCTGTCAGATGAGGAGCTTAGTCTCTACTGCCTCTGAGGCCCCCACTGTGGGACCCTTGAGGACTCCCTGAGGTCTGAGAGTAGGGAGCAGTTTCAGCAGTGAGTGCCCCATCCTGAGGGCTGGAAAAGCAGAAAGCAGGGCCCACCTGTCCGAGGCTGGAGGACATCACTCACTATGGGGCCATGTAGACAGACTGGCACCCAAACTGGAGACCAGCTTCTTCCTGGCTATGTCACCTTAGACAGGTGACAGCAATCACCTTGTGGGAAGCAAAGGAAGGCAATGTCACCTTAGGTGACACTAATAACCTTGTGGGACTTTTGTGGGAAGCAAAGGAAGCTCCAGGTGGCTCATGGGACTGTACGGAGTGGCTGGGTCACAGCTGTAGCCAGAGACTCAGGGAGGAACCTGGGGTCAGCAGGTGAAGTCCTGGCCCTGGGAGCCCCTATCTGGCCCATCGCTGGGCGGGGGATCTGTCTGTCTGCAGACCCTCTGGCTGTTCCCATCTGCCTCCTTCCTGTCGCTGACAAGGAGGGGAGGCACAGAGGAGTGGGAACCTTGGCACAGCAGGTCCCCCTACCCATGGCCTCAGTTTCCCTATTTTCAAGATGGAAGTGGAGGCTGGGTAATGGGATCCCAGCAGGCTCTCTGTGGGGACTGGGTTCTCTAGCCTCCAGCCAGTCATCCCCATCAGGCACAGACATCAGCAGCACTTCCTCCACACCACAGCAGGTGTGGGGCGGGTCTCTCAGTCTGCAAACTATGAAGGTCCCTTCCTCCTCCCCCTCCTCCTCCTCTTCCTCTAACTCCTTCCTTACTTTTGTCACCCGATATTCCATCTTCACAATAGCCAAAGATGCAGCTTTTATCCACACCACCTCCATCTTATAGATCAGAAACCCGAAGCCTCAAAGCTGCCCAGGGTCAGTCAGTGAATTGAGAGCAGCCAGGCCAGGGGCCAGGCGCCCCCACCCAGCTAGCTGACCCAACTGGTCCCCTTGTTGGGCAGGGACTCCACCTTCCTGGAAACTGGGGCCAGGGCCAGGGGCCACCTCACCAGTTCTTGACCCACGTCTGGTTTCTCTGCCCACGAACTTCCCCAAGGCCCTGTCAGTTAGCCAGGATGGTCCCCGAAGCCAGCATTCTGGTCTTCTGCAATTGGCTGCCCTGCTCTGGGACTGGAAGTATAAAGGGATTAGACCCAGCTAGGAACACCTCATCCCACAACCTGAGGCCCAGACCTGGCTTCAGAATCCTTCTCAACACAGCTCACTAGGTAAGCTTTATCTATCAAATTAAGATGTGCTTGGAAACGATGAGAAGGTACTTACGTGCAGCAGGCATTAGCACCTGCTCATGGTCACAACTGTCCAGCAGTGGCCTAGCTGTCTCTGCAAATGGCAAGCACCCCTTCTCAGAATGTGTGACGGTGTGTCAGCCAAGAATGGCCCCCCACAGCTAGGGCACTGCATAGCCCAACAGGGGTGGAGAAGGGGAGGGCCAGAGAAGGCTTGAGGTCCCTTCCGGTGGCAAAATTCAGGTGGACAATGCTCAGGTGGACTCACTCCACTTCCACAGATGAGGACCACACCTCCCTCACCCAAGCATCCTGGCCTGGAAAGTTTCCACCATTGCAAAGCTCACAAAGAGGCTCAGAGAGGGTGTGCAATCTGCTCCCAGTTGCTCAGCACAGCTAGGAAACAGGCAGTGTTGAACAAGGACCTCCAGGCCAGTCTCAGATGGACTTGGACCATGCCTATTCCCTCACCCCACAACAAAAGCTCTCCCCACCAGAGAGCTCATGGTGTGTGCGCGCCTTTACAGTGAATCAGAGCCACTCTAAGGGAGAGTGAGAGGAAGCCCTGGGGTTCCTCCCCTCCCCACTCCACCCTATCTCGGTGCCTTCTTCTGGGGAACCAGAAACACCCTCCAACAATAAAGAGGCCCTTTGAGACGGGGCAGCCCACTGTCACCTGCTAGGACCTGGGAACCCTACCCTGCAAAGAAACTGCGGATCCCCACGAAGGTGGGGAGGAAACCTCCACCCAAGAGGCAGCCAGGGAAAACAGCAGAGATCCCTAGAAGCCCATGTTGGGCTCCCGTTTTGGGCTCTGAGTGAGCCTGTATTGAGAGGGGTCCGGTGGCTGGTTGGGCCATGGCTCCAGGAGTCCCCGCGCTGCCTCACCTTCTGTGCCTGGCTGATCATCTTCCGCACCACCTCTTTGATGTGGGCCTGCCCGTCTATGGGGGGCTGCATGTAGACGCTAGCCCGGGTCACGCCGCGGTAGGCGATGGTGTCGGGCCAGCCCAGGTCCAGCTGCGGGATGGAGCGGTCCGACTTCTGGGGCCAGTACTCCAGGGAGGGCAGCGGCTCGGCCTCGATGGGGACCCCATCCGCCCCGCTGGCTTCCTCGCCGTCGCCGACCCCATTGTCCTCGGGCCCCTGAGAGGGGCCCGTGCCCCGAGGGTCCTCAGAGCCCGGGTCGTACACCTCGATGGTCTCCAGGATGCGCTTGAGCTCCAGCTCCGAGAGGAAGTCTCGGATGTTCTCCCGCTTGAGCACCTCGTAGAAGGCGTCCCGGCCGCGGGCCACCAGGGCCTCCAGCGCCAGCCGCTGCTCCTCGCTGTAGAAGAACTCAGGCTTGGACTCGCTGGAGCGCCAGTTCACATGGTTGTCGTCCAGACACTGCACCTGAGAGAAGGCCATGGCGCCGCCTGCCCGGGCACTGCTGCCGGGGGTGGGTGGGCAAGGTCCAGCTCCTAGCTCCGGCCCAGCTGGGGCACCGCGCGCTCGGGGGCCTCTCCGCGGCCTCTGCTTCTCTGCCCATGAGCAATCTGCGGGAAAGACCTGATGAGCCCGGCTCGGCGGGGAGGGCGGGCCGCGCGGGGAGGGGCGGCGGGGGCGGGGCCGGGAACTCAGGTGGGCGTGGGAAGGACGGGGCTGGGGCTGGGGCTGGGAAGATGAGGTGGGGGCACTGGACTGGGATGGGAAGAAAGTAAGGGATCGGAACAGCGGTGAGGGAGCGGTGGGCCACGTCCCAGGGCTCAGCGTGCCTCTACGTGCAGGGAACCCATATCCCAGATTTCCGGAGCTGCCTGAAGTCCTCGCAACTTCTGAGGGAAACTAGGGCAGCCGGGGAACTTCCCAGTAGCTTCTTAGAGTGGGAGGCGGCCCCGGCACAGAGGCGCCCCGCAAACCGAGGGCTTCCGGGTAAGGGAGGGGTCTTAAAATTTCCGGGTGCCGGCAACCCAGGAGGCCTGCCCGGAGGAGGCTGGGGCTCTGGGAGGGGTCCAGGAGACCCAGAAACGCGGTTGCGGGGCGGCGACGCCCCGCGAGACCCGGGATCCGGGGGGCGCGGCCGGGACTTGCTTACCGAGCGGGCGCTGGCGGAGCGGGGCGCACACGCGGCGGCTGCGGCGGCGGCGCGAGGCTGGGCGGGGGCGCGCCGGTGACTCAGGGCCGCCCCGCTTACCCCGCCGCCGCCACCTGCGGTCACGTGCCGCCCGGGGCGGGGCCGGAAGCTGATTCACCCCTCGACAGACAGACAGACCTGGGGCGGACGCACTGCCCACGGTCCCCTGGTGCCCGAATTCCGAAAATATCAGAGGCCTAAGCCCAAGAGCTCCTGGAACACCCATCCCAGAGAGGGACAGTGTTCTCCCTGAGGTCACACAGCGGGTCAACAGCCTTGGCACCCCCCTGTGCCCCCAGGGTCTGTTGGTGATCCTGGATCAACCCTGGCTGTGCCCAGTTTCGCCGGCGTGGCGGGAAGTCCGTGCGGCTGTATAGATACCCAGCTGTCCAGTTGTGGAAACAGGTCTAGGGTACTGGGCTGGGAGCCCCCAGGCAGGGATAGGGCACTGACTGACCCAAACTCAGGGCTTTCCTGAGCAGATACCCAGTTCTCAGTCCTAAGCCCTGATCCCCTCTGGGAGGGGTCCCCGGACTGCTTCTGCGTGGCGGGCAGCACCCGACCTGAACCCTAGGGCAGGGAGGGGCCAAGAGGGCCGCTGTGGGCTGGGGTCAGGCCCAGCTCTCTGCTGAGCGTCCCCTGGGGTTGGGACCCTGGTTATGGGGAGCGTGGAGACCACATCTGAAGGCAGGCTTTGAGGGTGGGACAGCAAAGCCCATTAAATCTGGCCCAACAAACAGCCCCCACCCCATCGCGTGCCGCAGCCAGTCTGCCCGGCACCAGGCCCAGCCCTTCCTCCCATCCCCCATACTTGCTCTGGATCTGGATGGGGCTGGTTTGGGTCCCGTAAGGATGCTGCTTCCGTAGGCTGGTGACATCTCTAGGCCTTGTGCCCTCAAACCCCCCCCCTCCAAGGCCTTCTCCACCATTCATGGCCCATCAGGACTCCTTGCCTCTGAGTCCACTGCCCTGGGCAATGACTAGCCTCCTAGGCCCAGCATCCTTGTGGTCCCCATCACTGACCCCTCAAGCATGAAGTCCTACACTCTGCCATATAGCCCCCCAAGGGCTTTATGCTACTGAACATAGTGGCCCCTGGGGAACAGGCACACATATTTGCATCCTCCTCCTGCCCCAGGGCCAGAGAGGGGAGGTGATCCCAGCGGGGGAGCCCTGCCTTGAGGGTCCTGAAGACCCATTTATAGCCCCTCTGCTACTGTGGATCCCCTGTAAGACCTTCTCTGAGCCGCCTCAGCTTCTCCCTGTGTTCTTACCAATGCACAGAGGCTGGAGAGTTCAGGAAGGGAGTCCAAGGCCTCACTCCCACCTCCACCACCCCAACACTTCTGCAGTTGATGAGCAGGAAGGTTGTATGCACCCAGTTTTCCCCAGTAGCGACGTTTTGCATAACTATAATACAATAATATCACAGCCAGAAAATTGACACTGGTGCAATCCACAAAGCTTATTTAGATTTCACCAGTTTTTTGTTTGTTTTGGGACAGGGTCTTGCTCTGTCACCTAGGCTGGAGTGCAGTGGTATGTACAATCATTGCTCAATGCAGCCTTGAACTCCTGGGCTCAAGCCTCAGCCTCCTGAGTAGCTGGGACCAGAGACACCATGCCCAGCTAATTTTTTTTCTTTTTTCTTTTTTCTTTTTTTTTTTTTTTTGTAGAGACAAGGCCTCACTATGTTGCTCAGACTGGTCTCAAACTCCTGGCCTCAAGTGATTCTCCCACCTTGGCCTCCCGAAGTTCTGGGATTATAGGCGTGAGCCACTGCACTGGCCAGATTTCACCAGTTTTACATGCACTCATTTATGTGTGTTATACAACCTTATTATGTGTATAGATTTGTGTAACCACCATTACAGTCAAGATACAGAACTGTTCTGTCACTACAAAGATCTCCTTCTCTGTAGCCATCCCCACACCTCCCCCGACCACCATTCCTAACTTCTGGCAACCACTAATCTATTCTACAATTCAACAATTTTGCTGTTTCAAGAATGCTATATAAATGGAAGATATAGTATATAAACTTTTGGGATTGGCCTTTTTTCCCACTTAGCATAATTCTCCAGCAAGTCATCCAGGTTGTTTCATGGATCAATGGTTTGTGCTTTTCATTGCTGACTAGTATTCCATGGTATGGATATACCACAGTTTGCTTAACCATTTCAGTGATTGAAGGATATGTGGGGTTTCCAGCTTTTGATTATTACAAATAACCTTGTTATGAGCATTCATACACATATGTATATAAACATCAGGTTTCATTTCTCTGGCATAAGTGCCCAAGAGTGTTATTCCTGGGTCCTGGTAGTTGCATGTTCAAACACTGCCAAACTTTTTCCAGAGTGGCTGTACCATTTCACATTCTCACCAACAATGTATGAGTGATCCAGTTTCTCCACATCCTTGCCAACATGTGGTGTTACCGCTATTTTTTTTTTTTTTTTTGGCCATTCTGATAGGTAGATCATATCTTATTGTGGCTTAAATTTGTGCTTTCCTGATGGCTAATGTCATTGAATCTCTTTTCATGGGCTTATATGCCATCTGTTTGTCTTTTCCTTTGAAACATTTGTTCATGTCTTTTGCCCATTTTCTAAATGGATTGTCTATTTTTTAACTCTTGAGTTTTAACTTTTTTACTTTTTTGTTTTATTAGAGATAGGCTCTTGCTCTGTTATCCAGGCTGAAGTGCAGTGGCTTAATGATAGCTCACTGCAACCTCAAATTCCTGGACTCAAGCCGTCCTCCCACTTCAGCCTCCTGAGTAGCTGGGACTACAGATGTGCACCACCATGCCTGGCTAATTGTTTTTTATTTTTAGTAGAATCATGGTCTTGCTATGTTGCCCAGGCTTATACTGTTGAATTTCAAAAGTTCTTTATATATTCTAGCTACAGGACCTTTGTTGGGTGTGTGCTCTGCAAATATTTTCTCCCAGTCAGTAGCTTGCTTTTTCATCCTCTTCGAGGTGTCTTACACAGAGCTAAAGTTTTAAATGTTGATGAGGTCCAGTTTATCAATTTTTCCTTTTATGCATCATGCTTTTGGCATCAAGTCTAAGAACTATTCACTTTGTTGAAGTCAAAATGAAAATGTAGAGATGAATCTCTATATTTAACGTTTTATTTGGGAAGAAAAATTGCAATTCAGGGCATGCACAAAGACTGGGTGGTCTTTGATGTGTCTGGAGAACACAAAGAAGGTTAGAGGTTTTCTTGAAAGCAGAAATGTTACTTAGTGCTCTTTGAGAAAGTTCCTTGGCACTGGTAAGGGTTTGGGGAGCTGAAGAGTTCTGACTGGTAAGTGATGGTGGTAAGCAAAATTAGTCCTAGATCTGTAGCAAGTTATCTCAGCAGCTATAGATAAAACTGGTTGCAGGTTGTAAAAGGGAGTTTCTTTCACCAGCCAGGCTCATAGGGAATTGCATTTTTGGAATAATGTTATGTACCCTGGGTGCTTTCCCCCACTGTCCTCTTAACTCTATTTTAGTTTTGTAGACAAGAATGATCCAATGTGTATGATCAACTTTTACAGCCTAGCCTTAGGTCCTAAAGATTTTCTCCTATTATTTTCCCCAAAAGTTTGATAGTTTTTTTTAACATTTTACATTTAAATCTGTGATCTATTTTGAGTTAATTTTTGTATAAGGTGTGAAGTTTAGATTGAGGGTAGGTTTTTGGCCTATAGATGTTCTCAGAATTCTGAGTTTTTACAGAGGAGGAGACAGCCTCACAGATTTTTTTTTTTTTTTTGATACGGGGTCTTGCACTGTTGCCCAGGCTGGCGTGCAGTGTCACGATCTCAGCTCACTGCAAGCTCCGCCTCCTGGGTTCACACCATTCTCCTGCCTCAGCCTCCGGAGTAGCTGGGACTACAGGCGCCTGCCACCACGCCCTGCTAATTTTTTGTAGTTTTAATAGAGACGGGGTTTCACCGTGTTAGCCAGGATGGTATCGATCTCCTGACCTCGTGATCTGCCCGCCTCAGCCTCCCAAAGTGCTGGGATTACAGGCGTGAGCCACCGTGCCTGGCATTATTATTATTATTATTTTTTTTTTTTTTTTTGAGATAGCGTCTTGCTGTGTCTCCCAGGCTGGAGTGCAATGGCCTGATCTCGGCTCACTGCAACCTCCATCTCCCAGGTTCAGCGATTCTCGTGCCGTAGCCTCCCAAGTAGCTGGGACTACAGGTGCGTGCCACTGCACCTTGCTAATATTTGTATTTTTTGGTAGAGACAGGGCTTCACCATCTTGCCCAGGCTGGTCTCAAACTCCTGGCCTCAAGTGATTCATCCACCTCAGCCTCCCAAAGTGCTAGGATTACAGGCATGAGCCACCGTTCCTGGCCAGTCTCAGAGATCTTAATAATCACTCAAGATCTTACAGCAAGGGATTGGGAGAGCTGAGTTTGTTTTGTTGTTGTTGTTGTTTGTTTGTTTGTTTGAGACAGGGTCTTGCTCTGTCACCTCAAGGCTGGAGTGCAGCGGTGCAATCACGGTTCACTGCAGCCTGCACCTCCCATACTCAAACAATCCTCCCACCTCAGCCTCCCGAATAGCTGAGACTACAGGCACGAACCACCACGCTAATTTTAATGTTTTTGGTAGAGACATGCTTTCGCCAGGCTTTGTTGTTTAATTGAGATGGGGTCTCCCTATATTGGTCAGGTTGGTCTTGAACTCCTGGCCTCAAACAATCCTCCTGCCTCGGCCTCCCAAAGTGTTGGGATTACAGATGTAAGCCACTCTGCCTGACTGAGAACTGGATTTGTACTCAGGTCTGGGAGCCTTTCTCCTGCTCCCTCCTGCAATGGCAGTGTCTGGACTGGCTCCCGAGAATGTGCCGGGCCTGGTTAGGGAGTAGAGAGCACCTTGATTACTCCTCAAGGGACTGTGTCCAGTGACCTCCTTGGGAGGGAATCATTCACTCAGTCAACAGACACTGGCAGAAGCTACCATATGGTTGCTTGTGCTAAGCACTGTTGAGACCCAGACTTTTCCCTGAGGCCCCATAGTCATAGTCTGGGTGGGAGACAGGACAGTCAGAGGTCATAGAGTTATTGGTGCTGTGGAGGATATAGCCCCAAAGCCTGAAGGGCTCAGATGTCCATAATGAATTGAGAGGAATGAGTATAAGTTCCCTGGGATAAATCCAGGGAAGGGCAGAAGGTGGGAAGGGTGTTCCAGGGAGAAGGAACAGCAAACACAGAGACCTAGAGGTGTCCAGGAGAGCCTGGGGTGCCAGAAGTCTGGGTGAAATTAGTCAAGGAGAGGGTGGCCGAGCGAGGTGGCCATAGCAAGGGGTGTGGGAGGGCCTTAATTGGAGCCTGTGATACCCCGGCAGCGGCTGGAGAGGCACGGAGCGGGTTTGAGCAGGGAAGAGCGTGGGCGGATTGGTGGGTTTCGAAGTTCCCTTTGCTTGCTTGCAGGGGGAGTGGATTAGGAGGCACAGCAAGGAGGTAGTGCAGTTCGCCTAATAATCAAACAGGACTGGGCATTGGCCATGGGGAGGGAAGACAAGGGGACGAGGAGGGGCAACCCCTGGCTTCTGGTGTGGGCCTTGGCTGGACGGGGAGCTGATGCAAAAGTGGGGCCCAGTGGGGAGCTCCTAGGCCTGCAGAAGCCAGTACCCTGGCAAACCCATAGACCCCTGCCAGCTCCCCAGTTCTCACTGCCCCCAGCTCTGCCTCCCCGGGGCTGCTTACTCTGGAGTCCTGGGGGACTGTGTTTCAATGGTGACACCACTGCCACGGTTCTCATAAAGAAGTTCTTTCTTGCTGCTCAGCACAAACACTTGGTCAAACCAGTGGGACTCGGGGCGGTTTCCCATGCCGAGAGCCTGGAATGGGCTGAAGAAACTCACAAAGAATCTCCTGACTCGGGCTTTCTGAAACATATATGGCTGCAACGCCTCACCTGTCCCTCCCAGGAGGGCTGGGTCCTCCGAGTGCCAGTCAGCCTGCCTAGGTTCAGAGCCCATCAGCAGTGGCTCATCACCTGTCCTCTGAATCCTGGACCCCAGTGTCCTCAGAGTTCTGCCATGGGGCCCCCGGCTCTGTCTTGGATCCGACTGTGTCCCCCAGGCAAGTTATGTCCTTTCTGGTCCTGAAAAACTAATGGGGGTAGAGGTGGTAGGGTAGGGCAGCTGGATCAAACAGTGCCTGAACTCCTCATGGCTCTTTCTGGGATCCCTTCTCCCACTCCTCCTCTCCTCCTGTGCCTTTCCTCCCTCCTCCCCACCATGCAGTCACTTATTCATTCATTCAATCAGTGTTCCCAGAAAGTCTCTTCTGGGCCCGGCCCTGGACCAGGCGATACCTGGGACTTGGAGATGATTCAAACCCAGTGTCTGCCCTTGGGGAGCCTCCGTCCTGGTGGGGAAGGTAGACTATGTAAACAAACAACTGTGATTCAATCTTTGGCCTTAGGAGCCCTTGGGAGGAAGCTGCTACTGCCTTGGGGGTTGGGAGAGTCAGGGAAGGCCTCAGAGCACAAGCCCTTTGCAATGGGCCTTGAAGCAGGAGGTAAACAAGGGTGTGGGTGGGTGTTAGACGGACAGTGGTGCCCTGGGAGGAGGGACTACGTCTGCAAAGGCATGGAGGCGTCCAAGTGCTGGGTGTGTGTGAGAAAATACAAGCAGGTCAGGGTGGCTCGTGCACGGTGCTGGGATGGGAGGTTCTGGGACCAACTGTCAAGGGCCTCGAATGCCATAGAAAGGATACTTTTTTCCCCCAGGATGCCATGGGCTGAGAGGTGGGGGTAGGGAGGAGGGTCCTGAGAAATAAGTAATAGGCTGAGAGCTGTGACTCCAAAGTGTGGAGAGGATGGACAGGAGGCTGGGGAGGAGCATGGGATTGGGCAGGGTGGGCCCCAGACGGGAGGGGGAAGAAGCTATGAGCCTGGGGGGCTAATGGGAGGAGCCAGGGAGGTGCCTGGGGGATGACAGGAACCTGGCGTCCGGGAAGCCTGGAGCTCAAACAGGCTGGGCTGGAGACTGGGACATGTTCAAGGGTGCCAGGGTAGGGGACACTGCCAGGGTAGGGGGGACTGCCAGGGTAGGGGACACTGCCCCAGGCCAGCTGGCCTGGGGGAAGGGGTGTGAGACCCGCCCTTCCCCATGGGCTGGGCATCTAAGAAGGGACGTATCAGAAGGGGGCTTTGGAGGGGGCAGTCTACAGAGGGAGCACCAAGTCACAGAAGTGTCAATGCCAGCCGCCCCTGCTGCTGCTGTGTTGCAACTCTGCCTGCCCCTAACCAGCCACTGCAGTGCTGTCAGTCAGCTTGTTTCTGAACTCCCCCGTAATCATCATCTTCTGGTTAGCTCTGCACTCTGGGCCCTCCTGAAAACCCCAGAAGCAGGGGCCAAAGCTTTCTAGAAAGTCTTTTATGGGAGGAAAAAGAGAATGTGGGTCAACTCTCTTCATCCCTACGTATCACTAGGCCAAAGTCAGCCCCACGACTGCTAACACCAGCAAATCTCACTGAGCAGAGCAGTGAGGAGAGCCCCACACCTCAGGGCTATGGAGGTAGGCCGGGGTTCTGCCCCCACACAGGGCAGGAGGCCGAGGGATGCCTGGATTTAGGGTTCAGTCGGGATCTGGCCTGAGCCTGGGAAATTCGTGAGTCCTTTCATTCAACAGATGAGCCGTGTGTACCACCCCAGCCATGGGGGAGATAGCACGAGGCAAACCCCGTCCTCTCAGGACTCACCTGCCACAGGGAAGTGGCAAGAACCAAATAAACATGTCCAAGTCCTCCCAGGGATGACAAGGGATGAGGGAAAGCGATGTGGGGCAAGGGGACAGACGGAGAATGGGGTGGGAAGGACAGACCGGAATTCGGGAAGGAGGCAGTCCTCAGGCGAGGCCTGGGGCAGGCCTCAGGTGGGAGCGAGGAGGGACTTGTGGGGAGGGGCCAAGGGTCTGGATCACCCAGGGTCTTGTAGACTGTTGAGAGGCTGAGTGGCTGGAGAGTCCTGGGCATCAGCTCAGCTCTCTGCAGCAGGAAATAGCCTGGCGTAAAGCTTGGACCCCAGGGTTGGAGACAGGGGTGTGGATGGGCTCTGACCCCACGTCCTAAGCCAGGAAGTTGGAGCAGGCAGGCCTCGCCAGCCCCTGAGCTTTCACCACAGCCCTGCTGCATGAGCTGCAGCTGTGTGACAGCACACTCAAGCCGGCTGCCCATGGACAGACGCGACTTGTTGACTTGTCGCTGAGTGAACACAAAGCCCAGGGAACAGGTTGAGGGCCTGGGGCAGGGCCCATCCTGCAGGCCTCTCTCTTCTCTAGCCTCCATTTCCCCCTTTGGGGAGAATGGCTGGGGACGAGGGGGGCAAGGGAGGCTCAGGCCCCAGGTAGACTCTAATGGCGGACCTCACACAGCAGAGCCAACGGCAGGTGAGCCCCCTGGCCAAGAAGTAGGATCAGGAAGAAGAGTTATGATGGAGAACAGCAGGGAAAAGGATTTTCAGAGGCCATGCCCTCCCTGTGGCTCAGATTGTGAAACTGAGGCCCAAGGCCAAATGGTAACAGGTCAGAGGCATTGATGGAGCAGGTCTGGGCCAGGCTCCTGCCCCCAGCCCTATCTTGCCCACCCCAGGTGCTCATGTCTATGAGGAGAGACACCAAGTGTCCGTCTCTCGAACAGATGATGTGGGCTGCGTGGTGCCGTCCGAGTGCCTGCGGGCCTGCGGGGCCGAGGTCGGCTGCTCCAACATCGCCTACCCCAAGCTGGTCATGGAACTGATGCCCATCGGTGAGGCTGTGTGGGTGGGGGTCTGGGTGGAGGGCGTGGGGTTGGACTTGGGGCCCAATGAGTATGGGGACTGTGGAGGCTGCCACTCACTGGCCAAGAAATTTGGGGCATGTCACTTCCCTGCTTGGAGCCTGGGTGTCCTCATTTGTAAATTGGAGATAATGGCATCTACCCACCCCTCAGCGTTGTTGCTGGGATTAAACATAATGACACAGGGAAAATGCTGGGTGCAGGCTTGGCCATGCTGTAGTTCCCACCTTGGGCCTTCGCTTTTCTCTTCTGTTCTGGGCAAGGGGACTCGCTAAGCCCTCCAGGGCTGACACCGAGCCATTGTTGGGCCACAGTCCCTCTCTAGGTCTTGAGTTCCCTCTCTAAGAAATGGATGGAATAAGCTCCAAGTTCATCCATCTCCATGAGCAAGACAAGGGAGTGGGTGGAGAAATGTTTTGGGGAAAACTGTGATTTGACTCACTTTCCTTTGGGCTCCATCCCAACCAGCTTCTGACAAGTGAACAGAGAGCCCAGAGACACCTGGAAGTCACACAGCCAATCAGACACAGAACCGAGGCCAGACAACCCAGCCAGGCAATAAATGGCTGTGCCTTCCGGGCAGGGGGGCCTATGTCAGGCTTATCCTAGGACAGACGGGCAAGAGTTTGTAGAGGTAAAGGAGGTGCTTAAAATTGCAGGAGTTCTTGTAGACAGACTTGAACTCATCCCCAGAGAGGGGAGGCGACCAGCCTGAAGCCACACAGCACAGAGTGGGCAGTTGAGCATCCTTCCACCTTCCTTAGGGCTCCTCACCCTCAGGCCCTCTTGAGCCCACAACTCCCAGAAGGCCTTTCACAGCAATGCTACCCGCACCTCCTAGGGGAGCCCTCACTCCCACTCTGGAAAACCACAGAGCCAAGGAGAGAGGGGATCCACTATGCCTGCTGGGTCCTGCCATGCACAGGAAGTGGCGGAAAATTCCAGAGACTGGGGCACTGCATGCTGGGGTGAGGTGTGCATCTTGCCCAGGGTGTGGCCTTCAAGCAGAGGCCCCGCCCAAGCCTTCCTCACCAACCCCACCGCACCCCAAAGTCCTGCCGCTGGCCTGCTGTGAATCCCTGGGCAATCTCTTCACTTCTCTGAGCTTCCATTTCCTCATCTGTCAAGCGGGTTAATCATGCTTTCCTCGGACGAAGGCATGGGTGTGAAAGTGCTTTGTCAACGCCAGGCTCTGCAGAAAGGACAGGCCTGATCGCAGCCTCAGCATTATGAGTAATTATGGTCGGGCCTAGGGTTGCCAGCAAGCCTAGGGCTCAAGCAGCCAGCTCCGAAGTCCCCACGGTTTGTCCTTGGCCTCCCCAGTCTCCTCATTCTGGGTCTTGCTCACCTCAAACCTCCTCAGCTTCTCTCCCTCCCCGCCCTCTGCCTTGGAGGAGCATGCAAATGGCGGGCGGGCCTCAGGCATTAGAGCCCAGGCGGGAGGGGTTCCCGGGGCTGTCTCAAGGCCGGACAGGGTCACACATCCCCCGTCCCACCCCAGGTCTGCGGGGGCTGATGATCGCAGTGATGCTGGCGGCGCTCATGTCGTCGCTGACCTCCATCTTCAACAGCAGCAGCACCCTCTTCACTATGGACATCTGGAGGCGGCTGCGTCCCCGCTCCGGCGAGCGGGAGCTCCTGCTGGTGGGACGGTACGGGGGTGGGGGCCAGTACGGGGGTGGGGGAACACTACAAGGGTGGGCGCCCGCACTGACTTTGAGGGATGAGCCGGAGTTTGCCACTTAGAGAAAGGTGGATGCCAGGAAGGAGGGAAGAGAAGGGCCAGTGTACCCCATCCATACCACCTCTCACATTGCTCTCCTGTCCACCTCTGTGTGATCACAGCCCTCATCTGGGATGCATCTCCACCCTTGAGCTGGATTCCTTCTGCAGGGGCCAGCCCTCCCTCCCCAACCATGCCACAGATCTCTCTATCTCCCCGAAAACCTGGGCCCCCATTCCTCCTGATGGTTCCCAGCTGCGCCACAGAGGGCCCCCGGGCCAGCACTCAGGACTGGCCACACTTGGGCTGCCACGTCCCTCAGCCTCCATGGCCCTGGCCCTACTGAGCTCCAGCTTGTTTCCTCCCAGCCCAGCTTGTCCCCTCCTTTTTCACCTCGATGACTCATGCTGATCTTTCTGGACTCTGCCTGTGTCCCCTCCTCCGTGCAGTCCTCCCTGAGACCCTCAACCAAGGAATGAGCCTCTCTCCCCTTCATACCCCAGGGACGCTTGCCAGATTCTTCCCACAGCACATGTGGCCATTACAGGCCAAGAGACCTCCCCGACACCCTTCTCCAAATATCTGGGCGCTTCATGAGGACCGGGGCTGTGTCTGGAGAACAGGTGGTGTTTGGTTACATGAATAAGTTCTTTAGTGGCGATTTCTCAGATTTTGGTGTATCCATCACCCGAGTGGTATACACTGTACCCAATGTGTAGTCTTTTATCCCTCACACCCTCCCAGCGTTTCCCCTGAGTCCTCAAAGTCCATTGTATCATTCTTTTTTTTTTTTTTGAGACAGTCTCGTTTTGTCACCCAGGCTGGAGTGCAGTGGTATGATCTTGGCTCCCTGCGACCTCCACCTCCCGGGTTCAAGAGATTCTCGTGTCTCAGCCTCTTGAGTAGCTGGGATTGCAGGAGCGCACCACCACGCCTGGCTACTTTTTGTATTTTTAGTAGAGACAGGGTCTCACCATGTTGGCCAGGCTGGTCTCGAACTCCTGACCTCAGGTTATTCATCCACCTCAGCGGGCTGGGATTACAGGTATGAGCCAGTGTGCCCAGCCCATCCTATCACTCTTATGCCTTTACATCCTCAGAGGTTAGCTCCCATGTGCACGTGTCTATTTGCGCCCTCCCTGGCCCTCCAGTCCCACCCTCTTGTTGTCCTCTGAGCAGTGTGGCTCACACTCTGCTGCTCGGGGGTCCAGCCTTCTGGCACAACAGAGCACCCCCTGGCCAGGAGCCCAGGGCACCCATCCTGGGGGTGGGGTCTCCTCCAGAGCTCCAGGCAGCTGTCCCAGGGATGCAAAATAGTCAGGCTTCTGTTGGAAGGGCCCTGTTGGGACACGCCAGAGGCGGGTGCGAGTGAGCTCATCCACGGGCTCACAGGATTCTCCAAAACAAGGAGCCTCCCACCTCTCACTGGGCAGGACACTTCCATGTCCCTGTGTCCTGGGCACTTGGCCCCTTGACCACTTCTCCCCCTCTGGCTCCCCTGCCTCTCCTCAGAAGCTGTGTGGCCTGGGGAAGACCCTGCCCCTCTCTGACCATGTGTCTCCTCTGAGGCCAGACCTTGCTCTAAGCCCCTCCATGCTCCAGCATCCTGGGCCCTGGGAACTGGATGCCCTCCTGCCACCCAGTGTGTGACACTGGTAGCCCCTGTACCTGCCCAGTGGCCCTCATGTCCCCTGCCCACTACTTCCTGGCCTCCTCACCCAGACTCCCACCTGCAACCAAAAGTCTTGACCTGGCCTCCTGCTGCGCCAGCTCACCCAGCTGCCCGTGCCCTTGACCCTCCTTCCCACCTCTTCTGCCAAGTCAACCCCCGCCCCTAGCCCTGCAAGCCTGGCAGTCGGCCTCCCTGAGGAGCAAGGCACAAGGCTGCGTGGTGCAGGGCAGGTTGCTCACCCTCTCTGGGCCCCAGTTCTCTCAGCTGCCAGCTGGATAGAGCAGAAAGGGCCCCGTGCCAGGTGTCAGGCTGGCCAGCTCAACTTCCCGTCCCTCTTACAGCACTGGGATACCCTCAACACCCCCAGCCCCTCAAAGCCGTCTCAGCTTCCTCCTGCCCGAAACACCACCATTGGAGCGGTATCTCCTAGGCCTCGTGGTCATGGATCTCTGGTAGGGTGAATGGCCTGACAACAGTCTCTGTCAGGGAGAGGCGAGGCTTACAGAGAGAAGACCAACAGCCCAGAGGCCTGGAGAGGAGGCCATCGCAGGGCCGGGTGCAGTACCATGCCGGTGACCCTGATGGCTCTGTCCAGCTGAGCAGAGGCTGGAGGAGCCGTCACAGGCTGGGGGAGAGCGATGACCCGCCCCCACTCCCGTATGCCTGCCCCAAGCCCCCACACCTCAGTCCACTGTTCCGCCACTGCCCCCCTGCCCCACTCTCCCCTGTCTGTGTTCCCGGCTGTTCAGTCCGTAAATGGGGCCCACAGCCTCCTGGAAACCCTGTGCAGGACTCGGAGAGATCTCAGACACCCCTCCTTGAGATGTTCCACAGTAACTGTGGCTGCAGCCCAGGGAGATGCTGGAGGGCACTATCCACCCTGATGGTGGCATGGGAGGGAGTGGCATTCCAGGCAGAAGGAGCAGCCTCTGGGTTTGGGGGTCCTCTGGCAGCCAGGTAAGAAGGCTGGGTAAGAAAGCGAGGGCCTGGCTGGAGTGGCCCCAGCCCTGGCACAGAGATGCAGAGTCTGGTGTTGGGCGGGAGAGCTGTGTGCAGAGGGCGGGGTGGGCAGGCGTTAATGGAGGCCCGCCTGGGCCTTTGATGAGGGCAGCGCCCGCCTGCCTGCCTGGCTAGGGGTTAATTAGCCTTAATCAAGGTGGCACCTCCTTCCTCCACCCTCTCCCTCAGGCCTAGAAGGGAAGAAAGGGAGGGAGGAAGGCGGACAGGCGCTGAGAGGACCCACCCTAGCTGAACACATAGCCTCTGTCACCCCTGCCACCACAGCCAGGGTTCCAGCGGGTCACCCACCACCCACCTTGGGGGTGAGGAATGCCAACTGACCCAGGACACAGGGGTGAGGTGCTCAGCCAGGGAGGAGCGGATGGATGCCATGCCCCAGCTTCATCCCCTTAGCTGGGTCCCATGCCCCTCAAGGCTCGGGGAGGGGGTGCCTCCTCCTGAAAGCCCTCCTAGATTGATGTTTCCTCTGAGCTGCTCCAGCCCAGTCCGAGTGTAGGTAAGAGGCTCATCTGTTTTCTTTGCTGGACTCTGAGTGCTGGGCAGGCACCAGGTCCCACTCATCGCCGAGTTGGGGATCCTAGGGTAGTGTCCTACGCAGGTGAGCACCTCACCAGTGGTTTGTTGGATGAACAAGTGTAGCATGTGCCTGTTGTAGAGGGGCTCTTGGCCTAAGGGAGAGGCAGGCAGGAGCTGACACGCAGGGGACAGGAGGGGACGGGCTCATGCTGGCCCAGCAGGGCTCCGGCTTCACAGCTGGGGAGTATGGGCTCTAACCCCAACCCACACCTCTGGCTCCAAACTTTGCATCCTTAGTAAGCAGGTTGCCCTGTGAAGGATGTGCAGCACAGGGCTGTCGGGGTGGGGATGTGCCAGCCAGAGGTCCCAGCTCCCACAAATGCCGGCCAGTGTGAAAAATCCTAGTGTCTTCAAATAACCACCAGGAAGTCAGTCTGGCCCAGATCGGGGGGCAGTGGTCATTCATGCACTCACCAAATGCTTAGTAAGCACCTACTATATGCTGGGAGACACAGCAATGAACTAAAGAGATGAGGCTCCTGCTCTCCTGGTGCTTCCATTGGGAGGGGAAGACAGGCAGTAAACAAGTAGACACCCAGGTAAATGTGCATGTAGTGACTGGGACAGGTGCTTTGAAGGAGAGACAAGAGGGAGCTCCATGGCGGAGCTCCAAGGGCTGGCTCCGCAGAGACCCCAGGGCAGGGAAGGAGCAGACAGCACTTAGAGTCAGGAGCTGCACCTGCAGGATCCAGGGAGCCACCAAAGGGTTTGGAGCAGGGCAGGACTGGCCAGGTCACTGGTGGTGTGGACCAGAGTCCAGGGAGGAGGCTGGAGCTGGGGTAGCAGGGGAAAGATTAGAGAGCAAGTCTTAGTGACCAGGGGAGGTGGGAGAGAGCTGAAGAGCCTCCCACGACGACCGCTGCCTGCCTTCCACTCGCCTGCAGGCTGGTCATAGTGGCACTCATCGGCGTGAGTGTGGCCTGGATCCCCGTCCTGCAGGACTCCAACAGCGGGCAACTCTTCATCTACATGCAGTCAGTGACCAGCTCCCTGGCCCCACCAGTGACTGCAGTCTTTGTCCTGGGCGTCTTCTGGCGACGTGCCAACGAGCAGGTGGGCGTCGGCGGTCTGCTCTCCCTGGGGACGTGCCACAATTTGCTCTTCCCTGCTGCCTGTGGGGGGAGCCTTGGTCCTCCTCCCGTAGCCCCACATGCCCTGCCTCCCTCCTCCCCAGGGGGCCTTCTGGGGCCTGATAGCAGGGCTGGTGGTGGGGGCCACGAGGCTGGTCCTGGAATTCCTGAACCCAGCCCCACCGTGCGGAGAGCCAGACACGCGGCCAGCCGTCCTGGGGAGCATCCACTACCTGCACTTCGCTGTCGCCCTCTTTGCACTCAGTGGTGCTGTTGTGGTGGCTGGAAGCCTGCTGACCCCACCCCCACAGAGTGTCCAGGTGAGCCAGCCCTGACCCCTGACCCTGACCCCTAACAATTTCTTACTCTGGTCCCATTCTCATCCCCGACCCACTCTGACTCAGAATTTTCTAGCCCTGGACTACCTAGCCCCGTCCCTTTTTGAACTCAGCTGCCATCTTGCCATCCCCAACCTTTGATCCTGTCTGGGTCACCCCCACCCTGCCATCCCCCACCCCCAACCCTATCCTCACTCATTTCTTACAGATTGAGAACCTTACCTGGTGGACCCTGGCTCAGGATGTGCCCTTGGGAACTAAAGCAGGTAAGTGGATGACCCTAGGCACTCCTCCACCTTGACCCTGGCCTGGAGGCAAGGGCACCAGGTGTAACCTTGTGTCCTTCATCTGTCCCTCTCCTTCTGCAACCCCCTCCAGGTGATGGCCAAACACCCCAGAAACACGCCTTCTGGGCCCGTGTCTGTGGCTTCAATGCCATCCTCCTCATGTGTGTCAACATATTCTTTTATGCCTACTTCGCCTGACACTGCCATCCTGGACAGAAAGGCAGGAGCTCTGAGTCCTCAGGTCCACCCATTTCCCTCATGGGGATCCCGAGGCCCCAAGAGGGGCAGATTCCCCTCACAGCTGCACAGCAGCTCGGTGCCCAAGAACTGGCCAAGCCAGCAAAGCGGGAGCCCTGAAAAATTAGGGGGGAAATGGGAGAAAATAATGTGACATTTCAAAAACAGCACCAAAGCAGTCAGCATTGGAAGGAAAATTAGATTTCTGACGGACATCCTGATGTTGGTTTTACTGTTTTCGTTTTGAATACACAGGCTGGGTCAGGAGCAGTGAGATTTGCCAGCACTCAGGGTTCTAAGGGTCTTGGGCCAGCTCTGGATGGAGGAAGAGCCCCACATGCCCAGAGCAAGGCCCCCCATTAAGGGACTGCAGCCACCTCCAAGGGCTCCTCCCTCCACCCACCGGCTCCCAAATGCCAGAGGGAGCCTCTTCGCCCTCCCTCCCTGCCCACCATCCCTCAACCATCAGCCTGGCGTTCAAAGCCTTTCCAAGTCCCACCTCACTTTTCCCTCTCCCAAAGGTGCCCAGGCTCTGGGCAGGCCCTGCTCATATCCCTGATCATGGCACATTCTCTGGAGGACCCTCCTGTTCTCGGGTAGGGGCCGTGCCCCACCTAGGTAGCCGTCCCATGTGGGATCCTGTAGGATCTCTAAAACCTAGCTCTGGCCCCAACTTTCTGTCTGCCCTGGAGGTTTCTCAGCCTCCTGAGAGCTCTGCTGGGCCCCGGTCTGGGCAGAACCTGGGCCTAAACAAACAAGAGCCAGGGCAGCCAGGGTCTCTGCGTGGCTGGGCCCAGGGCTTGCCCTCAGAGCTCACCTGTCCAACAGAAGAGGAGTGTGCCTCCACCTTCCCTACTGCCCGCCCCTTTTTCAGGGTCTTAGGGCCTCTAGCCCTGTGGTGGGGTGCTGGGTGCCCCAGGTGGAGCTGAAGTCATGGGGCTGTTGAGGAGTTGGTGTCCACCTGGAGTCTGTCCAGTGAGTTTAGGTCAACAGGTGTGCAGTCTGTCCTTCGAGGCTGAGCCACCTCCCAACAGCCTGAACAACTCCAGGGGCCTTTTGAGGGAGGGGCAGGCAGGCCCAGTGGGTGGTCAGCCCAAGGTGAACCCACCCACCATGGCCAGGGTTCCTTAGGTTGAGCCTCCAGTGGGTGAAACCTGGGAGTCCTCAACCTTCCTGGCAGATGGGGCCATTGACAAGAGGAGGTGGGCGGGGCCTCCACAGACTCCGCCCTGTGGTGTCACACAGCTGGCAGCCAATGGAAAGCAACCAGCCAGGAAGCCCCGGAGCTACCCTTGCTGGGTACCCTTGCTGGGGGACCTGGGCCATCCCAGTTTGTGCAGAGCGGCCGGAGGCAGTTAGGAGCCCACGTTCAGTCCAAGGCCGTCCACTGAGCCCCGTGTGACTCTGACAGAGCTGGGGGTGTCCATGTCCTCTCTGGACCTCAGTTCCTGTAAAAAGGCCCGTTGGCCAGATCGGCCGCCGGGCTGCTCACAGGTGCACGGGCTGCACGTAACTCCGTGGGAAGAAGCCAACGCGCCCGCAGGACCGGCCCCGCCACCAGTGGGGGTCTGGGCGCTCCAGGACCTCAATGATGTCGCCACGGCGGAAGCTGAGCTGCGAGGGGTCCTGGGCTGAGAAGTCAAACTGGGCCTGGGCAAAGCAGGCCCCAGGTGACTGCAAGAAGAGGAGGTGGTTAGTAGGGTGCCTTCAGAAGCCCTGCAACCCACCCTCCCTCAGAGGCACCCAAGAGAAGTGATTTGCCACAGGTGAGGAGGGGTCTCGGGCAGCACCGGAGTTGAACTTTAAGTCCAGATCAATGGTAGTGCCACCACTGGGCCTCCTGCTGCCCACACCCCTGCCTGTCTGCTGTGCAGATGCTGCATCTACATAGAACACGGCTTTCCCAGCCGCCCAGCTGGGACAATAGGGCTGGTGGGTCAGGGGACCTGAGTCCTGGTCCTTAGGGTGGGATTTTGGTTAGGTCCCTGCTTCTCTTGGGATCTTATTTACCCGACTCTGCAGCAGCCATGGTAGCTTTTGACTCCAGGCCACAAAGCCATGAGAATGGGCCTTATAAACTGTAAAGTGACGTGCAGCTAAGAGTCGTGTTTATTGCTCTTGCCCTTGGTCAGCCGTTGAGGGAGAGAATTGTCACTTTGAGCTCTCAGGCCTGGGCTCCACTCCTATCTATGCCCCATGTGTGATGTTGGGTAGGTCCCTGCCCTTTGTGGAACTCAGTTTCCCCACCTGTGAATGGCAGCAGGACAGGAGCTCTCTGCAGCACATCTGCCTGGCACCGTGACTATTGCACCCAGCACCCTGGCCCTGCCTGCCCACCAAGATCTCAGCTCTGAATCTGCAGAATCTCATCCAGGATGGGTGATAGGATCAGCAGAGAAGCTGTAATTAGCAGCTCTCTGCCCAGGAAGGAGGAGGCGTCATAGGTCCCAGGGGACTGAGGCAGCTCTGGAGTCGAGCCACAGGGTGGGTGACCCCACGGCCCGGGCCAGAGCGAGGTGTTGGGTGTAGGGGAGCTCTCAGTTGCCCCTGCCCTAGCTCCATCCTGGCTTCCTCACACTCTTCCAAGGCAGAGCTGGCCCAGGTGGTGAACAGGGAGGAGGATGGAGATCTGGCAGACAGGAGCCCAGCTGGAGAGAAAAGTGCCCTGAGGCTGGGAGCTCACAGTGACCTGGGCACTCAGGGTCAGGCAGGGAAGGCCAACAGAGGAGAAACTAGTGGGGGTCTCTCAAGGCACTGTTTGACTCCCCTGGCATATCAGACCCCAGGGCTCATCCTACTGAACAGAGGGAACACTGAGGGGATGAACTGGCCTCTGATCACATGGAAAGGTGGTGGGGAGGTGCTAGGAACAAGATTTGGCTGGAGCTTCTCTTCAGCGGTTATCAGCCTCTCCCCAGGCCTTGGCCACACTCCCCATCTCCTCTGCAGAGCCCAAGCTCAAGTGTCCCAGGGTCTTGACCTCCAGCCCCAGGCCTTGCCAGCATCCCCGCTCCTGAAGAAAACAGCCTGTTGGGGCTAATAACCCCAGTGGCTATTGTTGGCATCCCAATCAGCTTCAGAGCTGGCCCTTGGGGCTCCTTGATGAAAGGGCTGGCTGGCAAATTGCTGTTATTGCAAGGTCAAGGGGTGGATGACCCCGACCCCCCACCCCCCACCCCCCACCCCGCGGCTTGCCAGGATCTCGCCCACCAGCACTCATGCTGCCCCACACCCAAGGTCAACTCTTCCGCGAGCAGAAACCAGGACTGAGCCTACCAGGTAAGTGTCCTTGGATGAGTCACTGCACTCTCTGAGCCTCGGTTTCCTCATCTGTATAATGGGCATGATGAGGCTCCCAGAGTACAGAGACCAGTTCAGTGCATGGTACCCAGTATGCTCAGTGGGGGTCTGTACCTTCCTTCACTCAATGAACATTTATTGAGCACCTACTGTGTGCCACATGCTATTCTAGGAGCTGAGAACAAGCTAGACAGTTTGTCCCCATGGGATTTTCCTTCTGTCCTTTGCTTTTCTTTCCCTCTTCTCCTTTCCCACCCTTGCAAGTCTCACCATAGCCGCCACCAGGATATAACTTCGAAGCCTGGGCTGGACGCCTCTTGCAATACCAGGCTGCTGGGGAAGTGAGACCAGGCCCGTGCTTGGCCTCAGTGTCAGCATCTCCCCTGCTGCAGATGGCAGGAGGTGCAGAGAGGCTCCCACAGGCCAGCCCCCACCCGCCCCTACCTTGAGCAAGGGCTCCTCGTCGCGCAGGAAGATCTGCCGCTTCTTGGCGATGGTGGTGGTGCGGTAGAAGTCGACCAGCTCGTTGAGGGAGTTGAACTTCTCCTCCCACAGGAAGTACTTCCCCGAGGCCTCACGCAGCACCTTGAAGTGCTGCACCTGGTCTCCATAGCTAGGGGAAAGGACCCGGGGCCACCTCAGGTGGTGGCCGTCCCAGCCTGGCATGGTCCCAGGGGCTCCCGTCTCACTACCACCTGGAACCAGCCTGTCTCACGGTGGGACCTGGAGTCAGATAAGGTGCAAGTGGGAGAGGCCCCACTGACCCAGCTCCACATGGGGTCTGGGGAGTCCCATCTGGCAGTGGAATATGGGGTTAATTTAAGGGTGTGGGCTCTGAACCAGGCCACTTTCTCACTGTGTGACCTCATGCAAGTCTCTCAACTTCTCTGAACCTCAGTTTTCTCATAATGATAACATCTCCGTTATGGATAAGTGCACAGTGACTGGCATATTGGCAACGTGAAATGGGTACCTCTGAGTGTGTCGTGATCAGAGAGCATCTCCTTCACATCTCTTTGTTGTTCCCCTCAGCTTGGACCTACTCCCTGCTCCCCTGCTCCTCCCATGCCCCAGAGTCCCTTGGGGAGCAAGTCCTAGACTCATCCTGACTCAGACCAAAGCCTACTGCTATGAGAGGAGCTCAGACCTGTTGAATGTCTCACGTCCTCCCCCTCCCATGAACCTTCCGTGGCTTCTCCCTTGGCCTCAGGGTAAACTCTTAACACTTCAGACTCAAGATCTGGCTCCACTTACATGTCCAGCTTCATTTACTTTATATCCTCTCCGATGAAGCAAGCAGGCCCCTTTCTCTCATTTCCCGTCTGTGCCCTGCCTTCCAGCCAGCCCACTACCGCCAAATCGCCCCGAGTACCTTCTAGCCCAGCGGAGGAGAGAGCCTGCTCTTTCTTTTTTCTTTTCTTTTCTTTTTTTTTTTTTTTGAGGCGGAGTCTCGCTCTGTCACCCAGGCTAGAGTGCAATGGCGCTATCTCGGCTCACTGCAAGCTCCGCCTCCCAGGTTCATGCCATTCTCCTGCCTCAGCCTCCTGAGTAGCTGGGATTACAGGTGCCCGCCACCACGCCCGGCTAATTTTTTGGTATTTTTAGTAGAGACGGGGTTTCACCATCTTGGCCAGGATGGTCTCAAACTCCTGACCTTGTGATCCACCCTCCTCGGCCTCCCAAAGTGCTGGGATTATAGGCGTGAGCCACTGCGCCCAGCCACGGATTTTTCTCTCTCATTTCCCGTCTGTGCCCAGCCTTCCAGCCAGCCCACTATCGCCAAATCGCCCCAAGTACCTTCTAGCCCAGCGGAGGAGAGAGCCTGCTCTTTCTTTTTTCTTTTCTTTTTTTTTTTTTTTTGAGGCGTAGTCTCGCTCTGTCACCCAGGCTAGAGTGCAATGGCGCTATCTCGGCTCACTGCAAGCTCCGCCTCCCAGGTTCACGCCATTCTCCTGCCTCAGCCTCCCGAGTAGCTGGGACTACAGGCGCCCACCACCGCGCCCGGCTAATTTTTTTTGTATTTTTAGTAGAGACGGGGTTTCACCGTGTTAGCCAGGATGGTCTCGAACTCCTGACCTCGTGATCCACCCGCCTCAGCCTCCCAAAGTGCTGGGATTACAGGCGTGAGCCACCGCACCCAGCCGAGCCTGCTCTTTCAAACTGGCCAGAGGCAGAGCCTGTCCTGGCTGGGACTGGGCAGAGGAACTAACTGGAACCTCTCACACTCGGCGTGTCCACCCAGGACAGGCCTTGTGGGGCTGGGACTGGAGGCGGTGCAGCTGTGGGTCAAGATCATGGCAGACATGACTGCAGCGCTGCCCCGCTGTGCTTCGGGGGTGGCTGGCCTGCCTCACGGCCCAGGAGGAGCAAATTGGGCCCTATGTTTCAGTTTCTCCACCAGTCATCCCTGGGGCAGCTTGCTGCTTTATTGATGTTTTAAGATGAAAGATTTCAGATAAAGATGTGTTCAAGGCCGGGCGCGGTGGCTCATGCCTGTAATTCCAGCACTTTGGGAGGCCGAGGCGGGCGGATCAAGAGGTCAGGAGATCGAGACCATCCTGGCTAAACCCCATCTCTACTAAAAAACAAAAAAAAATTAGCCAGACGTGGTGGCGGGTGCCTGTAGTCCCAGCTACTCCAGAGGCTGAGGCGGGAGAATGGCATGAACCCAGGAGGTGGAGGTTGCAGTGAGCCAAAATCGCGCCACTGCACTCCAGCCTGGGCGACAGAGCAAGACTCTGTCTCTAAAAAAAAAAAAAAGATGTGTTCAAGGTTCCCACCCTCTGATCTGTATGAGGCATAGGGCAAAACAGGATTCCCCCTACTCCATTCCAGTCAAGGGGTCCAAACCACTTCTAAACACACCTCCAGGCATTTGCACACAGAGTGTCCTCCAGCTAGAGGGAATTTTTCTTGAAATCCTCATGCCCCAGTGGGGAAACTGAGGCCCCGAGTGCAGCCGCGACCTGCCCAGAGCCACAACAGCAAGAAAGGTCAGAGCTGGGGCCACATTTGAGCTCATACATGTAAAACGTTGCCTAATGCCCTCCTGATTGGTTATTATCACATAACAATAGCAATAATAATTATTCCAATTATGCTATTACTATTGTTCCAGAGCTCATCATTCCAAGTCCATTTCTACTTTGCCATGTTGCTACCTGGGCTGTGCCCCCCAGGAGGCCCTCCCTCCCTGCCTCATCCTCTCTGCCTGGCCAAACCTTAGCTACCCTTCCCAGCTCTATAGCCAGCCTGCCTGGACTTAGACCCCAGCCCACCTCTCTGGGCCTCTGCGTCCTGGCCTGCCAAATGTGGGCGATAGTGCACTCCTTGCAAGGGAGCTGAGAGGCCTGGGACCCTGGGGGCTGTGTGGGTGCTGCCAACAGAGCCACCCTAGGCCCACCTGGCTGGGCTAGGGGCTGTGGGGAGAACACAGAACAGTCCCAGCTCCCAACCAGAAAGAAGACAGTTTAGGACCCCGAGGGAGGGCACCTGTTCAGGTGGCTGGCGGAGCTAATAGCTGGGAAAGCCTGGGGCCCTGTGAGCCGGGTGAGGCAGGGTAGGGGCACAGGATGGCCACTGGGAGGTAGATAGCCCCTCAGCCTCCTGAGCCACAGGCTAGGGATCTTTTTGTTCACATTTGGGCTAAATGAGATCCAACCACCAGTCCAAAGCACTTGATGCCTTGATGGGACACATGCGCGCGCGCGCGCGCACACACACACACACACACACACACACACACACACACACACCCCTACCTCTCCTGGGTTGTAAATTGAAATCTGGTTAAACAATTTGGTCGCAATACATTTGCAAGCTTGGGTTCACCCACAGCCTGAGTTCCTTCAGGTCTATGGTTCTCCTGAACAAGAGGGTGGTGTCTGTCACCCCAGCTGCCCAGATCTGCTGCTCCATCTGTCCTATCCCTGCCTGTGGTTGAGTTTCTCCACCAGTCATCCCTGGGGTGGCTTCCTTCCTTATTGATGTTTTAAGATGAAAGATTTAAGATAAAGATGTGTTCAAGTTTCCCACCCTCTGGTCTGTATGAGGCGTAGGGCAAAATGGGATTCCCCCTACTCCATTACAGTCAAGGGGTCCAAACCACTTCTCCCTTTTTTTTTTTTTTGAGACGGAGTCTCGCCCTGTCACCCAGGCTGGAGTGCAATGGTGCGATCTCGGTTCACTGCAGCCTCCGCCTCCTGGGTTCAAGCGATTATCTCATCTAAGCCTTCCGAGTAGCTGGGATTACAGGCACCTGCCACAACGCCTAGCTAATTTTTGTATTTTTAGTAGCTGGGATTACAGGCACCTGCCACAACGCCTAGCTAATTTTTGTATTTTTAGTAGAGACAGGGTTTCACCATGTTGGCCTGGCTGGTCTCAAACTCCTGACCTTGGGTGATCTGCCCACCTCGGCCTCCCAAAGTGCTGGGATTACAGGTGTGAGCAACGGCGCCCAGCCCCAAACCACTTCTAAATACACCTCCAGGCATTTGCACACAGTATTTCCTCCAACTGGAAGGAATTTTTCTTGAACTCCTACTCATGCCTCAAGGCCCAGGTAAAATGGCGCATCCTGTGAGAGCTGCATCAGACCCCATCACGCAGTCAGGGCCTTCTTGGATCCCTCAGCCCCTCTCATAGCCTTCTTGTAACTTGCTACTCAAAATGACTTGCATATGAGACACTAAAAAGGCAGGGAGGCAGGAGTGGGCCCTGAAGGTCCAGTCTAGCTGGGACTCAGCAAACAGAGCATCACTTTCCAGGTCTTAGGTCCTCATTGCGATGCTTTGTTCTTGAAACCCACTTCTGTTGGTTCTGAACTGGGATTGCAGCCCACCAGGTGTTCTGACCCTGAACCCAGGCTCCGGTGGCCAACCCATTGCTCTAAGATGCATCCAGCCCTCAGGGTCACACAGCCAGAAAGAGAGCTAGTTCATGTGCTCGTGACGCGGAGGTGGGTGTGCAGGCAGATGTGTGTCTCCTGCCCTGTCTGGCCTTCCGAAGCCTCCCAGAGGCTTCCGAGAGGCAGCCTCTGAGCCCCATGACTCCCTAGTGCCACGTGCTAACCAGCCCAGGGTTTACTGAACTTTGGCCGTGGTGCCTGGGGAGGAGCACTGCTTCAAGCAGTGGAGTGACGGTGACCCACAGCTGGGCAGGCGAGAAGCCTGGAGACAGGGATCCCAGTGGCTCCACCTCTGGGGCACCGGGTACCCAGGCAGAAGGCCCTGACTCCCTGTTGGCCCCGAGGAGGGGCCTGCATACAGGTGGCCCCACTCCTCTGGGTGAGGGGACAGAAAGGGTGTGGTGGGTTTGAAAATGATTTCAAACCCAAACGACCACAACTTTGAATTTTATGGTATTTGAAGTTCATCTTTAGATACTTGGAAAGTTATCTAGAGCAGATAGAACGTTATCTGGAGCAGTTCTTTGATCATATAGTAGAGTCAGGGAGTGGAGAACAGGAGATAAGGGAAAGGGAGCCAGGGACCCAGGGATTCTAGGGCTTTCCAACCTGGGAACTGGAGAATTCTCAAATCTGGGAAACGTGCATGTGCCAGCCCCTACCTAGTCTGTGTGTGGCACATACTAGGTGCTCAGTAAATGGCAAATCTTGCCCCTTCTCCCACCTGGTCCAAATGTCCTGCTTTACAGCAGAGGACAGTGAGGCTTGGGTGCAGCCCCTCCTGCTGAGCCAGCCCCTGCCTGAGGCCAAGCGGTGCTGTCTCTGTCATCTCACAGCCCAGCATCCCAGCTGTCACTCCCTCTCCCAGCCTGGCCCTTTTCCCTAGCCTGGCTGGGCTCTTGCTCATGGCCCTCACCAGAAATAATGCCTTTTCCCTTTTCTCTGTCTAGTCTTGACCTTAGCCATCCTTCAAGGCCCAGGTGGAGCCTCAAAGCATTTGAGAATCCCCCAGACTGGGGCTACCCTCTGGGGCCTCTCCAGACCTCATCTCCACTCCCCTTCCCAAGGCCTGTGGGAACTTCAGGGCTTGCAGGAGGAACTGAATCTGAGTCCAGATGGCCCCGGAACCGGGAGGGCTGGATCCAGTGCAGCCGGCTCTGCTGCATGAGCCTCCCAGAGCCAGAGGAGGGAGGGGGCACTGGGATTGTGGGCCTGAGTTGGTGAGAGGAGAGGCTGCTGGAGCCATTCACTTCAGTGGGCAGTGCCGGGGGTGTGAGAGCGTCTCCATTGTGTCTGAGTGTGCATTCCTGGGATGCTTGTGTGTGTGTGTCTGTGTGTGTCTCCCACTGTGTGGAGTGACTGTTATGTGTGAGTCTCTCACTGAGCAATCATGAGTATCTTTGTCTCTCTGTGTGACCCCTACATCCACCTACCCAGGGGAACAAGGGGCTAGGCTGACCCCTGGGCTGTCAGAAAAGCCCCAAGGACCAAGTCAGGCCTAATGCTGGCAGCAGCCAGTCCTGCCCAGCGAGTTTTTCTGGCCTGGTGGCGGCAGCAGCAGCAGCAGCAGCAGCAGCAGCAGCAGCAAAGGTAACAGTGTCAGCCCAGAGAGGAAAAACAAGGCTGGGGTGGGGGCAGGAGCCCTAGGACACCCCCTCCACCACCCCAACCAGGGCTTGTGGACGTGTGGACCCACCTGGGTGCTAACTGCCCGCTGGGCGATCTCCATCAGGCATGGCCCCTCTCTGGCCTCAGTTTGCCCATCTGTGAAAAGGAGGGGTGGAACAACCTGTTCGGCAGCAGACAGGAACCAGAGTCAAGCTGAGCTTGGGAGGGGCAGGACACTGGTGCAGACAGACTCCTGCTGGGTCTTTGGAGCTCAGGGAGGGTGGGTGGAGGACAGACCAGGTCTGTCAGGGCACAGAGGTCGGTGGGCACCAG
Organism: Homo sapiens; assembly: GCF_000001405.40. Taxonomy (NCBI): domain Eukaryota; kingdom Metazoa; phylum Chordata; class Mammalia; order Primates; family Hominidae; genus Homo; species Homo sapiens. The sequence goes on from NC_000017.11 coordinate 19,030,621, forward strand.
CTCTAAGTTCCTCGCTGTGTGACCTTGGGGAAGTTGCTGCACCTCTCCAGGCTTCAGTTTCCTTACCTGCAAGCTGGGCTTCTGGGGATCAGGCAGGTCTCCTCACTTCCTCCCTGTCCTTGCCTGCAGCCAGTCCCTTCCTCCTAAAATTGCACCCCCCCTCCACCACTTCCCTGCTTCATTTTCTCCAAAGCCTTGGTCATTGTGTAAGATTTTATACAATTTCCTAATCACTTATTGTCTGTCACCCAGTAGCACATGGGCACTTGAGGGACAGAGAGCTTTGCCCTATTTTGTTGCTGGCTGAATCCCCAGGCCCTGGGACAGGGCTGGCACACAGCAGGGGTTCAGTGACCAGATGGGCAGGGCAAACACATGTGCATTGACTCCAGGGTACCTCTGGCTAGAAAGGAGGCAAATATGTCACTTGGAGACAAACTGTCATTTATGGCAGAAGAGTCCACAGTAGCTTGGATAGGAGTGTGGGGCAAAAGTTAGGCAGCCCAGACATTGCACGCCAGCCTTGGCCCCTGGCCCGCTGCCCGCCAGCTCAGACATGCTCCCTGGAGGAGGAGGGGGACAGCCCTTTGTAAACTCATAAAGGGCAGCTAGCTATGGCCACAGTTGCTCTAGGAGGCAGCATGAGGCCCATAAACCCCACCTCTGACAGCTTTACAGGGCTTGGTGTGAGTATGCCAGAGATGCCATGCATAGTGCCATCAGAGTTCCCAAGTACCAACCAGCAAGGGTGGAAGAGCTCTTACACACAAATCTGCCAGGCTGTCATTTTCCGAGGTGGCCATCAGGTCACCCGGCTTCCCAGCATCTGGGTTCCCTGACTCCCTGTGCTGCTGCCTCTTCTCTAAGAGTGTTGGATTCATGGGCCGGGGGTGGGGGGCAGCCTTCCAGGCCAGGAGGGGCTCCCTAATTCCTCCCCAGCTTGGTGTGCAGTCCTTGGAGCCTTAATATAATTATGATAACTGGCACTTATCATGTGCCAGTCATCATAAAAAACACGTTACATAGCTGTCCATTTTATAAATGAGGAAACTGAGGCTCAGAGGGGTAACTTGCCCAGGATTATACAGCGAGCAGCTAGCAGGTGTCAGAGCTGACTGTTGCTCAAAATACCATGCTCTTAGCCACATGCCCCATTTGAGTCTCAGCTTCCAACTCTGACCCCTGCTTGGTGGTTGTCCAAGGACCACTGAGAGGCCCCATGACAGATGATGGACAGAATGGGAGCAGGACCCAGGAGCCTGGGCCCAGGCAGGAAGAAGCCAAGGGTCAAGGGCTCCACCTGCTGGTGCTGTGTACAACCCACAGCCAGCCAAGCCCAGGAAGCTCCTGACAGTTTTGACCTGGGCACACTTGGCCAGTATGCCTTGGACAAAAGGTTCGGGGGCACAGGCCAGGATTTCTCTGAGGGTCGCTTCCAGATCCCTTCCCAGGAAACACCGGTGCTGGCTCGCCTGCTCAAGAACTGCTCCCTAAGACTGTCCATCTTCCCTCCTGGTCAGAAAACACGTTGTTATCCAAACACACCCCTCGCTTCCCCACCTCTAGATCTCTACTCATGCTGTTTCCTGTGCCTGGCATATCATCTACTCTCCTTGTGCGCCAAAATCCTACTCATGCTTTAGAGCCCAACTCAGATGTCACTTCCTCCCTGGTGCCTTCACTATGTGGAATGTATCCACTGTCATTGAATTTCATTTATTCATTTGCTCATCATAGAGACCCCTGGGCCAGGCTGTGACCATTTCCCCTTCACATGCCTCTGGTTTGTCTCCTGTTTCAGTCCTGCCTTGTGGTTTTCACACAGCTGATGCTCAATAAATGCGTGCTGAGCAAACTCACAAGGCTGGGGTGTTCAGGTCTGATCATGTGCGTGTGCGCAGGTGGCTGCACTTACAGAGAGACGCCTGAAGAGGGCAGCACACTGGGGCGCTAACTTGGAGAGTGAGGCCGCGTGATTTGTTAGAGGAGGAAGCCGGAGGGCGGAGGGAGGGCCAGCCCCTCCCCCTCAACTCGGGCTCCAGACGTAGTTTGAGTCCCCTGTGCCCCCACTTTGCTGGGTGACCTTGGGCTTTGGGGTTGGTTCCAGGAGCCACTCAGCCAGGCCAGCCCGCCTGGCGGACGCCATTCCCAGGAGATGACCAGGCCCTGGACAGCCGACACTTGGAAGACTGCCACGTCCTGCCTCCGCAGGAGCCGCAGCTCCCCGGGGCTGCAGGGAAGTGGTGGCTGGGCTGGGGGGGTGGGGGGTGAGCCCGCGGGGACTCCAGGCTCCAGGTGCCCACACCATCCCGGGGGTGGGCAGTCAGGGCCAAGAACGCACAGTAAACCCCCAGTACACACAAGCGCACACACGCACATGCTGACAGCACTCGCATTTTTAAGATGGGGAAATAGAGGCTCAGAGGGGGCATGCGCGTTCCTGCCCCTCAGGATCACCAGCCTGCCCCCAGGAGAAAAGGGAAGGGAACAAGGCTGATGGCTGGTTCCACCAACTGGGCGCCCGGGCTCAGGGTGAATGTGGGGGGCTGTGACCCCTGAGACGTTGGATCTGCCTCCCTGGTATGGTTTGGATGTTTGTCCTCTCCGAATCTCTCACTGAAACGTGACTCCCAGTGTTAGAAGTGGGGCCTGGTGGGGGGTGTTTGGGTCATGGGACAGACCCTCATCAGTGGCTCTTTGCAGTAATGACTGAGGTCTGGTTGTTGAAAAGAGCCTGGCACCTCCCTCCCCGACTTGCCCCCGTCTCGCCATGTGATGCGCCGGATCCCCTTCCCCGTTTACCATGCGTAAAAGCTTCCTGAGGCCTCACCAGAGGCACATGCCGGTGCCATGCTTCCTACACAGCCTGTAGAACACCAAGTCAAATAAACGCCTTTTCTTTATAAATTACCCAGCCTCACGTGTTCCTTTATCACAACACTAAATGGACGAACACACCCCTAGAGCCGCCTTCCTGACCATAGGCTCCTATTCCTTGCGGGTGCCTCCAGGCTCAGGGGAGCTCGCCACCCTGCAGGGCTAGCAGCAGACGTGCTGATCCCACACAGTGAACAGCTTGAGCTTGTTTCAAAACAGGCCGGCTGAACACATGGGAGTCACAGGGACCCGGCAGAGCCTGGAAGGCATCAGGTGGGTGGGAATGCTTTTCCCCCAGCAGGAGCCCTCATGGGCTCCTGGCCCAGCCTGTCTGAGTCTGCCTTTGTCTGCTTCTTTGGGACCCCCTGACTCCAAGCCCCATCAAGCTTGCATCTCCACACCCAGCCCCAGTGTTAGCTATCGACCCAGGCCTGTATTTCTTTGTCCTTTATTTTTATTTTTATTTTTATTTTTTGAGACAGAGTCTTACTCCATCACCCAGGCTGGAGTGCAGTGGCACAATCTCGGCTCACTGCAGCCTCTGCCTCCCGGGTTCAAATGATTCTCATGTCTCAACCTCCCGAGTAGCTGAGATTACAGGCGTGCGCCACCATGCCTGGCTGATTTTTGTATTTTTAGTAGAGACGGGGTTTCAGCATGTTGGCCAGGCTGGTCTCAAACTCCTGACCTCAAGTGATCCACCCGCCTTGGCCTCCCGAACTGCTGGGATTACAGGCGTGAGCCACCACACCTGGCCTTCATCCTTTAGGAGATCATGAGAGGCCACTCTGCCCTCCTCTGGGGCCACCCCTTCCTTCATCCCTTCCTCCCGGCTGGACTCTTTACCACCCCAGTGCTAGCTCCGCTGGTGGCAGTAAGAGCTGGCATGGTAAGCGCCTCCTCCATTCCGGGCTCTGTGCCCACAGCAGCCCTGAGAGCTGGTACTGCTGGTGGTCCCCCCGCACACCTCCATGCCTGGGCCCAACCATTTCTCTGTGTCCCCTCATCAGCCCCTACCCGTACAGTCCCAGAGGCCATCATCTCCCTCCTGACTCCCCACGGGCCTCCCTGCCACCACGCTCTCCCCCAACAGTTCTTTCTCCTCACAGCACTCAGAGTCATCTGCTAAAAATGGAGTCCAATTACATCTCTCCCCTGCTCAAGACCCTCCATGGCTCCCTATTGCTCTGAGAGAAAACCCGACCTCCTTTCAGGCCCTCTGTGATCACTGGATGTGGGTGGAACTCCAGCCCCTGCCCTTCGCTCACTCTGCTCCAGCCACGTCACCTCCTCCGGGCTCCTACATGCCCCAATCACATTCCCACCTCAGGGTCTTTGCAAATGCTATTCCCTCTGCCTAGAAGCCTCTCTTCCCAGGTCCTCCTCATTCCTGGGCACCTGGGAAGCCTCCACCTCCTAGTTCAGATCTTTGCTGCAAGGCCACCTCCTCAGAGAGCCCTTTCCTGACCACCTTGGTTCATTCTGTATTAACATGTTTTCTTGTTCACTCACAAAGACTGAAACCCACGACAGCAGCAACTTTGTTTTTTTTCCCATTTGGTTTCCCCAGCCCCTAGAGCATCCTGGCACATGGCACCTAATCAATAAATATTCCTTGAATTAATGCATCTAGATTCTACCAAGGCCTAAGAGTAGGAAGGACAGAGACTAACTAGGAGCCTGACCCTGTCTACCCCCACCCCCATTCCTGCTGCTACTTTCCAGCCTGGATTCCTCAATCACTCCAGGGTGGCCCTTTAGGATTGGATTCTGTGCTGCCCAGAGGCTGCCACACCACAGCTGAGGGCCGCCCTAATACAATGCCAGATGTTCCCCAGCACGGCCACCCTGCCTCCATGCCAGGGACTATTCTAATTGCTTTAAATATACCAACTTGTTTCTTCCGTGCAATAGCCTATTTTACATGTGAAGAAACAGGCACAGAGAAGGTAAGTGACTTGCCCAAGCTCACACAGCCAGGAAGTGGCAGAACTAGCATTTGAGCCCAGGCAGCCTGGCCTCAGGGTGCATCTTCCCAACTATATCACATAGAGTGGGACCCTGTGCGGAGCACATCCTGGACACCCGCCCTGGGCGTTTCAGCACTCTCCTGCCCTCAATCTCTTGCCACATCACCACCCTGGACATCGCCCTCTCCTGATGAAGAACCTATGATGGCTCCTATACTCGTAGAAGCCTGGACCTTCAGCCTGGCATTGAGGCCTTGCACAGCTGGCCTGATCCTGCTTTCCCAACACACCCCACTGCTCTGGGCTGCACCCTGGGGTGCCCAGACCACCGCCTGTGTCCGGAAGGCCTCTGCCCGGACTGCTCCCTCTGCAGGGATGCCATTCCTCCACCCTCACTCCGTGAGCCCGTCCCGGGCCCCAAGGCTCAGCTCAAATGCTGCCCAACCCCGCCCACCCTCCTCTGCACACACCCCCAAGGGCCAGAGCTCACTTCACAGACACAGAGAACTCCCCTGGGGAGCTCTCACTCTCCCGGATCAGGAAGGCTCCCAGATGGTTCCGCTTCATCAGAATCTCTTCGGCCAGCTGCCGGGAAATCCTGCCCGAGTACCACCTGCGGAGAGAGGGAGCCGGTGAAGGCAGTGTGAGACCAGGCTCTCAGCCAGCCTCCCACCCCGTGCCAGGTGTTCAAGGTCTGAGACAAGGGAGATGTGATTGCACCCATTTTACAGATGGGAAAACTGAGGCACAGAGAGGTGAAGCAATACACCCACAATCACACAGCAGAGGCAGGCAGGAGCTGGAACACAATCCCAGCATTTTAGCTCCTGAGGCCAGCCTCTCCTACCATGCCAGCAAACACATACCCTTATGGAAACAGAAAAGTCACACTCCAGTGAGCCACACCCCAGCCAACCTCAGTCTAACTTTCCCTTTGAGATGGTAGATTCTTTAAAGTCAAAAAATAAATCAGGCTCGGTGGTGCGTGACCGTAGTTCAGCTACTCGGGAGGCTGAGATGGGAGGATCACTTGAGGCCAAGACTTTGAGACCAGCCTGGGGAATAGAGAACCTCCCACCCCCATTCCTTAAAAAAATACTTCTGGCCGGGTGCGGTGGCTCCCGCCTGTAATCCCAGCACTTTAGGAGGCCGAGGCGGGAGGATCACGAGGTCAGAAGATCAAGACCATCCTGGCTAACACGGTGAAACCCCATCTCTACTAAAAATACAAAAAAATTAGCCGAGCGTGGCGGCATGCACCTGTAGTCCCAGCTGCTGGGGAGGCTGAGGCAGGAGAATGGCATGAACCCAGGAGGCGGTGCTTGCAGTGAGCCGAGATCGCACCACTGTCCTCCAGCCTGGGTGACAGAGCAAGACTCCGTCTCAAAAACAAACAAACAAACACTTTTTTTAAAAAATAGAGTCTTGTTCTGCCGTCCAGGTTGGAGTGCGGTGGCATGATCTCAGCTCACTGCAACCTCCGCCTCCTGGGTTCAAGTGATTCTCCTGTCTCAGCCTCCCGAGTAGCTGGGACTACAGGTGTGTGCCACCGCCCCGGCTAATATACATATATACATATTTTTTTGTATTTTTAGTAGAGACAGGGTTTCACCATGTTAGCCAGGATGGTTTTGATCTCCTGACCTCGTGATCCGCCCACCGCAGCCTCCCAAAGTACTGGGATTACAGGCGTGAGCCACCGCACCCGGCAAAAAAAAAAAAACTTCTTAAGTCGAAAATATAAAAACATGACAAAAATAATAGTAGCTTTGATATGGTGAGGAAATATCCATTCCACAGTCTCAGGCCACCTGAATTTTTTTCACAGGCACAAGTTCCTTTTGCTGCTGACCAAACAGAACTGGGTATGCAGAAGTTGCCTGGTAAATGCTTAGACTCTTGCAAGATCCCCAGGGTCTGGGAGTGAAACTCCTTTTCCAGTCCTGCTTATCTTGCTGTGTGGCTCCTGGTAGCTCCTGGTAGCCCCCGGCCTCTTCAGGAATTTGCCACTGCTATAGGCTGACTTTCTGTCCCCCAAAATTCAAATATTGAAACCTAATCCCCCATGTGACAGCAGTAAAAGGTGGGGTCATTGGGAGGTGATTAGCAGTCCCCCTGAATGGGATTGGTGCCCTTATGAAAGAGACCCCAGAGAGCTCACTTGTCTCTCTGCCATGTGAGGACACAGCTAAAAGACACAGCCGTCTGTGAACCAGGAAGTAGCCTCATCAGACGTGAATTTGCCGGCACCTTGATCTTGAACTTCAGACTCCAGAACAGTGAGCAACAAATGTCTGTTGTTCATAAGCTACCCAGTGGATGGCATTCCGTGACAGCAGCCTGCAGGACTAGAACACCCACCATCGGAGGGGCTGTGTGGTCTCTGACTGGCTTTCCTAACTCCAGTGTTTTAGCCCAGCTTTGGCTCTGACCCCTTTATTGTTCGGATGGGGAAACTGAGGCCCAGAGCAGCCACAGGTCTCGTGGTGGCACCATGACAGAATGTTCCCCTTCACTCCTTCCATAAATGCTCCTCTCCCTGAGTCAGACTGAGCTCGGCACAGGTGGTGGAAGCCAGGCGGGGCTTTTCCTGTTGTTTCGGATGTTGATGAGCCCTCGGGGCTGAGTGCAGAAGGCGTGCGGTGCTGCACATGCCGCTAGTGTCCTGGCCATGTCCCGGCGCCGGCCTTGGCAGGATGAAGGCTGCTCAGTACAGACCTCGGGGCCTTTTTTCTGGTGATTGACATATTTGGCCTGGGTTCAGGGCAGGCTGAGGCTCCCAGGAACAGTCTGACTCCCAGTGGTGACTGATGGAGCAGAGGGGTAGACGCCCCAGCGCCTGGCCTTCCGGAGGCATGACTCCTAGGTGCGCATTCTGTACTGTCTCCAGCTGGCCCTGGTCCCCAGCCAGATGGAGCTCCGGTTACCCCCAGCAGCGATGACGCCAACAGTTTGCCCCACTGGCTCCCCCACTTCCCTGTCCTCTTCTCCACTGTTATATAAATTCCTTGTTATCAGGCTCGTGTCTCAGGGACGGCTTCCGGAGAAACCCGAACTCCTAGACATGAGATTCTAGACCACTGCTGCCCCCAAACGAATGGGGGCCCCTCGGCCCCTGTCCCAGCGAGTTTCCTTCTGGGAGGGGACGTGGGGAAGGTAGCCGCTGGGTATAGGGCTCAGGGCAACCATCCGGAGAGCTCAGCCTGGGTCTTCTGGGGTTTGGAGACCTGAAGGCAGGTGCCCAGCCAGCCTGGGTGTCTCAAGGCCAGAGGTGAATGCCACAGGCTGCAGCAGGAGGGGAGCGTAGGGGGCCCAGGGTTGGGGTTACCAGGCAGGGGAGCTGCAGAGAGCTTCTCCACCAGGAAGCCCCCAGCTCCGTCCCGCAACAGTGCCCAGCGTGGCCCAGGGCGGGAGTTTCCTGAGGGGGCAGGTTTCTTCGAAGAACCCACAAAACTCCTCAGGCGGCATCAGTGTGTGGGTGGCTGTTGCCCTCAGAGAGCATCGCAATCACACCCTCCCAGGAGTTCCCACGTCCCCTGCCAGCCCTGCCCCCACCATGGCTTGACGGATGGAGGCAAGAAGAAAGCACTTCCTGAAACTCCAGGGCCCGGCTCCTTCCCCCACACCAGTGTCACTCCATTTGTGGCCATCTCGCATCATTCCTGTTTTACTGATGTGGAAACCGAGGCCCAGATAGGGGCAGAGACGCCCCCACACCCCACCAGATTGCATAGCAAGTGCATGGCCTGGGACTCTCCCAGTCCCACAGCTGTTCTTATGAGCTTCCCCGCTGTCCTCCAGGGTGTCCCAGCCCAGGGCCATGCCACACGGCTGCAGTCCCGCTCCACCTCGTGCCAGCTGTGAGATCCTGGGGGGGCACTCAACCTCTCTGTGCCTCTGTCTGCTAATCTCAAAGATGGCGATGGTGGTGCTCAGCTCTCAGGGCCTTGGGAGGATGCATGAGCTGCTCGTACGCGGGTGTTTGCTGCTCCCCCCACACATCCCCCTGCCAGGCTTGTCTCTGCCTTCCCTGGCAGACATCTACTTGAACTTCCAGGCCCAGCGGGCCACACCCTTCCTCTAGGAAGCCATCCCTGACTCCCATGGGCCGTGAGGCTGGGTCACTTGCCGCTGTGGCCCCTGCTGATGGGGCTGGCTCTGGAGCACTTGGCGTACATTGTGCCTCCCCCGGGGGCTCCTGGGGTTGGCAGGGGTGAGAGGGGGTGCCCAGGGAAGGAGTGGGCCTGGCATAGGCACGAGGCCTACCTCTGAATTTCTGAGGCCCCAGCCCTCCCTCTGACCCCACACCTGAGGCCTTTATGGGCTAAGTCAGGTATGGAGCTGGAGTTTCCCCATAGTTATTTTGGGGAGCAAGGCAGGTGCTGAGGTTAGTCGAGGACACACCTGGGCATCACTTCAGGCAGGTTACTCGGGGGCTTGACCCCATCCCTGCTGTGTCCCAGACACAAATGGCCAGAGATGACCCCAGAGGCATGGGAGGCTGAAACCCTCCATGGCTCCCAACTGCCCTGCTAGAGTCTTGCCTCGACCACTGGCATCCCCTCGACAGGCCTGGCCCGGCACTGCGGTCTTTTGTCATCTTTTCTCCCCTGCCTGAGCAAATGCGACCCTCTCAGCAGCTGTAGGCCAGCCAGCCTTCCAGCCATTGCCAGGCCATTTCCTCCACCTGAAGGCCCCTCCCTGACAGCTTGGCCCAGGGGGATTGCTCCCGTTCATGCCCTCTGGCATGTCTGGATGGTCCCATTGGCTTACAGGGGCCTGGGGCACTGGCTCCAGCTTGTGGCCCTGGGTCGGATTCTCTCGTCTCTCTCCCTCTTCGCACACCCCCCTCCCTCTCCCCCTTAATTGACAGAAAGATCACAGAAACCTGCCCAATGTCACACAACCACGCGGGACATAGTGGGGCCTGGAACCCAGGCTGCCGCCCCAGATGCCGACTGGAAGCTGCAGCCTCTGTGGGGGAGGCTGGGAGTGCCTGCAGCCCGGGCAGGTGGCTGAGGACCTGGGTCGGAGGGGGCCTCGCCCAGCACAGGAAGCTGGAGGTGGTGGCAGCTTTGGAACTAACTTAAAGAGAGATAAAGAGGAAATACCTCTCATGCCCCACCCTGGCCCTGCACCTCCTTCCCTTCCCACCGCACAGCCACACACACATCTCAGCTCCCAAACTGTCCCGCCAGCCTGCTTGGCCCTGTCACCTGTCTCCATATCTGACTGAGTCCTACCATAACACCTCCATGGCTCCCCACATGGCTTGGCATTTGGGGGCCTCCTGCCAGTCCCACATGCCACAAGTTCTCTCTCATTGCTCTCCCTTTGCTCATCCTGACCCTCTCCCAGGGATGCCTTTCTCTTTTTCTACTTAACCAACTCCTACACATCCTTCAAAATCTCACTCATTGCCACCTCTTCTGAGAAGCCTTCCCTGAGAAATCACCTTAATGCTCACTGTCTTCCCATGTAGTATGTCCTTCATGTCCTCTTTCTCCCCCAGAACACAGCTGCTCTGACCCCTTGTGTCTCCAGCATCACCCGGGCTGGACCCCCTGGAATTGTGGCCAGTGTTTAGTGAATGACTAAGTGGCTGTATCTTGGGGCTGCCTCAGCTGCCATTTAAAGCATATCCAGTTGGTTTGCATAGATTTCTTGGGCCCCATGCCTGTTCTGAGGCTGGGCCCTGCCCCAGTCATTCTCAGGGCAGCAGTGTTGGCTGCCACCTGCCCAGAGCCCAACCTGGGACATCCCTAGGCTGGTAGGTCCCAGGCCCCAGGATAGCTGGGCCCCAGGCCCAGTTCTTGCTCCACCCTGGTACCAGACTCTGCTCTGCCAATGTCCAACTCCCCCCCAGACTCCAAAGGCAGGGCCTACAGGGTCTGCTTCCCGCCCAGCCCTCTCCCAGCCACCACCCAGGGCCGGGCCAGCTCTCAGCAAGAGCTCTAGAACCCTCCACCCTGAACAGATTGGAGCATCTGCCCTCCTTGAGTTATAGATAGGAAAACTGAGGAACAGAGGGCAGGGACCTGCCTGAGGCCACACAGCAGCCAGTGGCGCAGCCAGCTGAAAGCCCAGGGCCTTGTCCTCTCTCGGGGACCTCCTGGACATTCTCCAGTGGCTCACGTCCTCAGTGTGGAAGCCTGGGCTTGCCCTGACTCTGTCCCCACTCTGGGGAAGTCCTCAGAACTCAGTCTCCTATGCCTGCCCAGGCTGGTGGCCTCTGTGGAGCCTGGGGGCCCCAGACAGATGGACAGAGGCCCAGGAGTGAGGGGGTCCCATGGCCAGGAGAGATAGAGCCACGGGGATGGGATGGGGCTGTCCACTCACGGATGGGGCTTGACGCGGATGTAGTTCTTGGGAATAAATCCCTCGACACCCCGGAGCTCGGCCTTGTACCAGTTCTGGTCATCCTCCATGTTCAGGATCTGTGGGCAGGAGACACAAAGCCACTCAGTCACCGAGAAGGAACAACTGTCACCCCCGGAGGCCCCACTGCACGCCAGGCCCCAGGTGGGCCTCGCCTGCACCAGCTTCTGTGCCTACTCACAGAGCAGGGCTGGGGGCCTGGGACAGGACTTGCCCACGGTCCCAAGGGCTGAATTAGAAGCCCTCGTTCCTCAGTGCTGCCCATCCCCTGGCCCCAGGACAGCCCATCCTCAGGTGATTCACAGACTCCAAGGGAGGCACAGTCGGGGACTCGTAGGAGGCTTGGGGTGGCTGGAGCTGGATTCTCAGGCTCCGACACCAGGAGCCCTGCGGACCATGGGGTTTGCAGGAGCAGAACTGGGGACCTGAGTTCCTTCCTGGGTTGTGCCCCCGAGTTTGGGGGGCCCACAGCACTTACATGCCACGCACTGAGCCTTGGGGTGAAGGTCGGGGGACCCGGCCTGAGCACAGCCACCAGTGGTCACCTAGGGTCCCTCGCATTTAGACAGCTCAGGGGTGACAATTCAGTGGGGGGACGTCAGGCTCTGGGGAGCAGATAAGGGGGCCTTTGGTCTGAGACAGACTGGTTCTCAGCCCTGGCATGGCCTGCTCGGTCACACGGGCTCCTCTTCCGAGCCTGTGAGGCCCCCATCACACCACAGGTGGGCCCGGAGGAACTGAAATAGCCAGAGCCGGGGTGGGAGTCCCTGAGGGGGAGCAACCAAGCGACCAAGGCGGGGGGCGGGGCCGGGCCTGGGAGGGGCACAGCATGAGGCCGGGGGTCCTGCCTCCATTCCCTGGGCACGCCTTCCGTCTGTCCCCCTGATTCTCATATAGCCCCCAAGGTCAACATCACCAAATGCTATTTTACAAATAACAAAACTGAGGCCCACAGGGGAAGTGACTTGGCCAAGGCCACGCAGCAGGGGAGAGGCAGAGCCTGTTTGGTCAGTCAGGACTCTGAGGCCTGGAGTTTTTGGCTCACTGGTCAAGGGGGTCCTGGCCCACCAATTTTTGCCTCCAGTCCTCTTTGTCACTGGACTCCAGCTTGAGGGGACATCTCTCCTGTGAGGGGACATCTCTCCTGTCAGTCCTGGAGCAGGTTCCAATGTCAGCTCAATCCTTCAGGGGTACTTGAGAGAAAAAATTGGGCACGGGGTACCAAAGGCCCAGGGCGGGCCAATACAGGGGCATCAACTCCAGCAGTGATATTTTGCCAAGAGTAGCTGGGATTGGCCTCCTAGGGCCCAGGCCTGAGGCCCCACCCTCACAGGTGGCCTCTGCACCCCCATCTCCACCCCCGCTTTGTCCACCAGGCCAGGCTGGCTGAGCCTCTTCCTTCCTGCCCCTGCAGCCTGGGCCAGGTCAGCAGACCCAGGGGTGAACGGAAGCAGGTGGCTGACTCAGGAAAACTTTCGCTCAACACAAAACAAAACAGGCCGGGCGCAGTGGTTCACGCCTGTAATCCCAGCACTTTGGGAGGCTGAAGAGGGTGGACCACCTGAGGTCAGGAGTTCAAGACTAGCCTGGCCAACATGGCGAAACCCCGTCTCTACTAAAAATACAAAAAAATTAGCCAAGTATGGTGGCACACTCTCATAATCCCCAACTTTCTCAGGAGGCTGAGGCAGGAGAATCACTTGAACCCGGGAGCTGGAGGCTGCAGTGAGCCGAGATCGCGCCATTGCACTCCAGCCTGGGCAACAGAGTGAGACTCCGTCTCAAAAAAACAAAACAACTCCCCCAACCTAAGGAGAAAATGAGGGCCTGTAGGCCACATACCACAGCCATGGATTCCAGGAGGATGCCCTGAAGCCTGGGGCTCCAGAACATTCTGTCTGCTTCTGACTCTCTCTGTGGCCTTGGCCTCAGTGTCCTCCCTCGTCTGTCCAATGGGTGCATTTATGGCCTGCCCTGCATGCAGCAGTGCGGACACTGGGTGGAATACGTCTCATGCAGTCCCTGCTTCGTTTTGTCTCCTTGTCATCTGCACTCAGAGGACTCAGGAATGTCCCATTGGTTACATTAGCTAATTTCTTTTTCTTTTTTCTTTTTTTTTTTCTTTTTGAGATGGAGTCTCACTCTGTCACCAGGCTGGAGTGCAGTGGCGCAATCTCAGCTCACTGCAACCTCTGCCTCCTGGGTTCAAGCGATTCTCCTGCCTCAGCCTCCCGAGTAGCTGGGACTACAGGTGTGTGCCACCACGCCCAGCTAAATTTTTGTATTTTTAGTAGAGATGGGGTTTCACCATGTTGGCCAGGCTGGTCTCGATCTCTTGACCTCACGTTAACTGATTTCTTACTGTGAACATTGTTTGAAAGCCCCAGACCCTCTGAGACCCGGGAATTCTCACAAGGGAGAGAGGCCAACTCCTCCCTGGAGGAGTATCACTGCTCAAGGTGAGAGGCAGAACTTGGCCTGCCCCTGAGCCTTTGCCCACATGGTGCCCTCCACCCAGGCTGCCGCCCCACTTTACCATCCCAGCCCGATGCAGTTGCTGCTTGATAGTTGTTTACTGAGCACCTACTGTGTGCCAGGCACCCCACGACAGAGCAGGGAACAAGAAGCTCACATTCTAGTAGGCAGAGACAGACCATAAACAAGGGAAGAAACAAATAAGCAAGGTAGTTTAATGGAGCAGTAAGCGCTGTGAAAAATGGACATCAGGTGACAGATGGAGAATGTCTGGTTGGGTGGGAGCAGGGAGATTGTCAACACGGGACAGGTGGGGTGGTCCAGAAAGGCCTCTCTGAAGAAGTGACATGGAAGCTGAGACCCGAATTACAAGAAGGAACCAGCGGTAAGAAAATGTGGGGAACAGTGTCCAAGACGGACGGAACAGCCAGTGCCAAGGCTCTGAGGTGGGGCCAAGCTCTGTCCCTGAAACAGAAAGGAGGCCAGGGTGTCTGGAGCTGAGGGAGGGAGGAGCAGATGTCATAAGATGTACGGGGGAGGACCAGGCTCTGAGTCATGGCCACTGCATGGAGACTGGGCTGGGGAGCAGGGATTGTTGCGGGGAGGCCTTGGGAGCCACCACGCAAGCCCAGGTAAGTGACAATGGAGGCCTGGGCTGGAGGAGGGGCTTCGGGTAGGTTTTGCCAGAGTTGCCGACAAGACAATGACAGGCAGCAGAAAGTAGGTTCAGGGAGCCCAGGGCTGGCTGTGTTGGGTCTGGACCGTCGCCCTTTCCCATGGAGATGTCAAGGTGACATGGGCTTCCTGAGTCTGGGTCTCATCATCCAGGCTGCTCGTGCAGAGATGGGAGTGAAGCCACTAACCACATGCCCCTCCAGCTGGCAACAGCATGGGGGTGCGTGCACCCAGAAACGCCTGGCCTATCAGGGAGGGAGGCTTTGTCCCAGGGAGGTGATGTTTGGGGCCATTTGTCCAGGGTGAGTCCATGAGCCAGAGTTTTCATCCAAGACCAAAGTTCAGATTTCAAGAACGGGCTTCATCGCCCACTCTCCCAGGCTGGACTCAATCTGTAGGCAGGCAGTGCCATGGCAGGGGCTGGCCCACAGGGAGCACTGGAAAATACTTGCTAGACGAGAGGACAGGATGGTCGCGGAGCTCAGCTTCCACCCCAGCCACTTGATCCCTCCAAGCCTGGCTCAACGCCTCCCGCGCACCCCATTCCTATTTCATCACTGCCCCACTCCCTCCCAACACCACACTTGGGTCTAGAGACCTCGAAGTGCTCTCAGATGAGAAACCAAGACTTGGATCCCCGCAGAGGGTCATGCCTTGGGCTCACAGCCCCAGTGCTCAGCCTGGCCCTGTCCCCATCTGGCCACATGTCCACGAGGCCGACAGCCAGCACTGCAGTGACCCCAGGTGCCAGCACCAGCACCCCAGCATAGAGAAGAAGGAATTGCTCCTCCTCCTCTGGACCCCAACCCCCAGCCCAGCCTGTTCAGACCAAGCGCAAGTTCCACAGCCAAAGGGACACGGGTTCAAAACTGACTCCATACCGAGCAGGTCATGTTGCCTCCCTGTGCCTCAGTTTAGTCACCTGTGAAATGGGGGTGCCAGTCCCCATTGCTTAAATGGTACATGAGGTGTGCTGCTGAGTTCGGGGCCTGGCTATAGCAGGGTGATGGCACAGGGAGCTCTCCCGTCTTGTGCTTGAAGCTTGTGGCCAAGGGCAGCGCCCAGGGCTCAGCGCAGAGGAGCATCCAGTCTAACACCCATTGCTCCAGTGGGGAAACTGAGGCCCAGGGAAGGGCAGTCACTTCCCTAGTGTGGTTTACTGGCAGTTCCAGTGCACACGTCTTGGCATGGCCACTCCCAGAATCCTGGGCATGGCTTTCATATGCAAACTTTTAAGCAAGGACATTTCCAGAGACACATTCCACAGGCCCAACTGTCTAGACCGTCTTGGAAGGCTGCAACATCTGTCAAAAGCGGCCCAGACAAGGAGAAATGAACGGTGGTATGACTCTATTTTCCCTTTTCTCCACACTACTGGGAAGCTCATCCTTGACACTTTCATCTTAGCTATTTTAGCCCTACTAGGTTAGCATGTGTACTTATTTCTTTCCTAAGACCTTCTCTCTCTCCCTCTTTCTCGCTCTGTTCTCCATTCCCATACTCTGTCTCTCTCTCTAGCTCTCATTCTCTCCCTCTCTCAACAATTTTCTTTTCAAACTTTTTCCTGGAAAACTGGGGGTTGAACTAACTCCTGCCAGACACTGTGGTAATATCTCATCGAATCCTCACAACAGCCCCAAAGGAGGGTCATTAGTTATCTCCCCATTTCCTAGATGGAGAATCTGAGGCTCCGAGGGAAAAGGTGGCTTGTCCAGAGTCACACAGCCAATAACTGGAGAGGCTGGGCCTGTCTTCCAGGGGCCACAGTCTGCTTGGGACAGTCCCAGGTCCCTGGTTCCTAAATCCACCCCCACCCCGTGTGGGGCCAACTCAGCAGGCTCCAGCCCCCCTACCTTGAGTGTGTCTCCCTTGTTGAAGGCCAGCTCGTCGCTCTCTGTAGCCTGAAAGCTGTACAGGGCCACGGACTCCATGCCGCTGCTCGGGGCTCCAGCAGCTGGGCTCAGAGCTGGGCCGACAGCTTCCTGCTTCCTCTGCAGTCGAGGACGGTCTTCCTTTGTTTTGAGTGCGCGTTTGTTCTTTTGAAGTTGAGACTGAAACTGCTCCTGATGGGGGAGAAACAGGAAACAGACATGTCACAGAGCAGG
This sequence comes from Homo sapiens, assembly GCF_000001405.40. Lineage (NCBI taxonomy): Eukaryota > Metazoa > Chordata > Mammalia > Primates > Hominidae > Homo > Homo sapiens. The sequence continues at coordinate 19,047,101 of NC_000017.11, forward strand.
GAGGGCTTGTGAGCCAGCTCTGTCCCTACCTCAGACCCCAGGTGCCAGGAATGGCCCTTGGGGAGTCTCCCTGAAGCTCTGGGAGTGGGGCCCCCTTGTGCCCATGTTTTATCATCCGTAAAAGTGAGGTGCCTGGAGGAGAAGTGCCAAAGCTGTCCTGCTGGCTCAGGCACTGAGTCTCATGGCACCAGATGCTGGCCTCCCTTCACCAATCTGCCAATGACTCTCCATCTTTTCCTAAACCCTGATGCCTCTTGTGATGCCCTGCCTCCTGCTCCTTCAATCCCAAGCTCCTCACCTGGCATTCAAGGCCCTTGCAATCCACCACCTCCACCTGCCCCTACAAACAGCCCCCATTCTCATCCTTTGTCATCCCCTTCACTCTAAACAAACCCAGGGCTTCAGCCACAGCAAGGGGCCACACCAAACTCTCATTTCAACCCCAGACTTTTGCACACGTGGTTCCTCTGCCTGGTGTTCTCCTCTTTCTGCTCCCAGGAGACTCCTATTCATCCATCAAAGACCAGCTCAGAAGGTACCTCTTCTGGTTTAGACACTGGGCACCTTAGGTGGGACTTAAATCCTAAGGTCAACAAGACTTGTAGGTCGGGCGCGATGGCTCATGCCTATAATCCCAGCACTTTGAGAGGCCAAGATGGGCGGATCACTGGAGGTCAGGAGTTCGAGATCAGCCTGGCCAACATGGTGAAGCCTCATCTCTAATAAAAATACAAAAAATTAGCCTGGCATGGTGGCATGTGCCTGTAATCCCAGCTACTGGGAAGGCTGAGGCACAAGAATCGCTTGAACCCGGGAGGCAGAGGCTGCAGTGAGCCAAGGATCCATCCAGGCTCCAAGCAATCCTCCCACCTCAGCCTCCAGAGTAGCTCGGACTACAGGTGCCCACCACCATGTCTGGCTAATTATTTGTATTTTTAGTAGAGATGGGTTTTCACCATGTTACCAAGGCTGGTCTTGAATTCCTGGACTCAAGCGATCCTCCTGCCTGAGATTGCGCCATTGCACTCCAGCCTGGGTGACAGAGCGAGTCTCCTTCTCAAAAAAAAAAAAAAAAAAAAGAGAATTGTAAATAAATCTCTACCTTTCCTTAGTGGGTTTGTTATGAGCAGTGTTATCGGTGTAGCAATTCTGAAACTGTTTTGCAAGTGTTGCAGGATAGCGCACAAATGGACAAGCACAGCTGTATTGTTTGGAACCAGGGTTCTCCCTGGGAAAGAAGGGAGACACAGACGTGGAAGGAAAACCAGGCAGAGCCCTGTGGTGTTGCATGGACACTGGATGAATCAGTGTGAAGTCACATTGTTTTTTTTCTGTAAAGAAGTTTTTCTTCCTTCATTTATATTAATATAGGCTCATGGTTTCATATTTTAGCCAGTGGATTATAATCCATTACTATTACATTTATTTTGATGCTTAAAATGCCCCTGATTAGGCCAGTGGGGTCTCCTTCAAGCTGTCTCCTTATCCTTTTGACATGGACCCATCATTCTATGAACACACCCTGACCTTCTGGCCAATAATAGAAGAATCGCTTGAACCTGGGAGATGGAAGTTGCAGTGAGCCGAGATCGCACCATTGCACTCTAGCCTGGGTGACACATCAAGACTCCATCTCAAAAAAAAAAAAAAAAATAGTTGAGAGGGAAGAAGAGAAGATGACAGCTGCCCGCCGCCCACTCTGGAGTCCCTGAGCCAACCAGGCAGGATGGAGCTGGCCCTGGCCTCACCCAGCTCCATTCCAGGGCTTCTCCACGCTGCCCTCTACTCAAAGACCCCTGCCTTCTGGCTGCCCCCGACCCCAAGGGTGACAGGATGTTATAAGGCCCCTCTTTCCGGCTCTGTTGCAGCTGAGGTTTCAAAGCCTCAGAATGATGCAATGGAGGGGTTGGGATCGGCCCCCGCCTCAGTTCTGAGGTGCTTCTAGCCATATGAGGGGAGGAGGACTTCCCCTTATGAAGCTGAATGGGTGTCCCCTGGGGCGGTGGGACAGATGCCGGGTTTATTTTTATGTGTTTTAGAAGTATTTATTCTCTGCCAAGTCCTTTACAAAGAGGTAAGTGACCAATAGTTGGTAGGTGGCAGGGCTGGGGTTCAAACCCAGGCAGGCCTGAGGGCCAAACCATGCCTACAACTCCTTCGCCGCATGGCCTCAACCCGAAGGATTCCTGCCCAAGGTGGCTCGGGCCAGAGCTGGGAGCCTGGGCTGCCTACTGTACAGTGAGCTCAAGGAGTGCAGTGAGGTAAGCAGCAAAGCTTTGTTGGAGGGTAAATCTGCCCTGATTCCGGGAGACCAGAGAGGACCCCACAAATGGGACTTGACTGAGAGGACCCTTGAAGAATGCAGCACCCCAAATGAGGCAGACGCTGGGGCCTGGAACGAGGGGCCATCGGAAACTGGAGGCTTGGGCCAGGCGCGGTGGCTCATGCCTGTAATCCCAGCACTTTGGGAGGTCAAGGCAGGCAGATCACTTGAGGCCAGGAGTTCGAGACCAGCCTGACCAACATGGTGAAACCCTGTCTCTACCAAAAATACAAAATTAGGCTGGGCACGGTGGCTCACATCTGCAATCCCAGCACTTTGGGAGGCCGAGGCAGGTGGATCACCTGAGGTTAGGAGTTTGAGACCAGCCTGGCCAACATAGTGAAACCCCGTCTCTACTAAAAATAAAAAATTAGCTAGGCGTGGTGGCGAGTGCCTATAATCCCAGCTATTTGGGAGGCTGAGGCAGGAGAATCACTTGAACCCAGGAGACGGAAGTTGCAGTGAGCCAAGATCATGCCACTGCACTCCAGCCTGGGCGACAAGAGTGAAACTCCATCTCAAAAAATGTATATACAAAATTAGCCGGGAGTGGTGGCGCACGCCTGTAATCCCAGCTACTTGGGAAGCTGAGGCAGGAGAATTGCTTGAACCCAGGAGGCGGAGGTTGCAGTGAGCCGAGATCACCCCATTATACTCCAGCCTGGGCAACAAAAGAGAAACCCTATCTCAAAAAAAAAAAAAAACAAAAAAACAACAAAATAAGGAGTTTTGGAAACCAAGGTTTTATTATGCAGATGAAGCCTCCAGGTAGCTGGCTTCAGAGAGAATATAGTGTAAATGTTTCTTATCAGACTGAAAGAGTCCGTTCTAACAGTAATTCCAAAAGCGAGGAGGTTATAACAAGGCATGTCCAGCTCCCCCTTCCCATCATATCCTGAACTCATTTTCAGGTTAACTTTGGAATGCCCTTGCCGAGAGAAGGAGTCCATTTGGATGGTTAAGGGGCTTAGGATTTTGGTTTTGGTTTATGGAGGTCCCTCAAAAGCTGCTCACAGGAGGAAAACTCATCACTGGCCACAGGCCACACCAGGCCAGGGCAGACCCAGCCACTGTCTCAGTGCTGAAACCCTAACCCCCTGTGATCAGCTGAGTAACAGCCCCGAAGACATCCAGGTCCTGATCTCAAGAACTTGGAACGTTCCCTTATATGACAAGAGGGACTTTGCCGGTGCGATTATGTTAAGGGTCGTGAGATTGGATGGAAACTGCAATTTCAATGCAGTTTGAGTTCTGTAATTAGTAGACTGGGCTAGACTACTGGACCCTGGAACACTCCAAACAGGCTGATTGGGGAACTTTTTATCATCAGAGATTGGCTGAAACACCTGAGAGAACTCCCTGAAAAAAAATTTTTTTGAGACAGAGTTTTGCTTTTGTTGCCTGAACTAGAGTGCAGTGGCATGATCTCAGCTCACTGCAACCTCCGCCTCCCTGTGTCTACTTGAAATACAAAAATTGGCCAGGCATGGTGGCGCACGCCTGTAGTCCCAGCTACTTGGAAATAGAATCACTTGAACCTGGGAGGTGGAGATTGCAGTGAGCAGAGATCGTGCCACTGCACTCCAGCCTGGGTGACAGAGGGAGACTCTGTCTCAGAAAAAAAAAAAAAAAAGAAAGAAAGAAAGAAAAGAAAATGAAGAAACAGGCCAGGCATGGTGGCTCACACCTGTAATCCCAGCACTTTGGGAAGCTGGAGCAGGAGGAATGCTTGAACCCAGGAGTTCAAGACCAGCCTGGACAACATAGTGAGAACCCATCTCTACAAAAATAAACAACAACAAAAATAGGCCAGGCATGGTGGCTCTCACCTGTAATCCCAGCTACTCAGGAGGCTGAGGTGGGAGGATCGTTTCGGTCCTGGATTTCAAGGTGATAGTGAGCTATGATCACACCATTGTACTCCTGCCTCTGAGGACAGAGCGAGACTTTGTCTGGAAAAAAAAAAAGAAAATGCAAATGAAGAAACATGGATTCATGAACATCTATGAATATTTGGTTTAAAAAGGTGAGGCCATGGTGTTTGCACTGAGATCATGGCCCCTCTTGCCCTTCCTCTCAGCTCAGTGAGGCTGAGACTCCACTCTGGACAGCTGCAGCCAAGAACATGGGGTCCCCTGCTGCCTCCAGACCAGGGAAACAGGGCTCCCTCTGCCCCCAGCTCCCAGTGGGAGGGCTTGCCTCCCACGAAGAACAGGACATCCATTTCCTATTCTACCCCCAGCCACCTGTTGCTGAGACTAAGTCCTGGATGAGTGTAGCCAAGAGTTGGGGGCCCCCTTCTTGCACCCAGCCCCACTCAAGGAACAGAGGCTCTGCCTTGGGTGCAGTGTGCTGCGAGTGCTGGGGTCCTGATCACTCCGGCCCTGGCTCATGTGGAAGTAGCTCGACAACAGGAGAGGCAAACTTTGAGGACCTCGGCCATTGTCCCCACTCCCACCAAGTCCTCAGCCCCTAGCGCAGGGTGTCACTCAGAGAGAAGCTTTCCAAAGTCTCCACCCCCAGCTCCAGGGCCCTGGCTCAGAGAGATTTTTGTCTAATGAAGAAACAGGCCATAAAAAAGAGACTTCCTAATCTCTTCCCAAAGCAACTGACCTCATTTGCTACAGAGAACGAAGGAATTCAAGGCAAAAGTTGCTTTTGTTTTGATTTTGGTTAGGTTTGTTTGAGAGTGCAGTGATGCGATCTCCGCTCACTGCAACCTCCGCCTCCTGGGTTCAAGCGATTCTCCTGCCTCGGCCTCCCGAGTAGCTGGGATTACAGGTGCCTACCACCACACCCAGCTAATTTTTTTTTTTTAAGTAGAGACGGGGTTTGCACCATGTTGACCAGGCTGGTCTCGAACTCCCGACCTCAGGTGATCCGCCCACCTCAGCCTCCCAAAGTGCTGGGATTACAGGCGTGAGCCACCGCACCCGGCCCAAAAGGTGCTTTTGAGAATAGTAGAGATTATGGTGAGAGATAATTAGGAGAAGATTCAAGACACAAGCTGAACTCTAGGCTGCTCGTTTACAGGAGAGAACAGGGAATAGCACCAGTAGAGGGAGCCCTCCTGAGGTCAGAACAAATAGCAGACATTGACCTCACACACTATTTCTTCCAAGGAGCCAAACTTGATAGGATCAGTGTGTAGTGCAGGGCATTATAGGAAATTATAAAGCAATCCATTGGCAACTTGCAGAGCTTATTTCAACCAAGCAAGGATTAGAAAAAGAAGGGCTGGGTGCAGTGGCTCATGCCTAAAATCCCAACACTTTGGGAGGCTGAGGTGGGTGGATCACTAGGTCAGGAGTTCAAGACCAGCCTGGCCAAGACGGTCAAACCCCGTCTCTACTAAAAAACAAAAAATACAATAATTAGCCGGGCGTGGTGGCAGGTGCCTGTAATCCCAACTACTTGGGAGGCTGAGTCAGAGGATTGCTTGAACCCGGGAGGCGGAGGTTGCAGTGAGCCGAGATTGTGCCACTGCACTCCAGCCTGGGCGACAGAGCGAGACTCCATCTCAAAAAAAAAAAAAAAAAGAGAAGAAAGAAAGAAAGAAAAAAGAAAAGAAAATTTGCATAGCTTAACAGCTGGATATGGTCAGGGAAAGAGGAAGAGAGCCTTCCAAAACCACTGTCATCCCAGAGTAACTGCAGGCATACTCAAAGCTGGGCCCCCTGAGAACGACCATAGAAGCTGAACATCGTACGGAAGAAATAGACTTCACTAAAACAATCCAGCCAGTCACTAAACAAATAAACAAGAAAATAATAACAAGCCCAGGTCAGGGGAGACTCATACCCAGAATTGCTACAATGTATTATTTAAATGTCCTGTTTCCAAAAAAAAAAAAAAAAAATATGAAGCCTGCAAAAAATTTAATAAACAGGAAAGCATGACCCATAGATAGGGGGAAATGCAGGCAAAGGAAACTGCCTGTGAGAGGGCACATGTTGATTTATCAGAAAAAGACTTTAAAGTAGCCATTATACACACGTTCATAAAACCAAAGGAAACTGTGACTAAATAAATAAAGGAATGTATGATGATGGCGTTTCATCAAATAGAGAATACCGATAAAAAGATAGAAATTGCCAGGCACGGTGGTTCACGCCTGTAATCCCAGCACTTTGGGAGGCCGAGGCGGGTGGATCACGAGGTCAGGAGTTTGAGACCAGCCTGGCCAACATGGTGAAACCCTGTCTCTACTAAAGATTAAAAAAAAAAAAAATTAACTGGGTATGGTGGTGCATACCTATAATCCCAGCTACTCGGGAGGCTGAGACAGGAGAATCCCTTGAACCTGGGAGGTAGAGGTTGCGGTGAGCTGAGATTGCACCATTGCACTCCAACCTGGGTGACAGGGCAAGACTCCGAATTAAAAAAAAAAAAATCGAAAATTATAAAAAAAAAAAACAAATGGAAATTATGAAGTTGAAAAGTATAGTAACTAAAATAGCCGGGTGCAGTGGCTCACCCCTGTAATCCCAGCACTTTTGGAGGCCAGAGATGGTGAAACCCCATCTCTACTAAAAATACAAAATTAGCCAGGCATGGTGGCGGGCACCTGTAATCCCAGCTACTCGGGAGGCTGAGGCAGGAGAATCGCTTGAACCCGGGAGGCAGAGGTTACAGTGAGCCAAGATCACGCCACTGCACTCCAGCCTGGGCGACAAGAGTGAAACTCTGTCTCAAAAAAATAAAAAAAAAGAAAAGAAAGAAAAGAAAAGTATAGTAACTGAAATAAAACATTCATTAAAGGGATTCACCAGCTAATTTTGAAATTCATATGGAATTGCAAATGATCTACAACGGCCAAAAAAATCTTGATAAAGAAAAAAAAAAATGGCTGAGTGTGGCGGCTCGCGCCTGTAATCCCAGCACTTTGGAAAGCCCAGGCAGGAGAATCACTGGAGCCCAAGAAGTCAAGTCTGCAGTGAGCAGAGATCGCATCACTACACTCCAGGCTGGGCCACAGAGCAAGACCTTGTCTCAAAGAATAAAAACCAGAAACAACCAACAAACAAATAACAATAATTAAATAAAAATAAAAAACGCAGGGGTACGTTTTCATGCCTTGTATTTGTCAATGGAACCTTTGATATGATACTCAAAATACAAGCAATGAAATGATAAATTGTATTTTATCAAAATTAAAACTTTTGCTCATCAAAGGACACTTTCAAGAAAGTGAAAAGATAACCTACAGAATGGAAGAAAATATTTGTAAATAACAAATCTGGTGAAAGTTTCATATCCAGAATACACAAGAACTCATAGAATTCAATACTAGAACACAAACAACAATTTAAAACACAATTTAAAAATGGGCAAAGGATCCTAAAAGACTTTTCCTCAAATAAGGTATACAAATGGCTCACAGCTCCTGAAAGATGCTCAACCTCATTTGTCATTAGGGAAATGCAAGTCGAACCCACAATGACACACCCTTCACATCCCTAGGATGGCTATTAAGCCATGCCTGCTGTCTTGATGACCCCTGCCCCTGTCTGCCCCCCTGTCCTTGCTGGTGCCTGAGCTCCATTGGAGCGGACTCATTGCTGGCTCCCGGCACTACCAAGCTGGGACCTGGAATATCTTGGTGCCGCTAGAGTGAAAAGACTCATTAATCACGGTCAGTCAGATCCTTCCAGGGCTAAGAGACCAGCCAGGGTGGCCTCAGCTTCTCCCTAACTTTGGATCCTAAAAAGGAAGCCCTGGCTGGGCGTGGTGGCTCACGCCTGTAATCCCAGCACTTTGGGAGGCCGAGGCAGGAGGATCACCTGAGGTCAGGAGTTTGAGACCAGCCTGGCTAACATGATGAAATCCCATTTCTACTAAAAAAAAATACAAAAAATTAGCCAGGCATGGTGGCATGAACCTGTAATCTCAGCTACTTGGGAGGCTGAGGCGGGAGACTCACTTGAACCCGGGAGGCGGAGGTTGCGGTGAGCCGAGACTGTGCCACTGCACTCCAGCCTGGGCGACAGAGCAAGACTCCATCTCAAAAAAAAAAAAAAAAAGGAAGCCCTGAGTTCTACCCAGTTTGGCCCTTTGAGGGTGAGAGATCCCACTATTACCCAAGCCTGGCTGTTCTGGGTATGTAAGTTGGGGGACAGTGCGGATCACAGTTCAGGAACCACTCCCACAGCCCCAAGAGCCTCCCTAACCCCACCAAGTCCACCTTTGACCTCTTCTCTGAGCTCCAAATGCCTCTTGGGCGCCATCCCCTGGACGTTTCTCAGATGTATAACAGCCCAGATAAAACTCATCATTGCCGGGCGTGGTCGCTCACCCGGCACCCGTGACAAATAAAATGTTTTTTTAAAGTATCTATAGGCTGGGCATGGTGGCTCACGCCTGTAATCCCCGCACTTTGGGAGGCCAAGGTGGGCAGATCACGAGGTCAGGAGATCGAGACTATCCTGGCTAACATGGTAAAACCCCGTCTCTACTAAAAATACAAAAAGTTAGCCGGGCATGTTGGCACGCACCTGTGGTCCCAGCTACTTGGGAGGCTGAGGCAGGAGAATCGCTTGAACCCAGGAGGCGGAGGTTGCAGTGAACCGAGATCGTGCCACTGCACTCCAGCCTGGGCTACGTAGCAAGACTCCATCTAAAAAAACAAACAAAACACCACATTTTATTTGGGCCAGGCTTGGTGGCTCACGCCTGTAATCCCAGCACTTTGGGAGGCCAAGGCGGGCGGATCACCTGAGGTCGGGAGTTGGAGACCAGCCTCACCAACATGGAGAAACCCCATCTCTACTAAAAATACAAAATTAGCCAGGCATGGTGGCACATGCCTGTAATCCCAGCTACTCGGGAGGCTGAGGCAGGAGAATTGCTTGAACCCGGGAGGTGGAGGTTGCGGTGAGCTGAGATCATGCCATTACACTCCAGCCTGAGCAAGAAGAGTGAAACTCCGTCTCAAAAAATAAAAATATATATTTGTGGTTAGGCATGGTGACTCAGGCTTACACCTGTAATCCTAGAACTTTGGGAGGCCGAGGTAGGAGGATTGCTTGAGGCCAGGAGTTCAAGACTAGCCTGGGCAACATAGCAAGATCCCATCTCTACAGAAAAGTAAATTTTTAAAAATTATGACATTTTGAGCTGCATGATGAAAAAAATTTAAAAAGAAAGAAAGAAGGGCCGGGCGCGGTGGCTCACGCCTGTAATCCCAGCACTTTGGGAGGTCGAGGTGGGCGGATCATGAGGTCAGGAGATCAAGACCATCCTGGCTAACGCGGTGAAACCCCATCTCTACTAAAAATACAAAAAATTAGCTGGGCATGCTGGTGGGTGCCTGCAGTCCCAGCTACTCAGGAGGCTGAGGCAGGAGAATGGCGTGAACCATTCTCCATTCTCGGAGCTTGCAGTGAGCCGAGATTGTGCCATTGTACTCCAGCCTGGGCGACAGAGCAAGACTCCGTCACAAAAAAAAAAAAAAGAAAGAAAGAAAGAAAGAAAGAAAGAAAGAAAATTGGCCACGTGTGTTAGTGCACACCTGTAGTCCCAACTAGACAGGATGCTGAGGCGGGAGGATCTCCTGAGCCCAGGAGTTCAAGGCTGCAGTGAGCTGTGATCGTGCCACTGCTCTCCAGCCTAAGATACGGGAAAAACCAAAGCGTTTTTCTTTTCTTTTTTTTCTGCTGTCATTGTATGAAATAGTCCATAGGTTTCCATTATATCCAGTTATAGAGGGTGTTACTGAGTTACGGATTTTCTGCCTGCTGGATCTGTCCGTTTCTGATAGAGGGACATTGAAGTCGCCAACTATAATAGTTTCTCCTTGCGGTGCTGTCGCTTTTTCCCTCACATATTTTGATGTTCTCTTGTTAGGATCATACATGTTAAGGACTGTTATGTCTTCTTTGAGCATTGACTCCTTAATCATTATGTAATGCCCTGTCCTTATCCCGGATGACTCTCTTTTCTTTTCTTTTTGTTTTTCAGACAAGGTCTCTGCGAACCAGGCTGGAGTGCAGGGATCTCGGCTCAATGCAACCTCTGCCTCCCACGCTCAAGCGATTCCCGTGCCTCAGCCTGCAGAGTAGCTGGGATTACAGGCTGGGATTACCACCACGCCCTGCTAATTTCTGCATTTTTAGTAAAGACAGGGTTTCATCGTGTTGGCCAGGCTGGTCTCGAACTCCTGGCCTCAGGCGATCTGCCCGCCTTGGCCTCCCAAAGTGCTGGGATTACACGTGTGAGCCACTGTGCCTGGCCTATTCCTGATGACTCTCCTTGCTCTGAAGTCTGTACTGTCTGAAATTAATATAGAGACTCCTGCTTTCTTTTGATCAGTGTTGGCATAGATCTTTCTTTATCCATTCGCTTTTAATACATAAGTCTTTAAAGTGTAGTTCTTGTAAGCAACATATAGTTACGTCTTGTTTTTTGCTCACTCTGACAATCTCTGTCTTTTAATTGGTTCATCTGGACCACTGATATGCAAAGGGATGTTGATATAATTGGATTAATAGCTGCCTTTTTTTGTTTTTACTGTTTTCTATTTGTTGCCTTTGTTTCTATTTTTGTCTTCCACTCTTTTTCTGCCTCTTGTAGTGTTTTGCCTTTGGGGTTTTTCTTTTTTTTATTTTCTTTTACTTTCTTTTTTTTTTTTTGAGACAGAGTCTCCCAGGCTGGAGTGCAGTGACGCGATCTCAACTCACTGTACTCTCTGCCTCCCCGGTTCAAGCAATTCTCCTGTTTTAGCCTCCCAAGTAGCTGGGACTACAGACACGCACTGCCACGCCCGGCTAATTTTTGTATTTTTATTAGAAATGGGGTTTCACCATGTTGGCCAGGATGGTCTTGATCTTCTGACCTCGTGATCCACCTGTCTCAGCCTCCCAAAGTGCTGGGATTACAGGCATGAGTCACCACACCCAGTCTATTTTTTTTTAAGTTTTTTGGTTTTTGTGTTTTTTTTTGAGATGGTATCTCGCTCTTGTTGCCCAGGCTGGAGTGCAATGGCAAGATCTCTGCTCGCTGCAACCTCCGCCTCCTGGGTTCAAGTGATTCTCCTGCCTCAGCCTTCCGAATCGCTGGAATTACGGGAGCCCGACACCACGCCCAGATAATTTTTTGTATTTTTAGTAGAGATGGGGTTTCACCATGTTGGCCAGGCTGGTGACGAACTCCTGACCTCAGGTGATCCACCCGCCTCAGCCTTCCAAAGAGGTTAGATTACACGCATGAGCCACCACGCCCGACCCTAAAAGTATTTTTTTTATAGAGATGGGGTCTCCCTCTGTTGCCCAAACTGGTCTCAAACCCCTGATCTCAAGTTACTGCCTGCCTCAGCTGCCCAGGTAGCAGGGATTACAGACACAAGCCACCGCCCCCGGCTCTATTTAGGAACATCTTAGTTCCAAGTTTTGGCAATTATGGATAAAGCCGCTATAAACGTATGTTTCCAGGCTTGTGCGGACATACATTTTCAACTCATTTGGGTAGACACCAAGAGCTGCATTCCAGCCTGGGCAACAAGAGTGAAATTCCGTCTCAAAAAAAAAAAAAAACACAGAAATGTAGGCCGGGCATGGTGGCTTGCACCTATAATCCCAGAACTTTGGGAGGCCAAGGCAGGCAGATCACTTGAGCTCAGGAGTTCAAGACCAGTCTGGCCAACATGGTGAAACCCTGTCTCTACTAAAAATACAAAAATTAGCCAGGCGCGGTGGCGCATGCCTGTAATCCCAGCTACTCAGGAGGCTGAGGCATGAGAATGACTTGAACCCAGGAGGCAGAGGTTGCAGTGAGCCCAGATCGTGCCACTGCACTCCAGCCTGGGTGATGAAGTGAAACTCTGTCAAAACAGAAATTATTCTCTCGCAGTTCTGGAGGCTCAAAGTCAGGAATCAAACTGTTGAAGCCTCGAAGGGGGATCCTTCCTTGACTCCTCCGGCGTCTGGAGGCTACTGGCCATCCTGGTGTTACTCAAACACCAGGGGTTCCATCTAGGGCCTGCCACTCACCTCACAGAAAGCCAATCAGTGAGACAACGATTCTTGCCAAGGAAGAAGGCTTTAATCAGGTGCTGCAGCTGAGGGGATGGGAGGGCTTCATCCCAGGAATGCAGGGGGTGGTTCAACATAAGAAAATCCGTTAACGTAATGTACCGCATTAGTAGAACAAAGGGAAAAAAACAGTCATTCCAGCTGACACAGAAAAAGCATCTAAGAAATTCTAACATTTCATCATTAAAACATAGAGAAAACTATGAAACGAGGGGATCTGCCTCAACATTATAAAAGGTATTTGTGAAAAAACCACAGTTACCATCATACTTAGTGGTGAAAGACTAAAAGCTTTCCCCCTAAGTTCAGGAACAAGACACAGAGGTTCACCTTTACCACTGCTACTCAATGTTTTTTTTTTTTGTTTTGTTGGTTTTGTTGTGTTTTCGAGAAGGAGTCTTGCTCTGTCGCCCAGGCTGGAATGCAGTGGCGTGATCTCGGCTCACTGCAGCCTCTGCCCCCGGGGTTCAAGCAATTCTCCTGCCTCAGCCTCCCCAGTAGCTGGGACTACAGGTGCGCACTGCCACGCCTGGCTAATTTTTGTATTCTTAGTAGAGACAGGGTTTCACCATGTTGGCCAGGATGCTCTTGAGCTCCTGACCTTGTTATCTGCCTGCCTCGGCCTCCCAAAATGCTGGAATTACAGATGTGAGCCACCGCGCCTGGCCTAGTCAACATTTTGCTAGAAGTTGTAGCCAGAGCCTTTAGGTAAGAAAAGGCACCAAATTGAGAAATAAGAAATAAAACCATCGCTTTAAATAGGGAAAATCCCAAAGAATACACGCACAATAATTACTAGAGCTAATAAGCAAATGCAGCAAAGTTTCAGGACACAAGATCAACTCACAAAAACCAGTTGTGTGGTTTCCTGTTTGTTTTTTTGAGGAGTTATGCTCTTATCGCCCAGGCCGGAGTGCAATGGCGTGATCTTGGCTCACTGCAGCCTCTGCCTCCCGGGTTCAAGCAATTCTCCTGCCTCAGCCTCCCCAGTAGCTGGGATTACAGGCGCAGGCCACCACGCCCGGCCAGTTTTTGTATTTTTAGTAGAGACGAGGTTTCACCACGTTGGCCAGGATGGTCTTGATCTCCTGACCTGGTGATCCACCCGCCTCGGCCTCCCAAAGTGCTAGGATGACAGGCGTGAGCCACCGTGCCCGGTCCAGTTGTGTTTTTATGCACTGGCAAGGAACAATTCAAAAATGTAATTAAGAAAACCGCTGGGCATGGTGGCTCACGCCTGTAGTCCCAGCACTTTGAGCGGCCGAGGCGGGTGGATCCCTTGATCCCAGGAGTTCAAGACCATCCTGGGCAATGTGGTGAAACCCCCTCCCTACAAAAAATACAAAAAATTAGCGGAGCGTGATGGCATGTGCCTACGATCCCAGCTACTCAGGAGGCTGACGTGGGAGGATCACCCGAGCCCTGGGGGTCAAGGCTGCAGTGAGCTGTCACATCATGCATCATTGCACTCCAGCCTGAAAAAGGAGTGAAATTCTGCAACATGTTACAACGTGAATGAACCTTGAAAACGTCATTCTAAGTGAAATAAGCCAGATACAAAAGGACAATATTGCATGTTTCCACTTATAGAGATACCTACAAGAATCAAATTCATAGAGACGGAAAGTAGAATAGTGGTTAAAGGGGTCTGGGCGGAGGGAGGAAAGGGAAGTTTGTTTTACGGGTAGAGTTTCAGTTTGGGATGTCGAAAAAGTTCTGGAGATAAATAATGGTGATGGTTACATGCCAATGGCTACACGAATGTACTTAATGCCACTGAATTGTATATGTGAAAAATGGTTAAAATGGTAAATTTTGTATCTATTTAATACCATCCCCCCTAAAAAAAAAATTGTTTTTAAGAGTCAAGATCTCACTCTGTCTCCCAGGCTGGGGTGCAGTGGGGTAACTGATCAGAGCTCACTGCAGCTTTGAACTCAGCCAGCTTCCCTGACTCAAACGATCATCCCGCTTCAGCCTCCCGAGTAGCTGGGACTACAGACGGTGCCATCACGCCCAGCTCATTGTTGATTCCCGCCCCCTTGGTAGAGACGGGATTCCGCTATATTGCCTGGGCTGGTGTCGAACTCATAGAACAAAGGATCCTCCCTCCTGGGCCTGGGCGTGGGCTCGCAAAACGCTGGGATTCCCGGATTACAGGCGGGCGCACCACACCAGGAGCAAACACTTCCGGTTTTAAAAATTCAGTTTGTGATTGGCTGTCATTCAGTATTATGCTAATTAAGCATGCCCGGTTTTAAACCTCTTAAAACAATTTTTAAAATTACCTTTCCACCTAAAACGTTAAAATTTGTCAAGTGATAATATTCGACAAGCTGTTATTGCCAAACTATTTTCCTATTTGTTTCCTAATGGCATCGGAACTAGCGAAAGTTTCTCGCCATCAGTTAAAAGTTTGCGGCAGATGTAGACCTAGCAGAGGTGTGCGAGGAGGCCATTAAGACTATACTTTCAGGGATCATTTCTATAGTGTGTTACTAGAGAAGTTTCTCTGAACGTGTAGAGCACCGAAAACCCCGAGGAAGAGAGGTAGCGTTTTCTCCTGAGCGTGAAGCCGGCTTTCTGGCGTTGCTTGGCTGCAACTGCCGTCAGCCATTGATGATCGTTCTTCTCTCCGTATTGGGGAGTGAGAGGGAGAGAACGCGGTCTGAGTGGTTTTTCCTTCTTGATGGCTCAATGACAGAGACTAGCTCGTAAACTCCGGGCCGTTTCCGGGCTGTTCGCTCCTGCTTGGCAATGTCGCGAGAAAGGTTTTCGCCTCCTGTTTCAGCGGTGACGGCTTTTGGGTTTTCCTCGGGGTGGCTTTTTAATTTTAGTCTTGGCGCGAGGCGGGGGATGCTGTGTGGCACCTCCTATTGTCTCTTTTTGCGTTTTCTCCCATTCTCGCTCCCTCTTTTGTCGCCGTTTCCCGCCCGCCACTCCCACCCCCAGACGGGGTCTCCGGGTCTCTTGTTCTGTCTGCCGGCCCCGGCTGGAGTGCAGTGGCGCGATCTCGGCTCCTAGCAACATCTGCCTCCCGGGCTCAAGCGAGTCTCCCGCCTAAGCCCTCCCGAGTAGCCGGGGCTTAAAGGCGCACACGCCACTCCAGGCTTTTTTTTTTTTTTTTTTTTTTTTTTTTGGCAGAAACGGGGTGTCAGCATGTTAGCCAGGCTGGTCTCCAACGCGTGATCTCAGGTGATCCGCCCGCCTCGGCCTCCCGAAGTTCTGGGATTACAGGCGTGAGCCACTGCACCCGGCCCTTCTATTTTTTTAAATAGCGACGGGGTTTCACCATGTTGGCCAGGCTGCTCCTGAACACCTGAGTTCAGGTGATCCGCCCGCCTCGGCCTCCCGAAGTTCTGGGATTACAGGAGTGAGCCACCGCGCCCGACTGAGAACTGTAAGAAATAAATTTGTGTTATTTAAGCCACAAAGTCTGTGTATTTTGTTATGGAGCCCAAGAAAAGCAGCTTCTTCTGAAACTAAACACTTTCGGTATGATCAGAACTCGTGCCTCTTGGTGTCTACCCAAATGAGTTGAAAATGTCCACACAAAAACCTGCACACCTGTTTATAGCAGCTTTATCCATAATTGCCAAAACTTGGAACTAAGATGTTCCTGAATAGAGCCAGCGGCTGTGGCTTGTGTCTGTAATCCCTGCTACTTGGGCAGCTGAGGCAGACAGTCAGTCACTTGAGATAAGCAGTTTGAGACCAGTCTGGGCAACAGAGTGAGACCCCATCTCTATAAAAAGTACTTTTAGGGCCGGGTGCGGGTGGCACGCCTGTAATCGCAGAACTTCGGGAGGCCGAGGCGGGCGGATCACCTGAACTCAGGTGTTCAGGAGCAGCCTGGCCAACATGGTGAAACCCCGTCGCTATTTAAAAAAATAGAAGGGCCGGGTGCAGTGGCTCACGCCTGTAATCCCAGAACTTCGGGAGGCCGAGGCCGGCGGATCACCTGAGATCACGCGTTGGAGACCAGCCTGGCTAACATGCTGACACCCCGTTTCTGCCAAAAAAAAAAAAAAAAAAAGCCTGGAGTGGCGTGTGCGCCTTTAAGCCCCGGCTACTCGGGAGGGCTTAGGCGGGAGACTCGCTTGAGCCCGGGAGGCAGATGTTGCTAGGAGCCGAGATCGCGCCACTGCACTCCAGCCGGGGCGGCAGACAGAACAAGAGACCCGGAGACCCCGTCTGGGGGTGGGAGTGGCGGGCGGGAAACGGCGACAAAAGAGGGAGCGAGAATGGGAGAAAACGCAAAAAGAGACAATAGGAGGTGCCACACAGCATCCCCCGCCTCGCGCCAAGACTAAAATTAAAAAGCCACCCCGAGAAAACCCAAGAGCCGTCACCGCTGAAACAGGAGGCGAAAACCTTTCTCGCTACACTGCCAAGCAGGAGCGAACAGCCCAGAAACGCCCCGGAGTTTACGAGCTAGTCTCTGTCATTGAGCCATCAAGAAGGAAAAACCACTCAGACCGCGTTCTCTCCCTCTCACTCCCCAATACGGAGAGAAGAACGATCATCAATGGCTGACGGCAGTTGCAGCCAAGCAACGCCAGAAAGCCGGCTTCACGCTCAGGAGAAAACGCTACCTCTCTTCCTCGGGGTTTTCGGTGCTCTACACGTTCAGAGAAACTTCTCTAGTAACACACTATAGAAATGATCCCTGAAAGTATAGTCTTAATGGCCTCCTCGCACACCTCTGCTAGGTCTACATCTGCCGCAAACTTTTAACTGATGGCGAGAAACTTTCGCTAGTTCCGATGCCATTAGGAAACAAATAGGAAAATAGTTTGGCAATAACAGCTTGTCGAATATTATCACTTGACAAATTTTAACGTTTTAGGTGGAAAGGTAATTTTAAAAATTGTTTTAAGAGGTTTAAAACCGGGCATGCTTAATTAGCATAATACTGAATGACAGCCAATCACAAACTGAATTTTTAAAACCGGAAGTGTTTGCTCCTGGTGTGGTGCGCCCGCCTGTAATCCGGGAATCCCAGCGTTTTGCGAGCCCACGCCCAGGCCCAGGAGGGAGGATCCTTTGTTCTATGAGTTCGACACCAGCCCAGGCAATATAGCGGAATCCCGTCTCTACCAAGGGGGGGGGGGCGGGGGGGCGGGAATCAACAATGAGTTGGGCGTGATGGCACCGTCTGTAGTCCCAGCTACTCGGGAGGCTGAAGCGGGATGATCGTTTGAGTCAGGGAAGCTGGCTGAGTTCAAAGCTGCAGTGAGCTCTGATCAGTTACCCCACTGCACCCCAGCCTGGGAGACAGAGTGAGATCTTGACTCTTAAAAACAATTTTTTTTTTAGGGGGGATGGTATTAAATAGATACAAAATTTACCATTTTAACCATTTTTCACATATACAATTCAGTGGCATTAAGTACATTCGTGTAGCCATTGGCATGTAACCATCACCATTATTTATCTCCAGAACTTTTTCGACATCCCAAACTGAAACTCTACCCGTAAAACAAACTTCCCTTTCCTCCCTCCGCCCAGACCCCTTTAACCACTATTCTACTTTCCGTCTCTATGAATTTGATTCTTGTAGGTATCTCTATAAGTGGAAACATGCAATATTGTCCTTTTGTATCTGGCTTATTTCACTTAGAATGACGTTTTCAAGGTTCATTCACGTTGTAACATGTTGCAGAATTTCACTCCTTTTTCAGGCTGGAGTGCAATGATGCATGATGTGACAGCTCACTGCAGCCTTGACCCCCAGGGCTCGGGTGATCCTCCCACGTCAGCCTCCTGAGTAGCTGGGATCGTAGGCACATGCCATCACGCTCCGCTAATTTTTTGTATTTTTTGTAGGGAGGGGGTTTCACCACATTGCCCAGGATGGTCTTGAACTCCTGGGATCAAGGGATCCACCCGCCTCGGCCGCTCAAAGTGCTGGGACTACAGGCGTGAGCCACCACGCCCAGCGGTTTTCTTAATTACATTTTTGAATTGTTCCTTGCCAGTGCATAAAAACACAACTGGACCGGGCACGGTGGCTCACGCCTGTCATCCTAGCACTTTGGGAGGCCGAGGCGGGTGGATCACCAGGTCAGGAGATCAAGACCATCCTGGCCAACGTGGTGAAACCTCGTCTCTACTAAAAATACAAAAACTGGCCGGGCGTGGTGGCCTGCGCCTGTAATCCCAGCTACTGGGGAGGCTGAGGCAGGAGAATTGCTTGAACCCGGGAGGCAGAGGCTGCAGTGAGCCAAGATCACGCCATTGCACTCCGGCCTGGGCGATAAGAGCATAACTCCTCAAAAAAACAAACAGGAAACCACACAACTGGTTTTTGTGAGTTGATCTTGTGTCCTGAAACTTTGCTGCATTTGCTTATTAGCTCTAGTAATTATTGTGCGTGTATTCTTTGGGATTTTCCCTATTTAAAGCGATGGTTTTATTTCTTATTTCTCAATTTGGTGCCTTTTCTTACCTAAAGGCTCTGGCTACAACTTCTAGCAAAATGTTGACTAGGCCAGGCGCGGTGGCTCACATCTGTAATTCCAGCATTTTGGGAGGCCGAGGCAGGCAGATAACAAGGTCAGGAGCTCAAGAGCATCCTGGCCAACATGGTGAAACCCTGTCTCTACTAAGAATACAAAAATTAGCCAGGCGTGGCAGTGCGCACCTGTAGTCCCAGCTACTGGGGAGGCTGAGGCAGGAGAATTGCTTGAACCCCGGGGGCAGAGGCTGCAGTGAGCCGAGATCACGCCACTGCATTCCAGCCTGGGCGACAGAGCAAGACTCCTTCTCGAAAACACAACAAAACCAACAAAACAAAAAAAAAAAACATTGAGTAGCAGTGGTAAAGGTGAACCTCTGTGTCTTGTTCCTGAACTTAGGGGGAAAGCTTTTAGTCTTTCACCACTAAGTATGATGGTAACTGTGGTTTTTTCACAAATACCTTTTATAATGTTGAGGCAGATCCCCTCGTTTCATAGTTTTCTCTATGTTTTAATGATGAAATGTTAGAATTTCTTAGATGCTTTTTCTGTGTCAGCTGGAATGACTGTTTTTTTCCCTTTGTTCTACTAATGCGGTACATTACGTTAACGGATTTTCTTATGTTGAACCACCCCCTGCATTCCTGGGATGAAGCCCTCCCATCCCCTCAGCTGCAGCACCTGATTAAAGCCTTCTTCCTTGGCAAGAATCGTTGTCTCACTGATTGGCTTTCTGTGAGGTGAGTGGCAGGCCCTAGATGGAACCCCTGGTGTTTGAGTAACACCAGGATGGCCAGTAGCCTCCAGACGCCGGAGGAGTCAAGGAAGGATCCCCCTTCGAGGCTTCAACAGTTTGATTCCTGACTTTGAGCCTCCAGAACTGCGAGAGAATAATTTCTGTTTTGACAGAGTTTCACTTCATCACCCAGGCTGGAGTGCAGTGGCACGATCTGGGCTCACTGCAACCTCTGCCTCCTGGGTTCAAGTCATTCTCATGCCTCAGCCTCCTGAGTAGCTGGGATTACAGGCATGCGCCACCGCGCCTGGCTAATTTTTGTATTTTTAGTAGAGACAGGGTTTCACCATGTTGGCCAGACTGGTCTTGAACTCCTGAGCTCAAGTGATCTGCCTGCCTTGGCCTCCCAAAGTTCTGGGATTATAGGTGCAAGCCGCCATGCCCGGCCTACATTTCTGTTTTGTTTTTTTTTTTTTTTTTTTTTTTTTGAGACGGAGTTTCGCTCTTGTTGCCCAGGCTGGAATGCAGCTCTTGGTGTCTACCCAAATGATTTGAAAACGTATGTCCGCACAAGCCTGCACACATATGTTTATAGCAGCTTTACCCATAATTGCCAAAACTTGGAACTAAGATGTTCCTAAATAGAGCCGGGGGCGGTGGCTTGTGACTGTAATCCCTGCTACTTGGGCAGCTGAGGCAGACAGTCACTTGAGATCAGGGGTTTAGGAGCTGCCTGGGCAACAGAGGGAGACCCCTGTCTCTAATAAAATAAAATAAAATAAAATAAAATAAAATAAAAAATATGTCTTCACTTTGAGAGGCCAAGGCAGGTGGATCTCCTGAGATCAGGAGCTCAAGACCAGCCTGGCCAACATGGCAAAACCCCATCTCTACTAAAAATACAAAAATTACACTGGGCGCAGTGGCTCCCGCCTGCAATCCCAGCACTTTGGGAGGCTGAGGCGGGCAGATCACGAGGTCAGGAGATCGAGATCATCCCGGCTAACATGGTGAAACGCCGTCTCTACTAAAAAAAAAAAAAAAAAAAAAAAAATACAAAAAATAAGCCGTGCGTGGTGGCGGGTGCCTGTAGTCCCAGCTACTCAGGAGGCTGAGGCAGGAGAATGGTGTGAACCCGGGAGGCAGAGCTTGCAGTGAGCCGAGATCGCGCCACTGCACTCCAGCCTGGGCGACAGAGCGAAACTCCATCTCAAAAAAAAAAAAAAAGAAAGAAAACAACAACAACAACAACAACAAAAATTAGCTGGGTGTGGTGGCACACGCCTGTAATCACAGCTACTCAGGAGGCTGAGGTAGGAGAATCGCTTGAACCTGGGAGGCAGAGGTTGCAGTGAGCTGAGGTCACCCTACTGCACTGCAGCCTGGGAGACAGAGTGAGACTCCACCTCAAAAAAAAAAAAAAAAAAGTCCTACATAGGTGAATGGATAAATAAACTGTGGTACATCCAGAGAATTAGATATTATTCAGTGCTAAAAACAAATGAGCTATCAAGCCATGAAAAAACATTCAAGAACCTTAAACGCATATTACTAAGAAAAAGAAGCCAATGTGAAAAGGCCATATACTGTACGATTCCATACACATGACCTTCTGGAAAAGCAAAACTATGGAGACAGTAAAAGGCTCAGTGGTTAGCAGGGGTTGGGGGAGGGAGGGATGGACAGGCAGAGCACAGGGGACTTTCAGGGCCACAAAACTACTCTGTATGACATGACAATGGTGGATACGGCATTACACATTTGTCCAAACCCACAGAATGTACAACACCAGGAATGAGCTGTAATGTGAGCTATGGACCTTATTTAATAATTCCATATGCATATTGGTACATCAGTTGTAACAGAAGTATCACGCTATAATGCAAAATGTTACTAACGGGGAAATGAGTGTAGGGGTCTGAGAGAGAGGATGTATGGGGATTCTGTTCTTTGTGCTCAATTCTTCTGTAAACCTATAACCGCTCCTCCCAGAAAAGTCTACTAATTAATTCTTTTTTTTTTTTTTTTTAAAGACGGAGTCTTGCTCTGTGTCCCAGCTGGAGTGCAGTGGTGCGATCTTGTCTCACTGAATCAAGAGATTCTCCTGCCTCAGCCTCCCAAGTAGCTGGGATTACAGACATGCATCACCATGCCTGGCTAATTTTTGTATTTTTAGTAGAGATGGGGTTTCACCGTGTTGGCCAGGTTAGTCTTGAACTCCTGATTTCAGGTGATCTGTCCACCTCGGCCTCCCAAAGTGCTGGGATTACAGGCATGAGCCACTGTGCCTGCCCTCTACTAATTAATTTTTTAAAACACTTAAAACACACAGGCATACGTACATAATGACAAGTCACTGGCTGTTCACACACAAACAGAATAGCATGGGTTATGATCCCAGTCTTAAAAAATCTTACCTGTCAGCTGGACGTGGTGGTTCACGCCTATAATCCCAGCACTTTGGGAGGCCAAGTTAGGAGGATCTCTTGTGCTCAGTAGTTCAAGACCAGCTTGGGCAACAGGGTGAAACCCCGTCTCTACAAAAAATACAAAACAATTAGCCAGGCATGGTGGCACGCATCTGTAGTCCCAGCTACTTGGGAGGCTGAGGCGGGAAAATGGCTTGAGCCCAGGAGGTGGAGGTTGCAGTGAGCCAAGATCATACCACTGCCCCCCAGCCTGGATAACAAAGCCAGACCCTGTCTCAAGAAAACAAAAAACTTGCCTGTCCATCCATTCATTCATCTTATATAGATAGATTGAGGCTGTGTGGAGAGAATTCTATGATGATGTTCATGAAATATAAAACCCCACAGATGGGGGAGATTTATTGCTTTTTTTCTGTATACTTTCTAAGTGGCTTGGATTTTTTCTGTTGAGCATGTTTATAAAACAAGTACTTAAAATTTTTTTTTAATTTAATGAAGTAGTGTGACATTTCTTGCACCTTTGAGTTTGTGAGCAAATATTCATAAATTTATATTTGGATGTATGAGTTTGTTGTGAGAAAAAGACCACAAATTCACGTATGAAAACCCAAAAACCCAATGTGGTTATTGATGAGGGGTAGGATAATAGATTGTTTGTTTGTTTGTTTGTTTGTTTATCTTTTCAGAGATAAGAGTCTTGCTCTGTCATCCAGGCTGGAGTGCAGTGGCATGATCACTGCTCACTGCAGCCTCAAACTCCTGGGCTCAAGTCAACCTCCCACCTCAGCCTCCCAAGTAGCTGAGACCAGAGGTGCTCGCCACCATACCTGACTTATTTATTTATTTACTTATTTATTTATTGTAGAGACAGGATTTCATTGTGTTGCCCAGGCTGGTCTTGATCTCCTGGCTTCAAGTAATCCCTTCCACTTCAGCATCCCGAAGTGCTGGAATTACAGGTGTGAGCCACCATGTCTGGCCCCTGGATTTTTTTTTAAGTGCATTTTATCATATTCTTTTTCCTCTTCCCCCTCCTCTTCCACTCCCCCTCCTCCTTTTCCTTCTATTTCATTTTCTAATCATGTCATTCCCTTGCTCACTGCTTTCAGTACCAGACACTAGGGAAATAAAAATTCCTTAAATTGTATGACTTATTAAAAGGTCCCAGCCCCTGTGGGAGGTCCACAGTTCCCCAAGCAAACGGGAAAAACAGGTTCACAAACTAGGTACCTTATATTCACATTATTTAAAGCTTACAGTAACCCATTTTACTGGTGGCAGGATTAAGAGCCTTAACCTAGGAATGGAGGAGCCCAGGTTCGAACCCACATGTGGGGCGCTGGGAGTGTGGTTCCTCCCAGGGCTGCCGGGTTTCTTAGCCGCATCTCAAGGCAGCCCCCAGCGGGCCGCGCCCCATCCTATGGCCGCCTCTGCCCTCTTGCGGCGGCTTCTGGAACTACAGGTCGCCTTCCGGTCCCGGAAGTGAATGAGGGGTCCCCCGGGGGCTGTGCTAAGGACGGCCTGTGGCAGGGCCACTCCACACCCCTCAGCGTCCGGGCCACACAGACACAGAACGCAAGAGAGAGACTGACCCACCCACGCACCGGTCCCCATAGACGCAGAGACCGAGGCAGAAATGACGGGATTGCCGCAGACCGGCCAGGAGCAGGGACAGACAGCGGCTCCGCAGACTCTGGTGGGACTGGGCTGAGGCCACTCTCGTGTTCTCACCACACCCTCTCTCAACTATAACTACCTAATAAAACTTAAAATTGTTCTATAAAGAGATGGGGGGGGGGGCGTGTTTGTTTGTTTGTTTGTTGAGATAGGGTCTTGCTCTGTCCCCAGGCTGGAGTGCAGTGCCGCAATCTCGGCTCATTGCAACCTCCCCCTCCTGGGCTCAAGCAATCCTCCCACCTCAGCCTCCCAAGTAGCTGGGACTACAGGCTTGTGCCACCACTCCCAGCTAATTGATGTATTTTTTGCAGAGACGAGGTCTTGCTATGTTGCGGAGGCTGGTCTTAAACTTTTGGGCTCAAGCCATCCTCCTGCCTCAGCCTCCCAAAATTCCTGGGATTACAGGCGTGAGCCACCACACCTGGTCAATACATGTACTCAAAGGGGGACTTTATCTATTGCTACTCTTAAATGGAAAATTTGTGTCACTTTCATAGGCAATAACAATGAAAGTGAATAGGATAAAAACAAAACAATGTTATTAAATGGTGTTGGATGCTTCCCCACAGAGGCTGTGTAGGATGAGTGCTCTGTTCAAAAACGAGTTTTAGCAAAGTGTGAGGACAGTTTTGCAAACATGTTTCATATTCCAACTCAGTAGACACAATTTTTCACAAAGTAACATTCTTCCTTTTCTGATATTTTCTATCGTATGTTATTCCATCTATTTCGTTTTATTTTTTAAAGCACTCAAAGGTGGGTAGAGGCAAGAAGTATAAAAACAGGTGGGGGTCGAGGCTGAGTGGCGGTAGTGAGGGCTCATACCTTCCACTTTTGTGCATGTTCAGATTTAATTTGCAAATTAAAAAGAAGTCGTGTATTTTGTTTTTTGTTTTTTTTTTTTTTTTTTTTTGAGACGGAGTTTCGCTCTGTCGCTCAGGCTGGAGTGCAGTGGCGCGATCTTGGGTCACTGCAAGCTCCGCCTCCCGGGTTCACGCCATTCTCCTGCCTCAGCCTCCCGAATAGCTGGGACTACAGGCGCCCACGACCACGCCCCACTAATTTTTTGTGTTTTTAGTAGCGACGGGGTTTCACCGTGTTAGCCAGGATGGTCTTGATCTCCTGACCTCGTGATCCGCCCGCCTCGGCCTCCCAAAGTGCTGGGATTACAGGCGTGAGCCACCGCACCCGGCCTTAAAAAGAAGTTTTAAAAAAACTAATTTGGATTCAGTATACTAACTTTATAGCTCACTAAGCAGTCACACCCCATAATTGGAAAAACTGTGTGCAAAATACGTAAAGCCCTAACACTGTGCAGAGATTTTACCTGGGCATAATCAGCAGACTGAAAGTGAATGAAGAAGGAAATTGCCTTCCCACTGTAGTTGATTGTCTACTGAGGCGGCCACCAAGAACTTCTCCCTGCCCTGTGCCCTCCGCCACCCCCACATCCAAAGGTGAAGCCTATTTCCCCTCCCCTTGCATCTGGCCTGGCCTTGTGGCTGTTTTCACCCCTAGAATGCACCCCCACTAGAATGCACCAGAAGCGATGTTCTGGGACTTCCAAGTTAAGACCTCAAGAGGACTAGCAGCTTCTGATTGTTATCATTTGGGATGCTCCTTCTGGAAATGAGCCACCACGTTGTGAGGAAGCCCAAGAAGCAACACAGAAAGACCCATGCGGAGAACTGAGGCCCTGGGCTAACAGCTCCAGCTAAGCTTCTAGCTGGCAGCCAGCAGCAACTGCCAGCCACATACTTCCTATCCATGCCTATGGCATCACATCACGAAAACACAGGATGACCGGGCGCAGTGGCTCACGCCTGTAATCCCAGCACTTTGGGAGGCCGAGGTGGGCGGATCACGAGGTCAGGAGATCGAGACCATCCTGGCTAACACGGTGAAACCCCATCTCTACTAAAAATACAAAAAATTAGCCGGGCGTGGTGGCGGGCGCCTGTAGTCCCAGCTACTCGGGAGGCTGAAGCAGAAAAATGGTGTGAACCCGGGAGGTAGAGCTTTCAGTGAACTGAGATCGCGCCACTGCACTCCAGCCTGGGCGACACAGCGAGACTCTGTCTCAAAACAAACAAAGAAACAAAAACAGGATTCCCAGTTAAAATTGAGTTTTGAAAAAATAGTGAAAAATTATTATCACTATTATTTTTATTTTTATTTTTTTGAGACGGAGTCTGGCTCTGTCACCCTGGCTGGAGTGCAGTGGCACGATCTTGGCTCACTGCTACCTCCGCCTCCCGGGCTCAAGCAAGTCTCCTGCCTGAGCCTCCCAAGTAGCTGGGACTACAGGCAAGCGCCACCACTCCTGGCTAATTTTTATACTTTTAGTAGAGACGGGGTTTCACCATATTGGCCAGGCTGGTCTCGAACCCCTGACCTTGTGATCTGCCCATCTCAGCCTCCCAAAGTGCTAGGATAACAGGCGTGAGCCACTGTGCCTGGCCTGACAAATTATTTAGTGTAAGTATGCCCCAAATAACGTGGGACATTCTCATACCAAAAAAAAAAAAAAAAAAAAATTCATTCATTGTTTTCTAATTTAACTGGGAGTCCTGTATTTTTATTTGATATATTCAACAACCCTGCGGACTTTCTCTGGCTTCAAGAGAATGCTCAGCCCGGGCGAAGGGCAAAAGAACAGTGAGGACAAGTGCCACCCTCTCCAGCCCTTGTTGGGACACTTCCGAGCTGTGCTCGCCCAAGAGCACTGAGCCTCTGCTGCCTGCAGCAGTGACCTGCTCCTTCTTGGCTTTCACCCCTTGATCTCACTTCTCCACATGCCTGCTGGTGCCTCCTAGGGTTACCTCCCAAAGAAACTCCCAGTACCGAAATTCTTGTCTCAGGGTCTTTTTTTTGAGACGGAGTCTCGTCCTGTCGCCCAGGCTGGAGTGTAGTGGTGCAATCTTGACTCACTGCAACCTCCACCCCCTGGGTTCAAGCAATTCTCCTGCCTCAGCCTCCCGAGTAGTTGGGACTACAGGCGTGTGCCACCACGCCTGGCTAATTTTTTGTATTTTTTAGTAGAAATAGGTTTTCACTATGTTGGCCAGGACGGTCTGGATCTCCTGACCTCATGATCCATCCGCTTCGGCCTTCCAAAGTACTGGGATTACAGGCGTGAGCCACCGCGCCCGGCCTATTTGAGAACTCAAACCAAGACAGGAAGAGCCGGGTAAACGCTAAGTTTAATGATGGCCGTTATTCCAGTTATTCACTCGCATTGCCTCTTACTGTAGAGGAAAATAAACAGGAATGTAATAATCACAGCTAACATTAATTAAGCCCCTACTGGATATGATACATGTTTCAGATGTACTAACTCACTTCTTACCAACAACCGTCTGAAATATCTTTAAGTCCATTTTCCACACAGGGAAACCAAGGCATAGAGAGCCTAAGCAACTTAACATCTCATTGCCAGCAAGCAACAGCAGCAGAATTCACACCTAGAAAGTGGGGCTTAATAAAATGTAAAATTGTTCTATAAATAGATAAAGTGTTATTAAAAAGAAAAATAGAATGAATTTTGAAACGTCAATTAATGTACTTATTTATTTATTTATTTATTTGAGATGGAGTCTTGCTTAGTCGCCCAGGCTGGAGTGCAGCGGTGCAATCTCGGCTCACTGCAAGCTCCGCCTCCCAGGTTCACGCCATTCTCCTGCCTCAGCCTCCCGAGTAGCTGGGACTACAGGCGCCCGCCACCATGCCCAGCTAATTTTTTTGTATTTTTAGTAGAGATGGGATTTCACTGTGTTAGCCAGGATGGTCTCGATCTCCTGACCTTGTGATCCGCCCGCCTTGGCCTCCCAAAGTGCTGGGATTACAGGCGTGAGCCACCGCACCTGGCCTATTCATTTTATTTTTAAGACAGGGTGTCACTCTGCTACCCAGGCTGGAGTGCAGTGGTACAATCATGGCTCACTTCAACCTCGAACTCCTGGGCTCAAGTGATCCTCTCACCTCAGCCTCCTGAGTAGCAGGTGGACACCACTCAGGGCCCATGTGTTCACATATTAGGCCACAGTGCCTCTCCAACCCCCAGAATGAAATCCAAGCCCCTTGGCCTGGTCCTCAAGTCTTTCTCTGACCTGGTCATCCCTGCCACCTGCCCTCTCTTCTCCAGCTACCTTGAATCACTTGAAGAATCTCCATGCCTCACAGCTTTCATTGCTGTTACTTCTGCCTTGAACACCCTTCCTCCTTGTCATTCCCACTTTTCAAGTCTCACATCAGCATGCACTGCCTCCTCCAGGAAGCCTCTCAGCACTCACCCCAGAGTCCGTCAGGCTCCTCCAGGTTCCTATGGCCTCCCAGCTGTCCCCTATTTGATCACAAGTGCTGGCTCTGGAAGAGTTGATAGAGGAGCAGGCGGCTGAGTGAGAGGCACCATGAGGAGTGGGCGGCTGAGTGAGAGGCACCGTCCTGCCCCATGGTTAGCGCAAAAATCGATAAACCAGCACCCAATGGGCACCTACTGTGTGCAAGGCACTGTTCTCAGTGCTGGGGCTACCCATGGAAGTAGACAGACAAAAATCCCCGCACTTACAGGCCGACTTTCTCCTGGGCAGGCAGACGATAAACACAGTAAGTAGGATGGAGAGCTGGGAGGTGGCCCAAGGAGAGCACATGAGGGAGGATGCTGGGCGTTCGTGCCATTTGCATGGCTATGACAGCGTGCTGCGGGGGCATCGATGTTCCCACCTCCCCATGAGGCCTCCCCTCGCATCCTCCGATACACACTGGCCCCTCCAGCTCCACTTCCCTTTTTTTTTTTTTTTTTTTTTTTTTTGAGAGAAGTCTTGCTCTGTCGCCCAGGCTGGAGTGCAGTGGCCCGATCTCGACTCACTGCAACCTCTGCCTCTCAGGTTCAAGCGATTCTCCTGCCTCAGCCTTCCAAGTAGCTGGGACTACAGGCGCCCACCACCATGCCCGGCTAATTTCTGTATTTTTAGTAGAGACAGGGTTTCACCGTGTTGGCCTGGCTGGTCTCCAACTCCTGACCTCAGGTGATCTGCCCGCCTCAGCCTCCCAAAGTGCTGGGATGACAGACGTGAGCCACCACGCCCGGCTTTTTTTTTTTTTTAGACTGAGTTTTGCTCTTGTTGCCCAGGCTGGAGTGCAATGGTGTGATCTCAGCTCACTGCAACCTCTGCCTCCCAGGTGCAAGTGACTCTCCTGCCTCAGCCTCCCGAGTAGCTGGGATTGCAGACATGCCCCACCATACCTGACTCATTTTTTATTTTTGGTAGAGACGGGGTTTCTCAGTGTTGGTCAGGCTGGTCTCAAACTCCTGACCTCAGGTGATCCGCCCGCCTCGACCTCCCAAAGTGCTGGGATTACAGGCGTGAGCCACCGCGCCCGGTCCGGCTTCACTTCTTTAAGCACTCACCCTGTGCTAGATAGACAACTGACATTCCGCGTTGTGTTTATTGTTTATTGCCCGTCCCCTCTATGTCAGCTTCCTGAGGCAGTGACTTTGCTCATCGTTGTCCCTGCGGTATCGCCGGTGCCCAACTCAGTATCTAGCACACGGTAAGTACTCAGGGAAGAGTTGTGGAGGATACATTTTGCGGAAGGGGAAACTGAATCTCAAGGAAGGAAGATGATTTGCTCGAGGCCACATGAAAATTAGAAGGCAGGAGAGGGATTTGAGCAGGGTCTGTGGCTCCGAGACCGAGGCTCCTCTCCGGGTGACTCTTCCCGGGATTCTGGCCTCATTTGGACCTCCAGGGCCCCGGACCTGAGCCTGGGGCAGAGCTGGGACCCAGGCGGGCGAGGCTGAGCGGCTAGCTGAGAGTCGCCAGCAGAGGGCGCTGTCTACACGTGTCCGGGCGCAAGGAGGCACCAGTAGGGCTGAGCCTGGGGAGGCAGAGAGAGCGGCGGGTTGTGGGGTGGTGGGGCAGTGGGGCGGTGGGGCGGTGGGGCGGTGGGGCGACAGGATGGGGAGGAGACTGAGGCAGCGGGTGCTGTGGGAACCTACAGGAGAACTTTACCAGCTGGATAAAGGCAGGTTTCCCAGGAGTTTATTTTTTAACTGTATGCTGAAAAATAAATGGGAGGTGGCGTTTGAGAAAGCGAAGTGTGTTCCAGGTGGAGAGAACAGCATGTGTGAAGGCCCAGAGCCGGCCCCCGGATCTTTTCAGAATGCATCTTGGTCAGGGGAGGATGGTCGGCCAGGACACATGCATGGCCCCCTGGAGTCGTGCAGCGCTGGCCTTGGTGAGTCTTCAGGCACAGATTGAGGCGTAAAGGAGGTGCTCCTGCCGAAATTTAATTATGCCCAGGCATGGTATCCCAGCATTTTGGGAGGCCAAGGTGAGAGGATTGCTTGAGGCCAGGAAGTTCGAGACCAGCCTGGGCAACATAGTGAGATGCGATCTCTACAAAAATTTAAAAAATTAGCCAGGTGTGGTGGCATACACTTGTAGTCCCAGCTACTCTGGAGGCTAAGGTGGAAGGATCACTTGAGCACAAGAAGTGGAGGCTGCAGTGAGCTGAAGGGGCCACTGCACTCCAGCCTGGGTGACAGAACAAGACCCTGTCTAAAAAACAAACAAAGAAGTAAATGCCCTAGTCTCAGGTATTCTGTTAGAGCAACACCAAACACACTAAGACAGGGAGGAAGGGGCTGGGTGGGCTCCCACAGTCCTGTCCAGCCACTGGGCCCGTGCAGCACAGCACTTCCCGGGTGCATCAGCATTGAGCCTTTCCTGAGTGCTGCTGCCATCTGTCCTCCAGTTATGAAGGGAACAAGAGACCCAGAAGGGGTGGGGCTGGCCCATGGTCTCCCTTGCTCACAGCCCTGGGCTGGAGCCCTTGTACAGAGCTGCCTCCTGGTCAGCCAAGAAAGGCTCACTGGAGGAGGAGGGGTAGGTCAGGCCTCTTCCTGGCCTCAGAACAGGATATGGGTGGGGGATGTTGGTGTCTCCTACACTGGGGCCTGCCCACCTTCTTCCCCCAATGTTCCTCCATCCTGCTCTGAGCGTTGTGCAGAGGACCCTGGACTGTGGGGTTCATCCTTTCCTAGGGAGCTTCCAAGGGCCCACACAGCCTGCTCCCCGCACCCCATGGAGGCGCAATGATAGCAGAATTACTGGCACTGTTAACCTGCTGGAGTGGGAACCTGGAGTCCTGGAAGGTCAGAGGTCAAGCTGGGGGGCTGGGGGCACTGCCTGCACTGGCCACTGCAGTGCAGAGAAGCTGAGGTGACCTCAATCTGAGAGACTGGAGACCAGGGTTGGGTGAGGGTGCATGGGAAACGGGTGGATGGGGACTGGGTGAATGGGTACTGAGTGGATGGGGACTGGGTGGATGGGGAGTGGGTGGATGGATAGTGGGTGGATGGGGACTGAGTGGATGGGGACTGGGTAGATGGATACTGGGTGGATGGGGACTGAGTGGATGGGTACTGGGTGGATGGGGACTGGGTGGGTGGGGATTGGTGGATGGGGATTGGTGGATGGGGACTGGGTGGATGGGGACTGGGTGGATGGGGATTGGTGGATGGGGACTGGGTGGATGGGGACTGGGTGGATGGGGATTGGTGGATGGGGACTGGGTGGATGGGGACTGGGTAGATGGGGACTGGGTGGGTGGGGACTGGGTGGATGGGGATTGGTAGATGGGGACTGGGTGGATGGGGATTTGTGGATGGGGACTGGGTGGATGGGGATTGGTGGATGGGGACTGGGTGGATGGGAACTGGGTAGATGGATACTGGGTGGATTGGGACTGGTGGATGGGGACTGACTGGATGGAAGGAGGGCAGGGGGCCAGGTGGGGCCAGGCAGCCTGCCTGCTCTGCTGAGCAGCCTGGACCCAGGGGCTGCCTCTCCCAGGCCTCAGTCTCATCATCTATAGAATGGAGTTTCCAGAGATGGTCTGAGGCCCCTTCCAACTACCTGCAATGTGCTGGGTCCCAGGTCCACAGGAAGGACTGGTTCCTAGGGTCTTCCTTCCCAGCAAATTGTCCCTCCTGCTTCTGGCAGCAAAAGCTTCCCAGGATAATATTATCAATAGTAATATTGTCCCCCCTCCTCCTCTGCCTCTTCTTGTGTTTCTATATTCCAGGAACTTTCCTAAATGATTCATTTATTTATCAAATAATTTAATCCCCCACAATCCCATGAGTAAGAGACATTTACTGATCCCTTTTTATAGTTGAGGAAACAGACTCAGGGAGGGGAGGTGACTTGCCAGAGCCACACAGCTGGCAATCTGGCTCCTGTACTTCCGCATCCCTGAGGTCACTTTGGTGCCCCCGCCGCATGCCAGGGATAAAGAGACCCAAGACCTTACCGCAACTCACGGAGACCTATGTGGCTGCATGTGTCACCCCCAGGCAGAGTGACTTGAAGGGCCCAGGGAGGGGCCTCTTTTCATCCTGGGGACTGCCAAGCCCTGGAGTCCAGCTGGGCACGGGCAGTCAGCCTGGGCTGGGGGATGGTGCCTGGCTGCTAGGATGCTGGTCCTAGCATGGCAGGCATGGGTTAAAATCCCAGCTGTGCCACTTTCTGGTGTGTGATTCCAGGCACGTGACCTTTCTGCTTTGTGCCTCAGTTTCCCCTTCTGTGGAACGGGGATAATAGCAACACCTCTTTTATAAGGCAAGGTGGTTGTGAGGATTCAATGAAGCAATACACGAAAGCAGTTGCCTGCTTGGTCCCGTGGGTTCTCCATGGGATAGGGAACCCACGGAAGCCACGCCCAGCTAATTTTTTTGTATTTTTTTTAGTAGAGACAGGGTTTCACCATGTTGGCCAGGCTGGTTTCAAACTCCTGACCTTGAGTGATCCACCCACTTCAGCCTCCCAAAGTGCTAGGATTACAGGCCTGAGCCACGGCTCCTGGCTGTTTGTTTTTTGAGACAGGGTCTCACTCTGTCGCCCAGGCTTGAGGGCAGTGGTGCTGTCATAGCTCATTGCAGCCTTGATCTCCTGGGCTCAAGTGATCCTCCCACTTCAGCCTCCTGAGTAGCTGGGACTACACGTCCACACTACCATGCCTGGCTAGTTTTTTATTTTGTAGAGGGGGGATTTCACCATGTTACCATGGTCTTGAACTCCTAAGCTCAAGTGATCCACCCACCTCGGCCTCCCAAAGTGCCGGAATTATAGGCATGACCCACCATGCCCAGCCTGAATGGCCACTTTTGATGGAGCACTTACTATGTGTCGCCAAACCCCTCTGAGCCTCAGTTTCCTCCTTTGTAGGTGGGACTTGCTCAGGGACTCACTGCTGGCCTTGGGGAGCAGAGAACTCAGGTCTTTGTGATTCCGAAGTCCAGGTTCTTCCACCTGCAACTGCAGTTTCCAGAATTGGTCCCACCCCAGGAGGATCAGCCAGGTGATATGAGATCCTGCTCGGGGCTGTGAAAAGGGAATGGGAAGTCAGGGCACCCTGCCTGGTCCCACACTGATCCACCTGGGGTACCCATCTGAGAAATAGGGGTGGAGACCAGACTGGATGATGCAAATGGCATGTGGCATTGATCATTGGCCCCTCACGCTGGCCACGGCCTCTAGGTGGGCAGAGTGCACTCCCTGTCTCTTGACTCTGGGCTCAGCCATGTAACTTGCTTTGGTCAATGGGATAGCAGTGGCTATAACAAGACCAAAGGCTTGAGGTGCACTTCCACAGTGGAGCTGTCTTCTTGGCTTCTGCTGTGAGAAGATTGTCCCCCTGAATGGCTGCCGGCCCTTCAGCCTCGCCCCGCCAAGAGACACATGGAACAGCCAGAGCCCAGCCTAGAGCCTGTATCCCAGCCTAGCCTGAGGCAGAGCCACCCAGCCAAGACCAACTGACCTTCAGCTAACCTGCAGATGCATCAGGGGGAATTAAATGATTGTTCTAAACCACTGAGTTTTGGGGTGGTTTGTTATGTGGCATTATTGCAGTGATAGCTAATACAAGCCTGGTGTCAGTCTACAACTCTTGGACTCTGAGCTGCATTTACGTCCTGAATCCATCACTTACTGAGAATCAGGTCTTTATTATTATTATTAATTTTACTCCATCAATTTCAAGTTTTCCATAAGAGACATAGACAATGTAAAGGTCAAAGATTTTGGGCGACAAAACAGAGATAACTACAAAACCTCTGGCAAACAACAGTTGCTACCTTTGCACCAAGCTGAGCTCTGAGCTTCCTGACAGGCATGGCAAAGAGAGGAAGAACATGCACTACTCATATGCTGGGGAGCATTAAGGTCCTACGGGCTGCGTCCCATGGGCTGGCGACCTCCCACTGGGGCCCTCTTCACATTGCTGTGGGATCCCAGCATTTTCCCCAACTTTCCTCCTTCCAGACCCTGCTCCAGTATCACCCCAACTTGAAGCCTTCCTGGCTGTTAGAATTTCTTACAGCAGATTGCCTCTGTCACTCATTAGTTCATCCCGTATCTGCTGGCATCAACCTATGTTGTGCTTAGAAAAGACTTATAGAGGCCGGGCGTGGTGGCTCACGCCTGTAATCCCAGCACTTTGGGAGGCCGAGGTGGGTGGATCATGAAGTCAAGAGATTGAGACCATCCTGGCCAACATGGTGAAACCCTGTCTCTACTAAAAAAATGCAAAAAAATTAGCTGGGCGTGGTGGCGGGCGCCTGTAGTCCCAGCTACTTGGGAGGCTGAGGCAGGAGAATCACTTGAACCCGGGAGGCGGAGCTTGCAGTGAGCTGAGATTCTGCCACTGCACTCCAGCCTGGCGACAGAGCGAGACTCTGTCTCAGAAAAAAAAAAAAAAAAAGAAAGAAAGAAAGAAAAGAAAAGATGTATTGAGGCTGGGCGCAGTGGCTGAAGCCTGTAATCCACCAAGGTGGGCGGATTGCCTGAGCTGAGGAGTTTGAGACCAGTTTGGGCAACATGGTGAAACTCCCGTCTCTACTAAAATACAAAAGAAATTAGCCAGGCATGGTGGCATCCGCCTGCAGTCCCAGCTACTCGGGAGGCTGAGGCAGGAGAATGGCTCGAACCCAGGAGGTGGAGGTTGCAATGAGCCGAGATTGCGCCACTGCATTCCAGCCTGGGCGACAGAGCATGACTCCATCTCTAAAAAAAAAAGAAAAGAAAAGAAAGGACTTGGCTGGGCACGGTGGCTCACGCCTGTAATCCCAGCACGTCGGGAAGCCAAGGTGGGTGGATCACGAGGTCAGGAGATCGAGCCCATCCTGGCTAACACAGTGAAACCCCGTCTGTATTAAAAATACAAAAAAATTAGCCAGGTGTGGTGACGGGTGCCTGTAGTCCCAGCTGCTCGGGAGGCTGAGGCAGGAGAATGGCGTGACCCCAGGAGGTGGAGCTTGCAGTGAGCCGAGATTGCACCACTGCACTCCAGCCTGGGCGACAGGGCGAGACTCTGTCTCAAAAAAAAAAAAAAAAGAAAAGAAAAGAAAAGAAAAGAAAAGACTTATCGAGTGAATAATGAATAAATGAATGAATGAGGAAATGAATTTACAGATGGGGAAGTGAATTAATGAAGTTAAAAGCAAGTACATGGAAGAAAGTGTTTGTTTACCTGAGTCTGATTAGGGGAAGGAGCCCTGAGTGGAGGCACTGTCGTTTGAGGTGGTCTTGCCTATACCTTTGTAAAGAATGCTTGAGAAGTTTCTTGAGGGGTTCTGGGAGCTGAGGATCACATAAGAATTCTAGCCGAGAACAATTTGTCAGCTGTCACAGTGCAGAGCATGATGGTTGAACTCAAATGCCGCCAAGCAGATGACAGGGACAGTTTCCACCTAGTTCAGGAACATAAGCTAAGGCACTTCAGGGAGGTTTTTTTGTTTGTTTGTTTTTAATTTTTTTGAGACAGGGCCTCACTCCGTCACCCAGGCTGACTGCAGTTGTGCGGTCTTGATTCACTGCAGCCTGGAACTCTTGGGCTCAAGGGATTCTCCCACCTCAGCCTCCTCAGTAGCTGGGATCACAGGCTTGCACCACTATGCCGGCTAATTTTTTAATTTTTTTCCAGAGAGGGGGTCTTGCTTTGTTGCCCAGGCTGCTCTCAAACTCCTGGCCTCAAGTGGTCCTTCCACCTCGGCCTCCTAAAGTGCTCAGATTACAGGCGTGAGCCACCGTGCCCAGCTGGGGAGTATTTTTATGTCCCCAAAATGCAGGATCTGCCTCCAGTTGATTTATCTTTAGTGAATAAGGATGAAAATGCTATCTATTTCCTGGAAAATCCTCTTGGCCTTCAACCAAAAATGGTTAAAACAGATCTTGAAGAAGAGCTAGTTGAGTGGGGCAAAATGGGAGCCTATGGTCACGAAGAAGGCAGCATCCTTGGGATACAGAGATGAGAGTATTGTAGGCCTACAGAAGGACTATAGGAGCCTACGAGAAAGAAATAGCCCTAGTGAATGCGCTGACTGTTAATCTACATCTTCTACTGTTACCCAGGGTCTCACTCTGTTGTCCAGGCTGGAGTGCAGTGGCACAATCACAGCTCACTGCAGCCTCAACTTCCCGGGCTCAGGTGATCCTCCCATCTTAACCTCCCAGGTAGCTGGGACTACAGGCACACACCACCACGCCAGACTAATTTTTGTATTTTTTTGTAGAGATGGGGTCTTGCCATGTTGCACAGGCTGGTCTCGAACTCCTTGGATTACAGGTGTGAGCCACCGCGCCCAGCCTTAGTCCAGTTATTGTTTAAGCCTATACCAAATGGTATAAAATTCTTATAGAAGCCAAAGCTTTCTCTTTTAATCATTATACTGTTGAGTCACAGCTACGACTCCATGGAGTTAACATTGAGGAAAGGGGATTATAAAGCCAAGACGGGGGAGGAAACCTTAAGAATAAAGGATATTGGCCGGGCGCGGTGGCTCATGCCTGTAATCCCAGCACTTTGAGAGGCCGAGGCCGGTGGATCACCAGAGGTCAGGAGTTTGAGACCAGCCTGGCCAACACGGTGAAACCCCGTCTCTACTAAAAGTACAAAAATTAGCTGGGCGTGGGCGTCGTGGCAGGCGCCTGTAATCCCAGCTACTCTGGAGGCTGAGGCAAGAGAATCGCTTGAACCCGGGAGGTGGAGGTTGCAGTGAGCTGAGATCGTGCCATTGCACTCCAGCCTGGGGGACAAGAGAGAGATTTCGTCTCAAAAAAAAAAAAAAAAGAAAAATTAGCTGGGTGTGGTGATGCATGCCTGTAATCCCAGCTACCCAGGAGGCTGAGACAGGAGAATCACTTGAACCCAGGAGGTGGAGGTTGCAGTGAGTCAAGATAGCGTCACTGCACTCCAGCCTGGGTGACACAGCAGGACTCCATCTGAGAAAAATAAATAAATAAATAAAATAAAATAAAGGATATCCCTGAAGCAATTGAGAAGGGAGGAGGCTCAATTACAGCAATCCTGTTCAGTGGGCTGCATTTTTATACTAGGCAGCTCTTTAATATACCTGCTACCACGAAAGCTGGACAAGTGAAGGGATGTTTTGCTGGCTTGATCTAGCATGTACAGTTGGAAATGCTGAACTCACTTACGTGACAGAAGAGTTGACTTTGCCCACTGGTGTTCCCACAATAATTTGAATGCAGGAGCAGGAGGTCTGGCAGGTACTTTTTCCATGAAAAGCATGCCCGTATGATTAAAGCTGTGCTGCTGGGGTGGTTTGGCTGTGAACTCAGCACCAGATTTGAGATGGATAACCAACTGCAGTTAATCCCTGGGGTTAGTGGATTCCAAATTTCAAATCCTCCCATTTTGTTGGTCTGTTTCTTACAGTTTAGAGATCTTTAGGCAGGCAGCGATTAAAGCATTGTGGAGAAAATCTATTTTGCTGACTGGTTATCTGGAATACCTGATCTAGCACTGCTATGGCAAAAATAAAGCAGAATCTAAGAAGCCAATGGTGACCTGGAGGTGACCATTACTCCATCCCATATGGAGGATCAGGGCTGCCAGCTGACACTAACATTTTTCTGTTCCAAAGAAAGATGTTTTCCAAGAGGTAGAAAAAAGAGGAGTGGTTTATGACAAGTGGAATCCAAATGTCATTCAAGTGGCTCCAGTTCCTTTCTATCATTCTTTCCATGATGTTTATAAATTTATCAATCTGGGCTGGGTGTGGTGGCTCACACCTGTAATCTCACCACTTTGGGAGGCCGAAGCCAGAGGATCACTTGAGCCTAGGAGTTTGAGAACAGCATGGACAACATAGTGAGACCCTGTTTCTACAAAAAAACAAACAAAAAAAAGTATTTTTAATTAGCCAGGCATGGTGGCACACACCTATAGTCCCTGCTACCCAGAAGGCTGAGGCAGGAGGATCACTTGATCCCAGGAGATCAAGGCTGCAGTGAGCTGTGATGGCACCACTGCACTCCAGCCTGGGCAAGAGAGTGAGACCCTGTCTCCAAAAAAAAAAAAAAAAAATTTATCAGTCTGCTCACTTCTGTACTTCACTCTGCAGAAACAAAAATTAGCAGTGTTTTCTAGAACAATTTAAGCAAATTATACTGAAAGCTGATGTGTGTTTTTTTTTTTACCATTATTCAATTTTTAGTTATTGAAAGTATTTTACAATTGATTGCATGTAGCTGGCAGTAAGTAATATACTTTACAGAAAAGAAAAATAAGTAAATGAAACAACAAGTAAGACTAAGGAGTGATGGGGGGGCTAAGGAAATTGCTTTTATTTTATACAAGTTTATTGAAAACCACCTGTACTTATCCCTGAGAGAGGATGCAGATATGGCCCCTGCTTATTAGAAGCACAGGTCTGAGGGGGGGAGGCAGATCCAGATCCAGACCCAGCCAATCATGGCTGAAGGTGATCAGTGCTGTGACAAAGGAGTCCCAGGGACTGAAGGGCCCAAGAAAGCCCCAGTCCATCCTGGAGGTCAGGGAAAGCTCCCTGGGGATGGAAAGAAATGGGTTGTATAGGAATTTGCCAGGAGAAGAGGTGGGAGAAGATGGAGCAACATGAGCAAAGGGTGAGGAATGAGAAGAACTAAGCAAATGTGCAGGAGAAATAAATGGAGCTTCTAGAAATTTAACACCTAGTAACATATTAAAAACTCAATGGAGAGTTTAAACGACAGTTTAGACAAAGCTGAATAGAGAATTCATGATCTGGAAGATGGATTTGAAGAAATTATCCAGAATTCAACCCAGAAAGAAAAATAAATGGAAAATGGGGGCAGGGGGGAAAGAAGAATTCAACCTGAGAAAGCTGAAGGAGGAGGAGGAGGAGGAGGAGGAGGAGGAGGTGGCAGCAGTAGCAAGGAGAAGGAGAAGAAGAAGGAGGAGGAGAAGGAGAAGGATGAGGAGGAGGGAGAGGAGAAGAAGAAGAAGACGAAGAAGAAGAGGAGGAGGAGGAAGAGGAGGAGGAGAAAACAAAGAAAAAAAGTGGTTAGGAGCCAGGGAGAATACAACAGGAAGAGCTAACATAGGTAGCAGTTCCAGACAGAGAAGGGAAAACGAGACAAATTCAATATTTGAAAACATGAAGTCTGACTTTTTTTCCATATCTAATAAGCACCACCAAATGCATAGATTCTAGAGATCCAATGAATCCCAAGCAAGATAGGTAGGAAGAAATTCATGTCTGGACATATTGTAGTGAAAATATAGAACACCAAAGTCAAAGAGGAGATCCTAGAAGCAACCAGAGAGAAAGCAGAGGAGATTCTTTAAGTGTTTCAGTGTTGCAACAGTGAGATATTCAAAGGCAGGGAGTATAGGGAAATGGGGCTCTAGTAGAGCCAATTATTAAGGGTGATTTTGAGCCAGAGGAGTGATACGATGAGATCTGTGTTTCAGAATCTGAGTATGGAAAGCCAGGTGCGCTGCTCAAACCTGTAATCTCAGCACTTTGGGGGGCCAAGGTGTGTGGATCGCTTGAGACCAGGAGTTTGAGACCAGCCTGGGCAACAGAGTAAGAGACGCTGTTTCTTTTTCTTTTCTTTTCTTTTTTTTTTTTTTTGAGACAGAGTTTCACTCTGTCACCCAGGCTGGAGTGCAGTGGCGTGATCTCGGCTCGCTGCAACCTCCGCCTCCCGGGTTCAAACGATTCTCCTGTCTCAGCCTCCCAAGTAGCTGGGACTACAGGTGCCCACAACCAGACCTGGCTAATTTTTGTAGTTTTAGTAGAGACAGGGTTTCATATTGGCCAGGCTGGTCTCGAACTCCTGACCTTGTGATCCACCTGCCTTGGCCTCCCAAAGTGCTGGAATTACAGGTGTGAGCCACCGCGCCTGGCAAGAGACGCTGTTTCTACAAAAAAATAAACAAAAAAAATTAGCTGAGCATGGTGGCATGTACCTATAGTCCCAGCCATTTGAGAGGCTGAGGTAGGAGGATCACCTGGGCCCGGGGGCTCAAGGCTACAGTGTTCACACCACTGCACTCCAGCCTAGTGTGCAGACTGGAGTGATGGAGTGAGACTCTGTCTCAAAAAAAAAAAAAAAAGAAAGAAAAGAAAAGAAAGATGCGGTTCTACTCAGCGTCATCTGATTGCTACCCTGTAAAAGTGCAGCCCCAGAGTTCTGAGCTTCTGATATCCCAAAAGAAATGGAAACAGGTGGCCCCTGGATGAAGGAGGAGGTCAGGGGTGGCTGGAAGGCAGGTCCTGGGGAGTGTAGGGGCTGGAAGAAGACGGAGGGGGAAGGTGTGGTAGACACTATTATAATAGCTGACTGATCCTTGTGTACCATTCCCAATTCCCCTCTTCCCTGCTGCTTTCCACTGTGGAGGCTGGAAAAGAGAAACTACTTACCTTCTCAGCCTTTGTTGCAGCTGGGAGTGACCATGTGACACAGTTTTGGCCAATGACATCTAAGGAGTCTCATTAGATCTCATTATGTGTGTGTGGCAGGGGTGGGGGTGGGGGGTGAGGGGGGCGGGGTGCCTGGGAAATTATTGACGAAAGTGACAAACGCTTTCAATTAACCCTGAAAGTAACCATTCCTTTTCCTTTCTGTCTTAAATGCGGAGGCAGATGCAACGCCAGGAGCAGCATCAGCCACGCTGTAAACAAGGGGGAAACGCCAAGCGCATTACAGAGGACGTCAGCCCTGCCATCACTGGGCTGGGGAAACAATGCCAGCCATGGCTGGTCTCCGGGTTCACAGTGATAAGGGAAATAAACCCTTATTTGTCTAAGCCATTGTGATTTGTTTTCCTTTTTTTTTTTTTTCAGCCACTTTACAGAAGAGGGATATTTGTTAAAATTCAGAAGGAGAGAGAAAAGGAGAGACTGCGCAGGTTGAAACGGTGGTGGGAAAATGTCAAAGAGAGAGAGACTTTGTTTGCAGGTGGCAGGGGCCTGAGCACGATTTTGTCACAATAGCAGATTGAGCACAGGATGTGCCAGGCACAGCGCTTTATACTGATCGACGCGTTTTAAAAATATTTTGTAGGCCGGGCGCGGTGGTTCACGCCTGTAATCCCAGCACTTTGGGAGGCTCAGGCGGGCGGATCACGAGGTCAGGAAATTGTGACCATCCTGGCTAACACGGTGAAACCCCGTCTCTAGCAAAAATACAAAAAATTAGCCAGGCGTGGTGGCACGCGCCTGTAGTCCCAGCTACTCGAGAGGATGAGGCAGGAGAATCGCTTGAACTCGGGAGACAGAGGTTGCAGTGAGCTGAGATCGCTCACTTGAGATCGCGCCACTGCACTCCAGCCTGGGCGATAGAGCGAGACTCCGGCTAAAAAACAAACAAACAAACAACAAAAAAAAACAAATTTGTAGAGACGGGGGGGGGGGGTCTCACAATGTTGACCAGGCTAGTCTCGAACTCCTGACCTCAAGCCGTCCTCAGGCCCGGCCTCCCAAAGTGCTAGGATTAAGGCCTGAGCCACCGCGCCCAGCAGAACGCATTTAGTTCTCACTGCAACTTTCTGAGGCAGGCTGTGCTGTTATCCCCACCACACAGAGGGAACTGCGGTGCTCTTCTTAGACAAGAAAAGCGCCAGCCAGCGGGTGGTGAGGCAGGATTTGAACTCGAGCACACGGAGCCCATCCAGTCCCGATGGACTGACTCCTCCGTCAGCGGAGGAGGGAGCGAGTCGTTAGGTGAACAGTGAGTGTCTCAGGGTCCCGAGTGTGAGGTGGGGCGTCGG
The DNA here is from genome assembly GCF_000001405.40 of Homo sapiens. Lineage (NCBI taxonomy): Eukaryota > Metazoa > Chordata > Mammalia > Primates > Hominidae > Homo > Homo sapiens. The sequence goes on from NC_000017.11 coordinate 19,088,842, forward strand.
ATGTGTCGCGGGGTCCTGCCTGGCCGTGTCCGGGCCGAGGCAGGGGAGGACGATCCGGGGCAGGGCAGCCAGCACTGCTCTCCCTGAGGGCCGGGGCTGTGCGCGCTGCGCGGTCTGTGCGTGGGATACGCCGGGCCCCGCCTCGCCTTCCCGCCCCGTCTCCCAGTCCTCCGCCCTGGCCCTGCCATAGGGAGCCCGGCCCGGGGGTTCTGCGGCTGCCGCAGCCCTGACAGGGGCCGGGGGCGTGGAGGGAGCGGGCCGGCGCTGGCGCAGCCGCAGAACTGTGCAGGAGAGACTGTGACCCCGGTGGCCCTCTCTGAGTCTTGGTTTCTTCCTCCGTGAAATGGGGCTTGAGCAGCGCCTCCTCGACGGGGAAGAGGGCCCGCAGAGACAGCGCGCCAGAGAGTCCAGGGCAGCGCAGGGAAGGAGCCTGTGGATCCCTCCCAGACCCATCCCACCGCCGATCCCGCCCAGGGGCGGCCCAGAGCATTTCCTGAAGGGCCTCAGGAAATACCAGGCCCCCGCCCCCAACCCTCCCGCCACCCCCGCCGCCCCCGCCCGTCCGCCCGCTAGCGTCCAGCTCCCTGGCCGCCCCTCCCCCGCCTCCTTCCGGCCGGCCCCCTGCTCGCATCTTGGCTTGCTGAGGCTGCGGGTCTTGGCCGGGCCTTCGAGAATCCCCCGCCGCCTCCCCTTCTGGATGTATCTGCGCCGCCTCCTTTCTCCCTCCCCTTCCTTCCAGCCCTTCATTCCCTCGGGGCGGGCGGGCAGGCCGGCAGGCCCCGCGCAAACCTGGGGAAAGGTAGGTGGAGGGTGCGGGGTCCGATAACTGGCGGCCACACCCAGTAGGCCAGGCAGCTGCAGGAAAGAGGTTAAAGGAGTTGGAAGAGATTCTGGGAACTCGGGGAAGGAATCAGGGAAAGCTGCCTGGAGGAGGCGACATTTAAGTTTGGACTGGAAGAGCAAGGCGGGTCAGACAATAATTCATGTATTTACCAAGCATTTATCGAGCACTTACTGTGTTCAAGACCCTGGGGTTGGGGCAGGAGGCAAGATAACTGTGTCCTTATGGGTTTTGCAGTAGGGAAAACAGTGAAGGCAACCATCTCACAAACTGCTGGAGTTGAGACCACCAGAGGGGACAATAGAATGTTAGTTCCATTTGATCAATGAGACCAGAGAGGACTGGGGTGAAATTACTTTCCCACAGTCACAAGTAGTAGAACTGGGATTCGAACGTGTGCTACTGTAACATGAGCCCCTAACCACAGGAGTCTCTGTGGCTTTTCAAAGCAGACACGCTGCTGCACACAGGAGCAGCTGCCAGCCTGCCTTGCAGCAGCCATGGCCATGCTGCAGGGCCCACCCGGGGCAGGTGCTGGCAGAGGGGACAGCCAGCCACTGGTGGGAGATCTTGCCCTGGGAGAGGCAGCAGCGGAAATTGCTGTGGGATGGTGGAGGCTGTGGTGGCCATGATGTGGTTGCTTCGGGGCCCCTGTGGTTCCAACCAGGGCACTGTGCCTGCCTTCTGTGGCTTCTTCACCCACAGAGAACCCTCACTGGGGCCATGTCCTGCTTCCTGGAGCTGAGATTGAGTCTGGGAGCCCAGGTGGAACCCTTCTCACTCTCTGGGGACCTCCCACCCTTTATCTCCTGGGAGGCTGGGCTAGCATTCCTGCTTTATAGAAGAGGAAACCAGGGTCAGAGAGGCATGATGGCTCGTCCAGGGCCACACAGCAGAAGGCCCGTGTCTGCTCAATGACTGAAGATACGCGGCTCTTTTCTTGATTCTCCATTCATTCGTTCATTCACTCACTCACTGTAACACACGCACATATCCTCTGGGTACTCACTATTCCATTGCACAGCAACCTGAAGGCTTCCAGCTAAGCTTGAGCACCTGAGGACCAGCGACTCTGCCTGGGGGCTTCATCCAGCAGCTGCAGCCTGCTGGCCCCTGCCCCAGAAGGCCACCGTGGTGCTAGAGTAGGCTGTAAAGTGCTATCCCCCGAGTAGCCTTGATGCACAACTGACCTGGTGAGAGTTAGTGATAAACAGTTCTGCATCATCGCCCAAGGTTCCCCAGCTGTCCATAGTGTTATGTGCTCATTCCCATACCCTTTGTTGGCTCCTTCCCTTCCCTGTATCATTTTCCTGACAACCTGAAGGTGATTCTTGGGATCTCATTCAAGCCAAAAACCTTGCACTGGAATATTTTTCCGGACTGGGCTTCTGAGGGTAGCAAATGAAGACATTCATTTATTCAGTCTTCAAACACGATTGACCTAACCTGAGCCCGCCCCATGCTGGGCTCTGGGGGTGTGGGCATGATTCATAGGCATTTTCTGGCCTCCAGAGCCCCTTGCTTGACGGAAGAGGCAGGAACAGCTTCTGATGATTCTAACCCAGTGTGGTTAATGACGTGACCACATCTCCAGGGAGAATGACCCCTTCTGCCTGGGAGGTCAAGCGGCATCTCCAAAGATGTTCCCTTCCAGCTTGGCTTTGAAGGATGAGGAGGTGTTCCCCATCGGGACCAGGGGGCTGGGGAAATGGCATTCTTGGCAAAGAGAACAGCATGTGCAGACCAGGAGCAGGAGCAAGGAGGGGCTGACAGATGGTGGCACTAGGGACGTTGGCAGGGTCAGACTGTGCCAGCCTTGAAGGCCAGGGGAGACCCTGGGACTGTGGCGTGGTCATGGGAAACCACCACTGACAGTTTTGGAGCAAGGGCAGGATTTGGTTTTAGGAAACGCACTTTCTCTGGAAAGACCTACAGGTTTAACGGTCCTTCCTTCCTCATTGTAACTCCCAGCAAGTCAAGGGAGTCCACCCTGGTGCAGCTGAACAGCAGCATCGCTATACGTGGAGCTCTTATTAACACTTCATTCACTGGGTCTTCACACCCTTGAGTGAAGCATCCTTTTTAGTAACCTCTTTTTATAAGTGGGGAAACTGAGGCACGGTACAGGACTCAATCAAGGTCCCATAGCTAGGAAGCGGGGGCATTGGGATTAGAACCCATGTTTCTTGGCCAGGCATGGTGGCTCACGCCTGTAATCTCAGCACTTTGGGAGGCCGAGGTGAGCGGATCACCTGAAGTCAGGAGTTCGAGACTGGCCTGGCCAAGATGGCAAAACCCTAAACATACAAAAATTAGCCAGGCGTGGTGGCACACGCCTGTAATCCAAGCTACTCGGGAGGCTGAGGCAGGAGAATTGCTTGAACCCAGGAGGTGGAGGTTGCAGTGAGCCGAGATCGTGCCACTGCATCCAGCCTGGGCAACGGAGCAAGACTCCGTCTTAAAAAAAAAAAAAAAAAAAAAAGACTGGGCACGGTGGCTCATGCCTGTAATCCCAGCACTTTGGGAGGCCGAGGTGGGTGGATCATGAGGTCAGGAGATCGAGACCATCCTGGCTAACATGGTGAAACCCTGTCTCTACTAAAAATACAAAAAATTAGCTGAGCTTGGTGGCAGGTGCCTGTAGTCTCAGCTACTCGGGAGGCTGAGGCAGGAGAATGGCGTGAACCCAGGAGGCAGAGCTTGCAGAGAGCCAGGATCACACCACTGCACTCTCGGGACAGAGTGAGACTCTGTCTCAAAACAAAACAAAAACAAAAACCCAAACAACAACAACAACAACAAAAGAAGCTGTGTTTCTTTGGCTTTAAGCCCATCCTCTACGTTGCGCCACTGCCATGCTTTTCAGAGGCTAGAGGGCTCCAGGAACCACCTTCTTTCCCCGGCACAGCCCTGGGGGTGGGTGGGTGGGCAGAGAAGGGACAAGCAGCCCAAGTCACAGCCAGGGATGGAGACAGCATGGCTTCTTTCGGAGAAATGAAGAAGCAGGAGTGTTATTCTTGGCCAGGATGGGAAACGGGTTGGAATCTTGGCTCCTATGCTCACCAGCCATGTGGTCTGTGGCAAGCCACATCCTCTCTCTGTGTCTTGACTTACCCATCTGTAAAATGGTGGCTCCTCATAACCCCCACCTCATAGGGCTGTTGTGAAGATTGAACGTACTGAAGACTCAAATTCTTAGTACACTGCCAGGCACGTAGGAAGAGCTCTTAGAGTGTTATTTTATAGCCCTCATTTGAGAGGGTGTGGGCAGGAGCACAGCCTCTGGGCTCCAATCCACAAACTGCCATCTACTAGTCCATTTGTGAGCTGGCTGGTAAATTCACCTTCCTGGGCCTCAGTTTCTTCATCAGTAAAATGGGATAATGATGGTGCCTTCCTAGTTGGGTTGTGGTGAAGGTTAAATGAGATGCCATGTAGAAGTGCAGAGGAGAAGGGCTGCTATAAGGGGCTCCAGGTGGGTGCTGCTGTTATGATTGGGCACCTACTGCATGCTGTGTCCCTGCATACAGGAGTCGACCTTTGAGACCTGCTTGTTCATGGCTGTTTCACAGATGTCGAAGTGGAGGCTCAGCAGGGTTGGAGGTTCCCGGAGTCTCCCAGCTGGTAAGGGCGGTGTCAGGACTGGAACCCCAGCCAGGCTGACTCAGACATCCCTGGGGCCTGAGCCCAGCAGGGCAGCTGTGACTCAAGTTTGCAGGAAGAGGAGGAGGAGGGTGGGGTAAATGGGTGCTTGACGGAAGCCACAACCTCTATTCCCTCAGAAATGGAAGTGCTTGGTGAGGTTTGGTGTGTCCGAGCCGAAGAGCAGCCAATGACAGGCCTGGGGATCGTCTGGCACAGCCCACTTCTTGACAAGGCCTTGGAAACTTGGTCTCTGCAGCAGCAACCGGATTTCAGCCTGGGCCTCGGACACCTCGGCCTGGGTACGGATGCGACTTGGATGCAGTCCTTCCCTGGCAGTGGAGGGGATGCCCAGGCTGGCACAGGAGTCTCGGGTCTTCTCCGGCTCTACCCCAATCTGCTGTGTGATTTTGGGCCCAGGCAGGGACCCCTCTGGGCTCTGTTACTGGAGAAAAGGCAAATGGCTGGGACGGGTGGGTCCCCAGCCCTCCTTGCCTGGAGGTCTGCGAGTTGGAGGGCTCTGGGGTAAAGCCAGAGCCGGGCCCGGGGAGAGCCTAGGCTCATCTCTGGTGAACAGGGTACCCTCTAGCCAAAGCAGGGGCAAGGCGAGGCACATGCCCCTCATATGGGAGCTGGGGCTGACCCCCTCTCCTAGCCCTGCACACCTTGAGCACATGGCCTTGGCCCATCTGCCCTGTGGGTGGACACTTTCCAGCCCTGGGTCCTGAACTCTACCAATCAGCAGGAACCTAGACTCCTGAGGGGTGCAGCCTGGATGGGAGGTCAGGGAACTGGGTTCCTGAGCGCATCTCTGTGCCATTCATCTCTCCATTGGTTTCCCAAATGTGGACTGAGCACACACTGTGAGTCAGGCCTGAGCTAGGTTCTAGGGATGCTACTGTCAACAAGACAGATGAAGGTTCCTGCCCTCATGGAGGGGAGGGAGACAATAAGCAAAGAAATAAATGCATGATGTAATGTCAGCCAGGGAGCGATGCTGCAAAGCAGGGTGGGCGTGGGGAGTGACGCAGGCCGGGGTTGGGGAGGCATCGTTGTAGTGGTCGGGAAGACTGCTCCGAGAGGCAGACTGAGGGAAGGAGGATGGACATCTAGATGTCTGAGGGAAGGGCCATTTGGGCAGAGGAAAGAGCACAGGGCTCAGTGTGTGTGGGGGGGAGGTTGGAGGGGGCTCCGTGTGTAAGGGTGCGAATGGGGAAGGGAGGCAGGCTGCGAGTGGACAGGGCTATATGTAGACTTCATTCTAACTGTGACGCAAAGGCCTTGCAGGGTTTGGGAGGGGGACATGATCTCATTTGGTCTTCCCAATAACTCCCTGCCAGAAAGAGACAGAGCCCCAAATTGCAGTGAGGAAGCTGAGGCTTAGAGGACATCCCTGCACATGTCTGGGGTGTCATATCATCATCGGAGGAGCTGGGACTCAAACCCAGCTCTGGAACCTGCTCTGTCCCCAGCTCCATGATAACATTGTGTGAGGTGCTGGGTGCAGCTCCCAACTCCTCCCTGCTCAACCATGCTCTGTTAGCCTGTGGTCTACAGAGTGGCTTCCTCCAGGGATGTCTTGATGTCTTGCCTTTTTTTTTTTTTTTTTTTTGAGACAGGGTGTTGCTCCATTGCCCAGGCTGAAGTGCAGTGGTGGGATGATAACTCACTGCAGCCTCAACTTCCTGGGCTTAACAGATCCTCCCACCTCAGCCTCTCAAGTAGCTGAGATTACAGGTGCACACCAATACGCCTGGCTAATTAAAAAACAACAAACAAACAAACAAACAAACAAAAATATGTTTTTTTTGTAGAGATGGGGTCTCACTGGGTTGCCCAGGCTGGTCTGAAACTCTTGCCCTCAAGTGATCCTCCCGTCTCAGACTCTCCAAGTGCTAGGATTGAGCCACCACGCCCATCTGGGATGCCTTGTCTTTTATACCTTTACTCCACAAATATGTGCTTAGGCATTGCTTGCTGTGGCCAGAACCTTGCAGGGGTGAGAGACACAGGTAAATGAGAGCTGGTCCCAGCCCTCCCTCAGAAAGCTGCTGGACCACAGGGTGACAAAACTGAAGCTGTCTGTCACATCCGGGAGCAGGTGCTATGAGGATAAGCAGCCAGAGAAGACCCCTAACTTGATCTGTGGCCATCAAAGAAGGCACCCAAGGCAGGATGCCTCCCTGAATCCTAAAGCCAATTAGCAGTCAGCCAGGACAGCTGCTAGAGGGGGTCTAAGGGGGAGTGGAGAGGATGTTCCAGGCAGAGGGAACAGCAGACAGGAAGGCTCAGAGGTGAGTGTGAGCAGGCAGTCTCAGGGACCCCAGACAGTTGGTGAGGCTGCAGTGCTCAGGGGAGGTGTGCCAACAGGTAAGCTGGCAGGGCCGGGTCCCTGGGGGCTGGCTTGTCCTTTCTGCCATTGTCTGAGAGAGTGGGTGGCTGGTATCTGGTGGCCCAGATGAAGATAATGGAGATGCAATTGTGTTCTTCTTTCTGCTCAGTGCCTCTCAGTTAAGGACATTTGCAAAAATTAATAACAGCATATGCTTTTATGTCCTCCACTTAAATTTCCTTTGGATTAAAGAAAGTAACGGAGGGAAAGGAAGAAAAGCAGGAAGGAGCGAGAGAGGGAGGGGAGAAAGAGACAAAAGAAGGAAAATAATTTGGGGAAAAAAAATTTGTCCTTTTCTGGGCTAAGATAGCCCCAGCCTTTGCATTTTCTCACCCACTGAGTCACCAGCCTCCTGCCCTCTTTCAGGACTGTACATCTTGGCCTCTTACCTACTGTGTCCGCGTCAGCCTCCCTCACAGCCTGATGGCCCCTGCGGCAGCCCCAACCCGGTTTCAGGGGCTAAGAAAACTACAGTTGCATGAACGGGTGGAGGTGAGTGGGAGGCAGAAGCGGCGGGGAGAACCAGTCTGTTCCGAGATCTCTGGACCAACCAGTGGATCCTGATGGTCAGCCTTGTCTAGAGCCCCTTCCAGCGTGCAGGCCAGTCCTCCTGGCATTCTTCTAATTACACCGAGCTGTGAGTTATGTGTGCCAAGTATGTGCTGGATTTTGTACCAAGTGCTTTCCATTCATCAGTTCAGGGTAGTGATGCAGGTAGCTCCAGGCTCAGAGAGGAACAGTGACTTCTCCCAGGTCACACAGCTGGAAAGTGGCTGAGTCTGGATTCAAACCCAGACTTCCTTGTTGCTAGGACCTGTATTTTCAACCACTGCCTATGCCTCTATAACGAGCCAGCTTATGGCTGTGTTCACGCAAAGAGAAAAGCATCCAAATGGGAAGGCTGGAGAATTCAAGCAATTTTCCCGCGTGTCAGACAGTCCTGTTTCCCTCTCCCTTCAAAAAAAGTCCTGGATTATCTCTCTCTCTCTCTCTCTCTTTCTTTTTCCTTTTCCTTTTTGTTTTTTTTCTTTGTTTGTTCTTTCTTTCTTTCTTTTTTTTTTTTTTGAAACAGGGTATTACTCTGTTACTCAGGCTGGAGTGCAGTGGTGTGATCACAGCCCACTGCAGCCTTGATGTACCTGTGTCCCTGGCCTCAGGTGATCCTCCCACCTCAGCCTCCCAAGTAGCTGTGACTATCCCGAGAAGCTGAGACTACAGGTGTGCGCATGCCATCACGCCTCACTAATTATTTTACTTTTTGTAAAGACAGGTTTTTTTCGCCATGTTACTCAGACTGGTCTTGAACTCCTGGGCTTGAGTGATCCATCGGCTCCCAAAGTGTTGGGATTACAGGCATGAGCCACTGCACCTGGCCTGACATCTCAGTCTTGATTTGCACTTTTTGCCCAAAATAATCGAGTGTAAGGCAGGCCAGAAGTGGTCAGGGGGCAGGGACAGTCCCCAGCAGGGTGGCAAGTCTTTCTGCAACATTTTTGGAATACAAGCAGAAAGTGATTTGCTATTCCACACAAAACATGATTGGGAGGGCACTGGATGAATACAACTAAGATCTAAGCATTACTTCAACAAATATATACACAGAGCTAAATCAGTATCAGGAAGTAGTGGAGAAGCACTCAGAATAGGCACAGATCTCCACAGCTGTTAAGAGTCTTGTTACTTTTTTTTTTTTTTTTTGAGATGGATTCTTGCTCTGTCGCCCAGGCTGGAGTGCAGTGGCGCGATCTCAGCTCACTGCAACCTCCGCCTCCCGGGTTTAAGTGATTCTCCTGCCTCAGCCTCCCAAGTAGTTTGCCTTAAGGAGTGTAGACAAAAAGCAAGGGAAGCGTCCCCAGAGAGATCCCGGCCCACAGGGTCAGTGCCTCATCCCCACATAACATAAAAACAGCCTGGGACAGGCGCCCATCACCATGCCTGGCTAATTTTTGTATTTTTTAGTAGAGACGGGGTTTCACCAAATTGGCCAGGCTGGTCTCGAACTCCTGACCTGGTGATCCACCTGCCTCGGCCTCCCAAAGTGCTGGGATTACAGGCGTGAGCCACCGCGCCCGGCCACATTCTTTTTTTTTTTTTTTTTTTTTTTTTTGAGATGGAGTCTCGTTCTGTCACCCAGGCTGGAGTACAGTGGCATGATATCAGCTCACTGCAATCTCGGGCTCCCGGGTTCAAGCCATTCTCCTGCCTCAGCCTCCCAAGTAGCTGGGATTACAGGTGCACACCACCACGCCCAGCTAATTTTTGTATTTTTTAAGTAGAGACGGGGTTTCACCATGTTGGTCAGTCTGGACTCGAACTCCTGACCTTGTGATCCGCCCACCTCTGCCTCCGAAAGTGCTGGGATTACAGGCGTGAGCCACTGTGCTCGGTCAGCTGTTTATTGATTTTGAGTATGTTATTGATTTTGTGAATGGAGAAGGGATCATCGGGTAGGGTTCTTTGATCTGGAGCAAAAGATATGGATTCTGATTAACCAAAGGGGAAAAAAGAGGGGGGTGGATTTAGTGGAAAGAACTGGAGTAGTTCAGAGAACCAAAGGCAAGCCAGCACGGTGGCTCACGCCTATAATCCCAAAGACTTGGGAGGCTGAGGTGGGAGGATCGCTTGAGCCCAGGAGTTTGAGGCTGCAGTGAGCCATGATCACGCCGCTGCACTCCAGCCTGGGTAACAGAACAAGACTGTCTCAAAACAAATAAACAAAACAAAACAAAGGCCAGGCTTGGACAGGCCACCACCCAAGGTAGCTGCAGGATCTCAGAAATGAGAATTAACAGGCAAGTTTTTTGTTTGTTTGTTTGTTTGTTTGTTTTTGAGACGGAGTCTCGCTCTATCGCCCAGGCTGGAGTGCAGTGGCGCGATCTTGGCTCACTGCAAACTCCGCCTCCCGGGTTCATGCCATTCTCCTGCCTTAGCCTCCCGAGTAGCTGGGACTACAGGCGCCCGCCACCACACCCGGCTGATTTTTTGTATTTTTATAGAGACGGGGTTTCACTGTGTTAGCCAGGATGGTCTCGATCTGACCTCGTGATCCACCTGCCTCGGCCTCCCAAAGTTCTGGGATTACAGGCGTGAGCCACCGCGCCCGGCCTGTTTGTTTTTTGAGGTGGATTCTCGCTCTGTCACCCAGGCTGGAGTACAGTGGCGTCATCTCGGTGCACTGCAACCTCTGCCTCCCACGTTCAAGGGATTCTCCTGCCTCAGCCTCCCAAGTAGCTGGGACTACAGGCGTGTACCACCATGCCCCGCTAATTTTTGTATTTTTAGTAGAGACAGGGTTTCACCATGTTGGCCAGGCTAGTCTTGAACTCCTGATCTCATGTGATCCGCCTGCCTCGGCCTCCCAAAGTGCTGGGATTACAGGCATGAGCTACTGTGCCCGACCAGCAGGCAAGTTTTTGAAGGCAACACTGCTGTGGGTGGTCCACAGGGTGGACAGATGCTGGGCAGTTAATTCAACAGAGGACCTCTCCAGGTGGCTAGGGTGTTGGCTGACAGCATGCAAATCCCCAGAGCTCTCACCTGCAGCTGGCATGTGCAACCCCACTGAACATGAAGCAATTTTGTTCTGTAAATCCTACCTTTGGATCTGAGAACCAAATATAGGTTGAGATACCTGGCCTACCAGTAACCTTTAGTCTAGACTATGGAATTTCCCTTCTAGAAACTTACCCTGCAGTTAAATTTGCGCAAGAACATGTATGAGAAACAGAATGCAGGGTATAATGTACGTCATCTGCTGGGGACTGGTTAAATATAGGAAGGCTTTAAGAATGAGGTTGGGTACAGGGGCTCACGCCTGTAATCCCAGCACTTTGGGAGACCGAGGTGGGTGGATCACCTGAGGTCAGAAGTTCGAGACCAGCCTGGCCAATGTGGCGAAACCCCATCTCTACTAAAAATACAAAAATCAGGGGCCGGGAGTGGTGGCTCATGCCTGTAATCCCAGCACTTTGGGAGGCCAAGGTGGGTGGATCACTTGAGGTCAGGAGTTTGAGACCAGCCTGGCCAACACGGTGAAACCCCATCTCCACTAAAAATACAAAAAAGTAGCTGGGCATGGCGGCACATGCCTGTAATCCCAGCTACTCGGGAGGCTGAGGCAGGAGAATCGCTGAACCTGGGAGGTAGAGGTTGCAGTGAGCCAAGATCACACCACTGCACTCCAGCCTAGGCAACAGAGTGAGACTCCGTCTGAGAAAAAAAAAAATTTGGGCCGGGTGCAGTGGGTCACCTGAGGTCAGGAGTTCAAGACCAGCCTGGTCAACATGGTGAAACCGCATCTCTCCTAAAAATACAAACGTTATCTGGGCATGGTGGTGCATGCCTGTAGTCCCAGCTACTCGGGAGGCTGAGGCAGGACAATCATTTGAACCTGGAACACCGAGGTTGCAGTGAGCTGAGATTGTGCCACTGCACTCCAGCCTGGGCAACAGAGCAAGACTCTGACTCAAAAAAAAAAAAAAAAAAAAGAGCCTGGGCGTGGTGGCTGACGCCTGTAATCCTAGCACTTTGGGAGGCCGAGGCGGGTGGATCACCTGAGGTCAAGAGTTCAAGACCAGCCTGGCCAATATGGTGAAACCCAGTCTCTACTAAAAATACAAAAGAATTAGCTGGGCATGGTGGTGCATGCCTGTAATGCCAGCTGCTCGGGAGCCTGAGGCAGGAGAATTGCTTGAACCTGGGAGGCGTAGGTTGCAGTGAGCCGAGATCGTGCCACTGCACTCCAGCCTGAGCGACAGAGACTCCGTCTCAAAACAAACAAACAAACAAACAGAATAAGGCAGTTCTCTTTTGGTGGGTGTGCAACAATCTCCAAGAGTTACACTGTTAATGATATAAGCATGAGGTAGTGTGTGGAGGGAGTTACTGTTTCCATGCGTGGGGGTGAAGGAAATACATACAATAAGATTATGTCAGAATCTCTGTTACACTGTAACAGTGATTGCCATTAGGGAGGGGACCTGCAGATCAGGAGAAACAGTAGGAGGGAGACTTGTTGCATATGTCCTTGTGCACTGATTGAACTTTTTTTCTGTGCATGTATTTTTTTTTTTTTTCTTTTTCTTCGAGATGGCGTATTGCTCTGTCACCCAGGCTGGAGTGCAGTGATGCGATGTCAGCTCACTGCAAACTCCGCCTCCTGGGTTCAAGCAATTCTCCTGCCTTAGCCTCCTGAGTAGCTGAGATTACAGGCATGTGCCACCACGTCTGGCTAATTTTTGTACTTTTTTTTTTTTTTTTGTAGAGATGGGGTTTCCCTATGTTGCCCAGGCTGGTCAAATGCTACTCTTTTGAGCAGACTTCTTTGTATTACAGTTTGGAGTGGTTATGTTTTAACTCTCAAGCCAAGCTGAAAGTTTTAAGTGTGTGAAACTTGTCTGTAAATTTTCTGAAGAAGCAAGCACCGTGCCCTTCTGAGGCAGGTGAGGAGCTACGGCTTTCTCAGAACACACTAAGAGTCTCTTGTAGAAAGGTGCTATGCACATTTCCAAAGAAGGGGCGCTCTGAGAGAGGACAGCAGAGAATAGTGGATAGATGTTGGTCCCTGGCTCTGACTGACATGTGAAAATCTCAGCCTATCAGCTGGGCCACCAGCTATTGCCCCTCTCTGCACCTCAGTTTACTTTGCTCATCTGTTAAACAGTGATAAGTGTGCCTGTCCTACCCTGTTGCAACGATCTGTCAAGAAAACAAGCCAAGACCGGGTGCCGTGGCTCATGCCTGTAATCTTAGCACTTTGGGAGGCTGAGTCAGGCAGATCACTTGAGGCCAGGAGTTCAAGACCAGCCTGGCCAACATGGTAAAACTGTGTCTCTACTAAAAATACAAAAGTTAGCCGGGCATGGTGGCCTGCACCTGTAATTCCAGCTACTCTGGAGGCTGAGGCAGGAGAATCACTTGAACCTGGGAGGTGGAGGTTGCAGTGAGCCGAGATCTCACCACTGCACTCCAGCCTGGGTGACAGAAAACAAAAAAGACCTGAAGCCAAGGTTGTGTCTGTTTACTAAAACAATGCACGTGAAATGTTTTGTCCAGGTAGTTACCATTTCTTTTTCTTTGGGTGGGAGGGGGGTGTTGTTTGCTTTTTGTGGTTGTGTTTTTGTGTTTTGTTTGTTTGATTTGTTTTTGAGACAAGGTCTCGCTACTGGACCCAAGCGATTCTCCCACCTCAGTCTCCCAAAGTGCTGGGATTACAGGTGTGAACCACCAGGCTCAGCTTATGATAACTGTTTCAAGTCAGAATTTGACAATCTGAAGAAAACTTTTTTTTTTTTTTTGAGACGGAGTCTTGCTCTGTTGTCCAGGCTGGAGTGCAGTGGCGTGATCTTGGCTTACTGCAACCTCTGCCTCCCGGGTTCATGGGATTCTCCTGCCTCAGCCTCCCGAGTAGCTGGGATTACAGGTGTGCACCACCACGCCTGGCTAATTTTTGTATTTTTAGTAGAGACGGGGTTTCCCCATGTTGGCCAGGCTGGTCTCAAACTCCTGACCTCAAGTGATCCACCCACCTCGGTCGGCCTCCCAAAGTGCTGGGATTGGGATTACAGGCATGAGCCACTGTGCCCAGCCAAAAACATTTTTTTTTTCTTTTGAGAAAGAGTCTCACCCTGTCACCCAGGCTAGAGTGCAATGGTGTGATCTCAGCTCACTGCAACTTCTGCCTCCCAGGTTCAAGTGATTCTCTTGCTTCAGCCTCCCGAGTAGCTGGGATTACAGGCATGCACCACCACGCCCAGGTAATTTTTTGCGTCTTTAGTAGAGACAGGTTTTCATAATGTTGGCCAGGCTGGTCTCGAACTCCTGACCTTGTGATCCAGCCACCTCGGCCTCCCAAAGTGCTGGGATTATAGGCGTAAGCCACGGTGACCAGCCTGAAAACGTTTTCTAAATGGCCCATTTTGTTTGGAATCTTCACCACTTTGGGAAAAAGCCTAAAGATTAATGGAACAGAAATGTGCCATAAGATCAGAGACTAGATATTGAGTGGATGCTATCTTTTTTTTTTTTTTTTTTTTTTTTTTTTTGAGACGGAGTCTTGCTCTGTTGCCCAGGCTGGAGTGCAGTGGCACGATCTCAGCTCACTGCAACCTCTGCCTCCCAGGTTCAAGCAATTCTCTGCCTCAGCCTCCTGAGTAGCTGGGATTACAGGTGCCCGCCACCACGCCCGGCTAATTTTTTGGTATTTTTAGTAGAGACGGGGTTTCACCATCTTGGCCAGGATGGTCTCAAACTCCTGACCTTGTGATCCACCCTCCTCGGCCTCCCAAAGTGCTGGGATTATAGGCGTGAGCCACCGCGCCCAGCCACGGATGCTATTTTTATAGTTACACATTATGCTCTAGGGAGGAAAAATGATGAAGGTCATTGAAATTTGCTTATGAAATATAATTAAAGCTCTGGAAGAAAGATATTATGTAAATCCCAAGCAGAATGATCAGTTTATTAATTGATTTAATGAAGACTGAAAGTATGAAAGTTTGGAACTATCAAAAAAGCTAAATGGAAACCATTTCAAAATGGGGTTACTTAATCCCAGCACTCTGGGAGGCCGAGGCAGGAGAATAACCTGAGGTCAGGAGTTTGAGACCAGCCTGACCAACATGGTGAAACCCCGTCTCTACTAAAAATACAAAATTAGCCGGGGGCGGTAACGCGTGCCCGTAATCCCAGCCACTTAGGAGGCTGAAGCAGGAGAATCGCTTGAACTCCGGAGGCCGAGGTTGCAGTGAGCCAAGATCGAGCCACTGCATTCCAGCCTGGGCAACAAGAGCGAAACTCGGTCTCAAAAAACAAAACAAAACAAACAAAAAAACCCACAAAAAACAGAAAATGGGGTTACTATCAGGAATCTGGATACTGACTAATGAAAATGCAAGTGGGCTGGGCGCGGTGGCTCACGCCTGTAATCCCAGCACTTTGGGAAGCCGAGCCGGGCGGATCACGAGGTCAGGAGATCGAGACCATCCTGGCTAACACGGTGAAACCCCGTCTCTACTAAAAATATAAAAAATGAGCCGGGTGTGGTGGCGGGCACCTGTAGTCCCAGCTACTCGGGAGGCTAAGGCAGGAGTATGGCGTGAACCCGGGAGACGGAGCTTGCAGTGAGCTGAGATCACGCCACTGCACTTCAGCCTGGTCTACAGAGCAAGACTCCGTCTCAAAAAAAAAAAAAAAAAAAAAGAAAGAAAATGCTAGTGGTCTGGCTGAAGAAGGAGAAGAGGGAATTCATTAGTGTGGTGGGCACTCCTGGTCAGCATTTGTTCTTGTCGCAACTCCGGGAATGAGCCCTGATTTGACTACGCCAATTATCATAATTCCCCATTTCACCCTCCCATGATCCAAGTTCTTCCATTCAGAGCAAGCCTAGGATTTTAGTTTGCTGAATTGAGAGAAAGAGATGCTCTCTCTTCCTTCCTTCCTTCCTCCTTTCCTGTCTTCCTTTCTCTCTTTCTCTCTCTTTCTCTCTTTCTTTTTCTCTCTTTCTCTTTCTCTCTCTCTCTCTTTCTTTCTCTCTCTTTCTCTTTTCTTTCTGTCTCGCTCTGTCATCCAGGCTGGAGTGCAGTGGCATGATCTCGGCTCACTGCAACCTTCGCCTCCCGGGTTCAAGCGATTCTTCTGCCTCAGTCTGCCAAGTAGTTGAGACTACAGGCGCGCATCACTATGCCCAGCTAATTTTTGTATTTTTAGTAGAGATGGGGTTTCACCATATTGGCCAGGCTGGTCTCGAACTCCTGACCTTGTGATCTGCCCATCTCGGCTTCCCAAAGTGCTGGGATTACAGGTGTGAACCACTGCACCCAGACTGCTCTCTGTTTTCCATGGCATGGCCAGAGATCTGAGGCATGGATGTGCCACAGCCAATCTGCAGCTAGTCAAGACACCAGCCAAGGAAAATGGCCACATGTCCAAGAGGCATATGCTAAAGAATGGAGCCAGAGCCTTGATCGCACTGCACTTGAACCCTAGCTCTGGAAATTTTGGTTAAATGAGCCAATTGATTCCAATTATCATTTAAGCCAGTTTCAGTGGGGTTTTTCTCTTCCTTTCTTTCTTTCTTTCTTTCTTTTTTTTTTTTTTTTTTGGGTAGGGTCTTGCTCTGTTGTCCAGGCTGGAATACAGTGGCACAATCATGGCTCATTGCAACCTCAACCTGCTAGGCTTAAGGGATCCTCCCGCCTCAGCCTCCCAAGTAGCTGGGACTACAGGTGAGCACCACCACGTCCAACTAAGTAAAAAAAAAATTTTTTTTTTAAGAGACAACGTCCCACTATGTTGCCCAGGCTGGCCTCCTACTCCTAAACTCAAGTGATCCTCCCGTGTGGAGCACCAAAACTGCTAGGATTATAGGTGTGAGCCACCTCAGCTGGCCTGGGTTGGGTTTTCTTTTTCTGTTTTTTTTTTTTTTTTTTTTTTGAGAAGGAGTCTCACTCTGTTGCCAGGCTGGAGTGCAGTGGTGCAATCTGGGCTCACTACAACCTCTGACTCCCTGGTTCAAGCAATTCTCCTGCCTCAGCATCCTGAGTAGCTGGGATTATAGGCACGTACCAACATGCCCAATTAATTTTTCATATTTTTAGTAGAGACAGGGTTTCACCATTTTGGTCAGGATGGTCTTGATCTCCTGACCTCCTGATTCACCCGCCTTGGTCTCTCAAAGTGCTGGGATTACAGGCGTGAGCCACTGTGCCTGGCCTGAGTTGGGTTTTCTATCACAATAGTTCCAAAAAATGTATTGGCTTGTGTGCTGAAAAGTCTATGCTTAAAGCTTCAGGCATGGCTGGCTGGCTGGTTCAAGGTGCTTAATATCAGCAGGACTCTATCTTTTCTCTCATCTCTGTTCCCATCTGTGTTGGCTTCATTCTTAGGCTGGTTCTCCATTATGGAGCTACTCCAGGCTTATATCCCACTAGCTCAGTAACCTGATAGGAAGAGAAGCTTCTTTTTTTCTTTTTTTTGAGACGGAGTTTCACTCTTGTTGCCCAGGCTGGAGTGCAATGGCACAATCTTGGCTCACTGCAACCTCTGCCTCCTGGGTTTGAGCGATTCTCCTGCTTCAGCCTCCCAACCAAGTAGCTGGGATTACATGTACCACCACGCCTGGCTAACTTTTTTTTTTTGAGATGAAGTTTTGCTCCTGTTCCTCAGGCTGGAGTGCAGTGGCATGATCTCGGCTCACTGCAGCCTCCGCCTCCCAGGTTCAAGCGATTCTCCTGTCTAAGCCTCCTGAATAGCTGGGATTACAGGTGCACGCCACCACACCCAGCTAATTTTGTATTTTTAGTAAAGACGGGGTTTCACCATATTGGCCAGGCTGGTCTCAAACTCCTAACCTCAGGTGATCTGCCCGCCTCAGCCTCCCAAAGTGCTGGGATTACAGGCATGAACCACTGCACCCCGGCCCCTAGAAGCTTCTTTTTTCAATGATTTCTGTAGAAGTCCCAGGCTTGGCTTGAGAGTCATTGCTCTGCTATGAGTCAGGTGCCCATTCCTGAACTAATCACTGACCAGGGAGGGAAAGCTCTGATTGACTCAGGCTCAGAGCTGGAAGGGAGAAGGAGTCGCTCCCTTCAGCCTATTCAGATTCTTCCCAAGAGTTTAGTTTTAGGCATGGTGGCTCATCCCTGTAATCTCAGCACTTTGAGTGGGTGGCTGAGGCAGGGGGATCAACTCCAGGAGTTTGAGACCAGCCTGGGCAACATTATATGATCCTGTCTCTACAAAAAAATTGGAAAAAATAGCCAGGTGTGGTGTAGTCCCAGCTACTTGGGAGGCTGAGGTAGGAGGATTGTTTGAGCCTAGGAGATTGAGGATGCAGTGAACCATGATTGTGCCACTGCACTCTAGCCTGGGTGACAGAACAAGACCCGGTCTCTCTCTCACACACATACACACACACACACACACACAAAAGGCTGGGCATGGTGGCTCACTCCTGTAATCCCAGCACTTTGGGAGGCCAAGGTGGACAGATCACCTGAGTTCAGGTGTTCAGGACCAGCCTGGCCAACATGGTGAAACCCCGTCTCTAAAAAAATAGAAGGGCCGGGTGCAGTGGCTCATGCCTGTAATCCCATCACTTTGGGAGGCCAAGGCAGGCGGATCATCTGAGGTCAGGAGTTGGAGACCAGGCTGACCAACATGGTGAAACCACGTGTCTACTAAAAAAATACCAAAATTAGCTGGGCATGGTGGCACATGCCTGTAATCCCATCACTTTGGGAGGCCAAGGCAGGCGGATCATTTGAGGTCAGGAGTTCGAGACCAGGCTGACCAACATGGTGAAACGGCGTGTCTACTAAAAAAATACCAAAATTAGCTGGGCATGGTGGCACATGCCTGTAATCCCAGCTACTCAGGAGAATCGCTTGAACCAGGGAGGCGGAGGGTGCAATGAGCCGAGATTGCGCCACTGGACTCTAGCCTGGGCAACAGAGTGAGACTCCATCTTAAATAAATAAATAAATAAATAAATTTAGAAATACAAAAATTAGCCAGGTGTGGTGGCACATGTCTGTAATTCCAGCTACTTGGGAGGCTAAGGTAGGAAAATTGCTTGAACCTGGGAGGCGGAGGTTGCGGTGAACTCCGCGCCACTGCACTCCAGCCTGGGCAACAAGAACGAAACTTCGTCTCAAAAAACAAAGAAAAAAAGTTTAGCTTTGGAGTTTAGGCTTGGGTTTTCCAGGGTTACCACTTTTTAGCTGTGTTATCTTGGGCAAATAATGGAAGCTTTCTGAACCTCAGCTGTAAAATAAGGATAACGGTAGTCTCTACCTCTTAGGGTTTTTTATGAGGAGGAAATGAGGTACTGCATGCAAAACATTTGCACAATGCTCACTACTTTGTTGTCATTGTTACTAGTTCCTTTCTCCAGCACCTGCACTTCCAGGATGTTGGCACAGGTCCTTCCTTCCCCATGGGCTAGAAGGAAACTTCCTCCTGTGAGAGCTGTCATAGCTCTTTCTCTTGATTGTCTATGTGGCATTTGGTTTCTGCTCATGTTCATGCTGCCCAAACTCAAAACTTCTCTGTCCTAGACTTTCAACCCCTAGAAGGGAAAGGATGGCTCCATTCTTTTCAATGTCCTTAATAAGAGAACTGCCATCAACACCCATCCAGTGCATTTACAGTTTCCAAAGCATTTCCTCCTCTGCCTTTTCACCTGAGCCAGAATGCAATCCTAGGGAGTGGGAGGGGTTATTATTCCCACTTCACAGATGGGGAAACTGAGGTCCAGGGAGGGGCAGTGACGTCATGGTCAAGCAGCAAGTCGGTGGACAAGAAATTAGGTGTTTCTGGATTGCCAACACAAGTTTCTTTTTGTGGGACAAATAGTTTTGAATATAGAGTTCAAGCCTTTGGTGAAGATCCCGGGGAGCCTGTTCTGCACCTGTGCTAAGTGATTCTTTTCATTCAGCATGCAGTCTGTCCCTGTCTGCTGCCTGCCAGTCTTTCCCCCAAAGTCCCTTCCTGCTTGAAACCCTCCTTCCCTAACCCCAGAGACACCCCTGGCCTGCACTGCCAGCTCTTTCTTCTGAAATACACCTCTCCAACCGGCCCCCATCAGTCTGCTCCATTATCCACCTGGAACCAACCTCCAAACCTCTGCAAGGGCAGATGAGAGTGTCTCCTCCAGCCCTGTTTTCCATGGACTGCTTTGGGCACGGATGAAATTGTTCAGCTTATCCTGCAAGTTCCTCTGCAAGACTGCTTATGTGCTCTAGACTCATAGAACCTGGAATTGAATCCTAGCCCTGCCACATGCTGCCTCAGTTTCCGCATCTAAAATAGGAATAGGGCTGCTGACGTCAAGGGATCATCATGAGGATGAATTGAGAGAGGAATGCCAGGGGGCTGATACGCTTCAAGGAGGGGGTCCAGGAAAGAGAAATGACTTTGAGGAATGCAAGAATGTCCCCTCTGACCTTGCACGTGGCGGTCTTCCGGCCTCAGGACACCCTCCCCCACTTCTCAAGCCTGGGCTAATCTGGTGTTCTCCAACTCACTTCCTGTCCTGTAGGTTAGCTCATCATCTCATTATCTGTATCCAGTTCTCTTTCCAGGCTTGCATATTATCTGTGCGGCTACACACACTTGCTAGGTGGGTAGTGAAGGGAGTATTAGGCTCTGCATATGGAAAAGTGGGCCTGGGTGGCCAAGCCCCAGCATATCTCCAAACCTCAATTTCTTGTCTGTAAAATGTGAACAGCAAGAATGTGCACCTTGCTGGGCACGGTGGCTCACACCTGTAATCCCAACACTTTGGGAGGCTGAGGCGGGAGGATCACGAGGTCAGGAGTTCGAGACCAGCCTGGCCAACATGGTGAAACCCTGTCTCTACTAAAAATACAAAAATTAGCCAGGTGTGGGGGTGCGGGCCTGTAATCCCAGCCACGTGGGAGGCTGAGGCAGGAGAATCACTTGAACCTGGGAGATGGAGGTTGCAGTGAGCTGAGATTGTGCCATTGCATTTCAGCCTGGGCAATAGAGTGAGACTCCGTCTCAAAGCAAATAAATAAAAAAAGAATGTGCACTTGTGGAATTGTGGTAAGGTTTTAGACCAGCACTGGTCAGCATGGTAGCATCTAGCCACATATGGCTATTTACATTTAAATTAATAAAAGTTTAATGAAGTTTAAAAAATTCAGCCCCTCAGTCTCACTAGCCACATTTCAAGTGCTCGCTGGCCTCCTGTGACTCGTAGCTATCCTACGGACAGCACGCAGAAAGAACATTTCCATCGTGGAGGGAAATTCTGCTGAACAGTGCTGATTTAGAAGCATCACGCCCGTGCTGTGCATCAGCTCTGTGTTATAACTCATCTGACATTGTAAACTCAGGGCAGAAGCATGATTGCAGTGTAAAGTTCTGCTTTCCTTGGAGATGGGGTAAAGAGGTGAGGCTCACAAGGAATGTTGGACTGGTTGAGGGCATTCTCTGGGATGAGGGTGGACCAAGTTCAAAACGGGGAGCTCCGGCTTCTGCTGCAAGGCAGGCACATAGGGCATAATTCCCTCTGCTGGTGGAGAAGGGGCACCAAGCAGTGGGAAGGGTGGTTAACTGGAGAGTGTTTCTAGCATCTAGAGCTACCAGTGTTTGACTTTTCAAAGGAAAAGTGGCTATGTGGTTTTGCAAACGTGTTACAAGCTCTCTCCATTTTTATCGTATTTATTGTATCACTAGCTAGACTAATAAAGAAAAAAGAGAAGATACAAGTAAACATAATCAGAAAGGGCAAAGAGGACATTACCACCGACCCCATACAAACACAAAAAAGCCCTCAAAAACTATTATGAACACGTCTATGCACACACACTAAAAAACTTACAATAAATAGATGAATTCCTGGAAAGATACAACCTTTTTTTTTTTGCCAGAGAATGGAATTCCAGATCCTGGGTTGTTAGAACCTTAAGGGATACTTTCATCCCCTGGTTCCTGTACAGGGAGGAGGAATCTGAGGCTCAGAGAAGTACAGTGACTTGTTTAAGGTCCCTCAGTGAGTTAGGGCAGAGGAAGACTTCTGGCCACAGCTTCCCTGAAGCCAAGGCTAGGCAGAGTGTTGATGTCACCCAGGCAACAGGGATGGTGCCCTCTGCCCACCTAGCAAGCCCTGACTCATGCTCCGCGCCCCTGCTGTGAGAAGTCTCTGCTGACTCCCACCCTGATTGGAGCAGGTTAGTCAGCTTTGAGGTGCAGCCTCCAGTTCTGGCCCCTCCAGTTCCGGGACTCTCATTCGAGGCATTTGGGGCTGTCTCATTTCTGTGCCCAGCACAGGGCTTGGCACAGAGGAGGTGCTTTGTGGGTGCCCGCCAGTCAAGGGTTTCCGTTTTCGTGCCATGTAGGTAACCCCTTGCCATTCGTGCCCTTAGGTAACCCCTTGAGCAGCCTAAAGAAGCCTAGAGACTTCTCCGTTTTTGAGTATATTTTATTGACGTGAAATACACGCACGGAAAAGCGCACAAATCCAAAGTGTACTTCCGCGCATCTTCATAAAGTGAACACACTTGTAGCCTAAGAACCCAACCCTACCAGCGCCCGGCAGGCCCTGGCCCCCTTCCAGTCTCTCCTACTGAACAAGGTTTTTGAGTGAAACCGGCAGGCCGGAGCGTGAGTTTCTGCTTGACGGGGCGGGGTCTGCGCGTGCTGCCCGGCCGTGAGTGTGGGGGGGCCGTGAGTGTGTACGGGGTGGAGTGGCCTGAAGGGGATTAGAGTGCGCGCGTTCGGGTATTAATTTGCCAGGGTTTGTGTGGCGCTCGGGATTGGGGGTTTTTTGGGGGCTCGGGCGTCGACTGTGGGGCGCTGCGGAAGGGTGGGTCGTCCGCGTGGGGTCCTGGAGCGCAGGAGGCGGAGGGGAAGCCGCGCAGGGGCCACTAGGGAGGGGCTCTGGCGGGGTCGCAGGGGCGCGGTCTGCGGGCGTGGGGGCGGGACCTCGGGGGCGGGGCCTGAGGGCGCGCGCACGCCTCCGGCGCGCCCCCTCCCGGCCGCCATGTTGGCTGGTGTGTGGGTGTCAAACTGAGCCAGACGCGGCGGTGGCGGCGGCTCCGCGGGCTACGGTCGCTCCCGCCTCTCGAGCGCTGCCGGTGGCCGCAGCGGCGCACCCGCACCCGGCCCTAAAAGTACTTTTTATAGAGATGGGGTCTCACTCTGTTGCCCAGACTGGTCTCAAACTGCTTATCTCAAGTGACTGACTGTCTGCCTCAGCTGCCCAAGTAGCAGGGATTACAGACACAAGCCACAGCCGCTGGCTCTATTCAGGAACATCTTAGTTCCAAGTTTTGGGAATTATGGATAAAGCTGCTATATAAACAGGTGTGCAGGTTTTTGTGTGGACATTTTCAACTCATTTGGGTAGACACCAAGAGGCACGAGTTCTGATCATACCGAAAGTGTTTAGTTTCAGAAGAAGCTGCTTTTCTTGGGCTCCATAACAAAATACACAGACTTTGTGGCTTAAATAACACAAATTTATTTCTTACAGTTCTCAGTCGGGCGCGGTGGCTCACTCCTGTAATCCCAGAACTTCGGGAGGCCGAGGCGGGCGGATCACCTGAACTCAGGTGTTCAGGAGCAGCCTGGCCAACATGGTGAAACCCCGTCGCTATTTAAAAAAATAGAAGGGCCGGGTGCAGTGGCTCACGCCTGTAATCCCAGAACTTCGGGAGGCCGAGGCGGGCGGATCACCTGAGATCACGCGTTGGAGACCAGCCTGGCTAACATGCTGACACCCCGTTTCTGCCAAAAAAAAAAAGCCTGGAGTGGCGTGTGCGCCTTTAAGCCCCGGCTACTCGGGAGGGCTTAGGCGGGAGACTCGCTTGAGCCCGGGAGGCAGTTGTTGCTAGGAGCCGAGATCGCGCCACTGCACTCCAGCCGGGGCCGGCAGACAGAACAAGAGACCCGGAGACCCCGTCTGGGGGTGGGAGTGGCGGGCGGGAAACGGCGACAAAAGAGGGAGCGAGAATGGGAGAAAACGCAAAAAGAGACAATAGGAGGTGCCACACAGCATCCCCCGCCTCGCGCCAAGACTAAAATTAAAAAGCCACCCCGAGAAAACCCAAGAGCCGTCACCGCTGAAACAGGAGGCGAAAACCTTTCTCGCGACATTGCCAAGCAGGAGCGAACAGCCCGGAAACGGCCCGGAGTTTACGAGCTAGTCTCTGTCATTGAGCCATCAAGAAGGAAAAACCACTCAGACCGCGTTCTCTCCCTCTCACTCCCCAATACGGAGAGAAGAACGATCATCAATGGCTGACGGCAGTTGCAGCCAAGCAACGCCAGAAAGCCGGCTTCACGCTCAGGAGAAAACGCTACCTCTCTTCCTCGGGGTTTTCGGTGCTCTACACGTTCAAAGAAACTTCTCTAGTAACACACTATAGAAATGATCCCTGAAAGTATAGCCTTAACGGCCTCCTCGCACACCTCTGCTAGGTCTACATCTGCCGCAAACTTTTAACTGATGGCGAGAAACTTTCGCTAGTTCCGATGCCATTAGGAAACAAATAGGAAAATAGTTTGGCAATAACAGCTTGTCGAATATTATCACTTGACAAATTTTAACGTTTTAGGTGGAAAGGTAATTTTAAAAGTTGTTTTAAGAGGTTTAAAACCGGGCATGCTTAATTAGCATAATACTGAATGACAGCCAATCACAAACTGAATTTTTAAAACCGGAAGTGTTTGCTCCTGGTGTGGTGCGCCCGCCTGTAATCCGGGAATCCCAGCGTTTTGCGAGCCCACGCCCAGGCCCAGGAGGGAGGATCCTTTGTTCTATGAGTTCGACACCAGCCCAGGCAATATAGCGGAATCCCGTCTCTACCAAGGGGGCGGGAATCAACAATGAGCTGGGCGTGATGGCACCGTCTGTAGTCCCAGCTACTCGGGAGGCTGAAGCGGGATGATCGTTTGAGTCAGGGAAGCTGGCTGAGTTCAAAGCTGCAGTGAGCTCTGATCAGTTACCCCACTGCACCCCAGCCTGGGAGACAGAGTGAGATCTTGACTCTTAAAAACAATTTTTTTTTTAGGGGGGATGGTATTAAATAGATACAAAATTTACCATTTTAACCATTTTTCACATATACAATTCAGTGGCATTAAGTACATTCGTGTAGCCATTGGCATGTAACCATCACCATTATTTATCTCCAGAACTTTTTCGACATCCCAAACTGAAACTCTACCCGTAAAACAAACTTCCCTTTCCTCCCTCCGCCCAGACCCCTTTAACCACTATTCTACTTTCCGTCTCTATGAATTTGATTCTTGTAGGTATCTCTATAAGTGGAAACATGCAATATTGTCCTTTTGTATCTGGCTTATTTCACTTAGAATGACGTTTTCAAGGTTCATTCACGTTGTAACATGTTGCAGAATTTCACTCCTTTTTCAGGCTGGAGTGCAATGATGCATGATGTGACAGCTCACTGCAGCCTTGACCCCCAGGGCTCGGGTGATCCTCCCACGTCAGCCTCCTGAGTAGCTGGGATCGTAGGCACATGCCATCACGCTCCGCTAATTTTTTGTATTTTTTGTAGGGAGGGGGTTTCACCACATTGCCCAGGATGGTCTTGAACTCCTGGGATCAAGGGATCCACCCGCCTCGGCCGCTCAAAGTGCTGGGACTACAGGCGTGAGCCACCACGCCCAGCGGTTTTCTTAATTACATTTTTGAATTGTTCCTTGCCAGTGCATAAAAACACAACTGGACCGGGCACGGTGGCTCACGCCTGTCATCCTAGCACTTTGGGAGGCCGAGGCGGGTGGATCACCAGGTCAGGAGATCAAGACCATCCTGGCCAACGTGGTGAAACCTCGTCTCTACTAAAAATACAAAAACTGGCCGGGCGTGGTGGCCTGCGCCTGTAATCCCAGCTACTGGGGAGGCTGAGGCAGGAGAATTGCTTGAACCCGGGAGGCAGAGGCTGCAGTGAGCCAAGATCACGCCATTGCACTCCGGCCTGGGCGATAAGAGCATAACTCCTCAAAAAAACAAACAGGAAACCACACAACTGGTTTTTGTGAGTTGATCTTGTGTCCTGAAACTTTGCTGCATTTGCTTATTAGCTCTAGTAATTATTGTGCGTGTATTCTTTGGGATTTTCCCTATTTAAAGCGATGGTTTTATTTCTTATTTCTCAATTTGGTGCCTTTTCTTACCTAAAGGCTCTGGCTACAACTTCTAGCAAAATGTTGACTAGGCCAGGCGCGGTGGCTCACATCTGTAATTCCAGCATTTTGGGAGGCCGAGGCAGGCAGATAACAAGGTCAGGAGCTCAAGAGCATCCTGGCCAACATGGTGAAACCCTGTCTCTACTAAGAATACAAAAATTAGCCAGGCGTGGCAGTGCGCACCTGTAGTCCCAGCTACTGGGGAGGCTGAGGCAGGAGAATTGCTTGAACCCCGGGGGCAGAGGCTGCAGTGAGCCGAGATCACGCCACTGCATTCCAGCCTGGGCGACAGAGCAAGACTCCTTCTCGAAAACACAACAAAACCAACAAAACAAAAAAAAAAACATTGAGTAGCAGTGGTAAAGGTGAACCTCTGTGTCTTGTTCCTGAACTTAGGGGGAAAGCTTTTAGTCTTTCACCACTAAGTATGATGGTAACTGTGGTTTTTTCACAAATACCTTTTATAATGTTGAGGCAGATCCCCTCGTTTCATAGTTTTCTCTATGTTTTAATGATGAAATGTTAGAATTTCTTAGATGCTTTTTCTGTGTCAGCTGGAATGACTGTTTTTTTCCCTTTGTTCTACTAATGCGGTACATTACGTTAACGGATTTTCTTATGTTGAACCACCCCCTGCATTCCTGGGATGAAGCCCTCCCATCCCCTCAGCTGCAGCACCTGATTAAAGCCTTCTTCCTTGGCAAGAATCGTTGTCTCACTGATTGGCTTTCTGTGAGGTGAGTGGCAGGCCCTAGATGGAACCCCTGGTGTTTGAGTAACACCAGGATGGCCAGTAGCCTCCAGACGCCGGAGGAGTCAAGGAAGGATCCCCCTTCGAGGCTTCAACAGTTTGATTCCTGACTTTGAGCCTCCAGAACTGCGAGAGAATAATTTCTGTTTTGACAGAGTTTCACTTCATCACCCAGGCTGGAGTGCAGTGGCACGATCTGGGCTCACTGCAACCTCTGCCTCCTGGGTTCAAGTCATTCTCATGCCTCAGCCTCCTGAGTAGCTGGGATTACAGGCATGCGCCACCGCGCCTGGCTAATTTTTGTATTTTTAGTAGAGACAGGGTTTCACCATGTTGGCCAGACTGGTCTTGAACTCCTGAGCTCAAGTGATCTGCCTGCCTTGGCCTCCCAAAGTTCTGGGATTATAGGTGCAAGCCACCATGCCCGGCCTACATTTCTGTGTTTTTTTTTTTTTTTGAGACGGAATTTCACTCTTGTTGCCCAGGCTGGAATGCAGCTCTTGGTGTCTACCCAAATGAGTTGAAAATGTATGTCCGCACAAGCCTGGAAACATATGTTTATAGCGGCTTTATCCATAATTGCCAAAACTTGGAACTAAGATGTTCCTA
This sequence comes from Homo sapiens, assembly GCF_000001405.40. Classification (NCBI taxonomy): domain Eukaryota; kingdom Metazoa; phylum Chordata; class Mammalia; order Primates; family Hominidae; genus Homo; species Homo sapiens. The sequence goes on from NC_000017.11 coordinate 19,115,761, forward strand.
AATAGAGCCGGGGGCGGTGGCTTGTGTCTGTAATCCCTGCTACCTGGGCAGCTGAGGCAGGCAGTAACTTGAGATCAGGGGTTTGAGACCAGTTTGGGCAACAGAGGGAGACCCCATCTCTATAAAAAAAATACTTTTAGGGTCGGGCGTGGTGGCTCATGCGTGTAATCTAACCTCTTTGGAAGGCTGAGGCGGGTGGATCACCTGAGGTCAGGAGTTCGTCACCAGCCTGGCCAACATGGTGAAACCCCATCTCTACTAAAAATACAAAAAATTATCTGGGCGTGGTGTCGGGCTCCCGTAATTCCAGCGATTCGGAAGGCTGAGGCAGGAGAATCACTTGAACCCAGGAGGCGGAGGTTGCAGCGAGCAGAGATCTTGCCATTGCACTCCAGCCTGGGCAACAAGAGCGAGATACCATCTCAAAAAAAAACACAAAAACCAAAAAACTTAAAAAAAAATAGACTGGGTGTGGTGACTCATGCCTGTAATCCCAGCACTTTGGGAGGCTGAGACAGGTGGATCACGAGGTCAGAAGATCAAGACCATCCTGGCCAACATGGTGAAACCCCATTTCTAATAAAAATACAAAAATTAGCCGGGCGTGGCAGTGCGTGTCTGTAGTCCCAGCTACTTGGGAGGCTAAAACAGGAGAATTGCTTGAACCGGGGAGGCAGAGAGTACAGTGAGTTGAGATCGCGTCACTGCACTCCAGCCTGGGAGACTCTGTCTCAAAAAAAAAAAAAGAAAGTAAAAGAAAATAAAAAAAAGAAAAACCCCAAAGGCAAAACACTACAAGAGGCAGAAAAAGAGTGGAAGACAAAAATAGAAACAAAGGCAACAAATAGAAAACAGTAAAAACAAAAAAAGGCAGCTATTAATCCAATTATATCAACATCCCTTTGCATATCAGTGGTCCAGATGAACCAATTAAAAGACAGAGATTGTCAGAGTGAGCAAAAAACAAGACGTAACTATATGTTGCTTACAAGAACTACACTTTAAAGACTTATGTATTAAAAGCGAATGGATAAAGAAAGATCTATGCCAACACTGATCAAAAGAAAGCAGGAGTCTCTATATTAATTTCAGACAGTACAGACTTCAGAGCAAGGAGAGTCATCAGGAATAGGCCAGGCACAGTGGCTCACACCTGTAATCCCAGCACTTTGGGAGGCCAAGGCGGGCAGATCGCCTGAGGCCAGGAGTTCGAGACCAGCCTGGCCAACACGATGAAACCCTGTCTTTACTAAAAATGCAGAAATTAGCAGGGCGTGGTGGTAATCCCAGCCTGTAATCCCAGCTACTCTGCAGGCTGAGGCACGGGAATCGCTTGAGCGTGGGAGGCAGAGGTTGCATTGAGCCGAGATCCCTGCACTCCAGCCTGGTTCGCAGAGACCTTGTCTGAAAAACAAAAAGAAAAGAAAAGAGAGTCATCCGGGATAAGGACAGGGCATTACATAATGATTAAGGAGTCAATGCTCAAAGAAGACATAACAGTCCTTAACATGTATGATCCTAACAAGAGAACATCAAAATATGTGAGGGAAAAAGCGACAGCACCGCAAGGAGAAACTATTATAGTTGGCGACTTCAATGTCCCTCTATCAGAAACGGACAGATCCAGCAGGCAGAAAATCCGTAACTCAGTAACACCCTCTATAACTGGATATAATGGAAACCTATGGACTATTTCATACAATGACAGCAGAAAAAAAAGAAAAGAAAAACGCTTTGGTTTTTCCCGTATCTTAGGCTGGAGAGCAGTGGCACGATCACAGCTCACTGCAGCCTTGAACTCCTGGGCTCAGGAGATCCTCCCGCCTCAGCATCCTGTCTAGTTGGGACTACAGGTGTGCACTAACACACGTGGCCAATTTTCTTTCTTTCTTTCTTTCTTTCTTTCTTTTTTTTTTTTTTGTGACGGAGTCTTGCTCTGTCGCCCAGGCTGGAGTACAATGGCACAATCTCGGCTCACTGCAAGCTCCGAGAATGGAGAATGGTTCACGCCATTCTCCTGCCTCAGCCTCCTGAGTAGCTGGGACTGCAGGCACCCACCACCATGCCCAGCTAATTTTTTGTATTTTTAGTAGAGATGGGGTTTCACCGCGTTAGCCAGGATGGTCTTGATCTCCTGACCTCATGATCCGCCCACCTCGACCTCCCAAAGTGCTGGGATTACAGGCGTGAGCCACCGCGCCCGGCCCTTCTTTCTTTCTTTTTAAATTTTTTTCATCATGCAGCTCAAAATGTCATAATTTTTAAAAATTTACTTTTCTGTAGAGATGGGATCTTGCTATGTTGCCCAGGCTAGTCTTGAACTCCTGGCCTCAAGCAATCCTCCTACCTCGGCCTCCCAAAGTTCTAGGATTACAGGTGTAAGCCTGAGTCACCATGCCTAACCACAAATATATATTTTTATTTTTTGAGACGGAGTTTCACTCTTCTTGCTCAGGCTGGAGTGTAATGGCATGATCTCAGCTCACCGCAACCTCCACCTCCCGGGTTCAAGCAATTCTCCTGCCTCAGCCTCCCGAGTAGCTGGGATTACAGGCATGTGCCACCATGCCTGGCTAATTTTGTATTTTTAGTAGAGATGGGGTTTCTCCATGTTGGTGAGGCTGGTCTCCAACTCCCGACCTCAGGTGATCCGCCCGCCTTGGCCTCCCAAAGTGCTGGGATTACAGGCGTGAGCCACCAAGCCTGGCCCAAATAAAATGTGGTGTTTTGTTTGTTTTTTTAGATGGAGTCTTGCTACGTAGCCCAGGCTGGAGTGCAGTGGCACGATCTCGGTTCACTGCAACCTCCGCCTCCTGGGTTCAAGCGATTCTCCTGCCTCAGCCTCCCAAGTAGCTGGGACCACAGGTGCGTGCCAACATGCCCGGCTAACTTTTTGTATTTTTAGTAGAGACGGGGTTTTACCATGTTAGCCAGGATAGTCTCGATCTCCTGACCTCGTGATCTGCCCACCTTGGCCTCCCAAAGTGCGGGGATTACAGGCGTGAGCCACCATGCCCAGCCTATAGATACTTTAAAAAAACATTTTATTTGTCACGGGTGCCGGGTGAGCGACCACGCCCGGCAATGATGAGTTTTATCTGGGCTGTTATACATCTGAGAAACGTCCAGGGGATGGCGCCCAAGAGGCATTTGGAGCTCAGAGAAGAGGTCAAAGGTGGACTTGGTGGGGTTAGGGAGGCTCTTGGGGCTGTGGGAGTGGTTCCTGAACTGTGATCCGCACTGTCCCCCAACTTACATACCCAGAACAGCCAGGCTTGGGTAATAGTGGGATCTCTCACCCTCAAAGGGCCAAACTGGGTAGAACTCAGGGCTTCCTTTTTTTTTTTTTTTTTGAGATGGAGTCTTGCTCTGTCGCCCAGGCTGGAGTGCAGTGGCACAGTCTCGGCTCACCGCAACCTCCGCCTCCCGGGTTCAAGTGAGTCTCCCGCCTCAGCCTCCCAAGTAGCTGAGATTACAGGTTCATGCCACCATGCCTGGCTAATTTTTTGTATTTTTTTTTAGTAGAAATGGGATTTCATCATGTTAGCCAGGCTGGTCTCAAACTCCTGACCTCAGGTGATCCTCCTGCCTCGGCCTCCCAAAGTGCTGGGATTACAGGCGTGAGCCACCACGCCCAGCCAGGGCTTCCTTTTTAGGATCCAAAGTTAGGGAGAAGCTGAGGCCACCCTGGCTGGTCTCTTAGCCCTGGAAGGATCTGACTGACCGTGATTAATGAGTCTTTTCACTCTAGCGGCACCAAGATATTCCAGGTCCCAGCTTGGTAGTGCCGGGAGCCAGCAATGAGTCCGCTCCAATGGAGCTCAGGCACCAGCAAGGACAGGGGGGCAGACAGGGGCAGGGGTCATCAAGACAGCAGGCATGGCTTAATAGCCATCCTAGGGATGTGAAGGGTGTGTCATTGTGGGTTCGACTTGCATTTCCCTAATGACAAATGAGGTTGAGCATCTTTCAGGAGCTGTGAGCCATTTGTATACCTTATTTGAGGAAAAGTCTTTTAGGATCCTTTGCCCATTTTTAAATTGTGTTTTAAATTGTTGTTTGTGTTCTAGTATTGAATTCTATGAGTTCTTGTGTATTCTGGATATGAAACTTTCACCAGATTTGTTATTTACAAATATTTTCTTCCATTCTGTAGGTTATCTTTTCACTTTCTTGAAAGTGTCCTTTGATGAGCAAAAGTTTTAATTTTGATAAAATACAATTTATCATTTCATTGCTTGTATTTTGAGTATCATATCAAAGGTTCCATTGACAAATACAAGGCATGAAAACGTACCCCTGCGTTTTTTATTTTTATTTAATTATTGTTATTTGTTTGTTGGTTGTTTCTGGTTTTTATTCTTTGAGACAAGGTCTTGCTCTGTGGCCCAGCCTGGAGTGTAGTGATGCGATCTCTGCTCACTGCAGACTTGACTTCTTGGGCTCCAGTGATTCTCCTGCCTGGGCTTTCCAAAGTGCTGGGATTACAGGCGCGAGCCGCCACACTCAGCCATTTTTTTTTTTCTTTATCAAGATTTTTTTGGCCGTTGTAGATCATTTGCAATTCCATATGAATTTCAAAATTAGCTGGTGAATCCCTTTAATGAATGTTTTATTTCAGTTACTATACTTTTCTTTTCTTTCTTTTCTTTTTTTTTATTTTTTTGAGACAGAGTTTCACTCTTGTCGCCCAGGCTGGAGTGCAGTGGCGTGATCTTGGCTCACTGTAACCTCTGCCTCCCGGGTTCAAGCGATTCTCCTGCCTCAGCCTCCCGAGTAGCTGGGATTACAGGTGCCCGCCACCATGCCTGGCTAATTTTGTATTTTTAGTAGAGATGGGGTTTCACCATCTCTGGCCTCCAAAAGTGCTGGGATTACAGGGGTGAGCCACTGCACCCGGCTATTTTAGTTACTATACTTTTCAACTTCATAATTTCCATTTGTTTTTTTTTTTTATAATTTCGATTTTTTTTTTTTTTAATTCGGAGTCTTGCCCTGTCGCCCAGGTTGGAGTGCAATGGTGCAATCTCAGCTCACCGCAACCTCTACCTCCCAGGTTCAAGGGATTCTCCTGTCTCAGCCTCCCGAGTAGCTGGGATTATAGGTATGCACCACCATACCCAGTTAATTTTTTTTTTTTTTAATCTTTAGTAGAGACAGGGTTTCACCATGTTGGCCAGGCTGGTCTCAAACTCCTGACCTCGTGATCCACCCGCCTCGGCCTCCCAAAGTGCTGGGATTACAGGCGTGAACCACCGTGCCTGGCAATTTCTATCTTTTTATCGGTATTCTCTATTTGATGAAACGCCATCATCATACATTCCTTTATTTATTTAGTCACAGTTTCCTTTGGTTTTATGAACGTGTGTATAATGGCTACTTTAAAGTCTTTTTCTGATAAATCAACATGTGCCCTCTCACAGGCAGTTTCCTTTGCCTGCATTTCCCCCTATCTATGGGTCATGCTTTCCTGTTTATTAAATTTTTTGCAGGCTTCATATTTTTTTTTTTTTTTTTGGAAACAGGACATTTAAATAATACATTGTAGCAATTCTGGGTATGAGTCTCCCCTGACCTGGGCTTGTTATTATTTTCTTGTTTATTTGTTTAGTGACTGGCTGGATTGTTTTAGTGAAGTCTATTTCTTCCGTACGATGTTCAGCTTCTATGGTCGTTCTCAGGGGGCCCAGCTTTGAGTATGCCTGCAGTTACTCTGGGATGACAGTGGTTTTGGAAGGCTCTCTTCCTCTTTCCCTGACCATATCCAGCTGTTAAGCTATGCAAATTTTCTTTTCTTTTTTCTTTCTTTCTTTCTTCTCTTTTTTTTTTTTTTTTTGAGATGGAGTCTCGCTCTGTCGCCCAGGCTGGAGTGCAGTGGCACAATCTCGGCTCACTGCAACCTCCGCCTCCCGGGTTCAAGCAATCCTCTGACTCAGCCTCCCAAGTAGTTGGGATTACAGGCACCTGCCACCACGCCCGGCTAATTATTGTATTTTTTGTTTTTTAGTAGAGACGGGGTTTGACCGTCTTGGCCAGGCTGGTCTTGAACTCCTGACCTAGTGATCCACCCACCTCAGCCTCCCAAAGTGTTGGGATTTTAGGCATGAGCCACTGCACCCAGCCCTTCTTTTTCTAATCCTTGCTTGGTTGAAATAAGCTCTGCAAGTTGCCAATGGATTGCTTTATAATTTCCTATAATGCCCTGCACTACACACTGATCCTATCAAGTTTGGCTCCTTGGAAGAAATAGTGTGTGAGGTCAATGTCTGCTATTTGTTCTGACCTCAGGAGGGCTCCCTCTACTGGTGCTATTCCCTGTTCTCTCCTGTAAACGAGCAGCCTAGAGTTCAGCTTGTGTCTTGAATCTTCTCCTAATTATCTCTCACCATAATCTCTACTATTCTCAAAAGCACCTTTTGGGCCGGGTGCGGTGGCTCACGCCTGTAATCCCAGCACTTTGGGAGGCTGAGGTGGGCGGATCACCTGAGGTCGGGAGTTCGAGACCAGCCTGGTCAACATGGTGCAAACCCCGTCTCTACTTAAAAAAAAAAAATTAGCTGGGTGTGGTGGTAGGCACCTGTAATCCCAGCTACTCGGGAGGCCGAGGCAGGAGAATCGCTTGAACCCAGGAGGCGGAGGTTGCAGTGAGCGGAGATCGCATCACTGCACTCTCAAACAAACCTAACCAAAATCAAAACAAAAGCAACTTTTGCCTTGAATTCCTTCGTTCTCTGTAGCAAATGAGGTCAGTTGCTTTGGGAAGAGATTAGGAAGTCTCTTTTTTATGGCCTGTTTCTTCATTAGACAAAAATCTCTCTGAGCCAGGGCCCTGGAGCTGGGGGTGGAGACTTTGGAAAGCTTCTCTCTGAGTGACACCCTGCGCTAGGGGCTGAGGACTTGGTGGGAGTGGGGACAATGGCCGAGGTCCTCAAAGTTTGCCTCTCCTGTTGTCGAGCTACTTCCACATGAGCCAGGGCCGGAGTGATCAGGACCCCAGCACTCGCAGCACACTGCACCCAAGGCAGAGCCTCTGTTCCTTGAGTGGGGCTGGGTGCAAGAAGGGGGCCCCCAACTCTTGGCTACACTCATCCAGGACTTAGTCTCAGCAACAGGTGGCTGGGGGTAGAATAGGAAATGGATGTCCTGTTCTTCGTGGGAGGCAAGCCCTCCCACTGGGAGCTGGGGGCAGAGGGAGCCCTGTTTCCCTGGTCTGGAGGCAGCAGGGGACCCCATGTTCTTGGCTGCAGCTGTCCAGAGTGGAGTCTCAGCCTCACTGAGCTGAGAGGAAGGGCAAGAGGGGCCATGATCTCAGTGCAAACACCATGGCCTCACCTTTTTAAACCAAATATTCATAGATGTTCATGAATCCATGTTTCTTCATTTGCATTTTCTTTTTTTTTTTCCAGACAAAGTCTCGCTCTGTCCTCAGAGGCAGGAGTACAATGGTGTGATCATAGCTCACTATCACCTTGAAATCCAGGACCGAAACGATCCTCCCACCTCAGCCTCCTGAGTAGCTGGGATTACAGGTGAGAGCCACCATGCCTGGCCTATTTTTGTTGTTGTTTATTTTTGTAGAGATGGGTTCTCACTATGTTGTCCAGGCTGGTCTTGAACTCCTGGGTTCAAGCATTCCTCCTGCTCCAGCTTCCCAAAGTGCTGGGATTACAGGTGTGAGCCACCATGCCTGGCCTGTTTCTTCATTTTCTTTTCTTTCTTTCTTTCTTTTTTTTTTTTTTTTTCTGAGACAGAGTCTCCCTCTGTCACCCAGGCTGGAGTGCAGTGGCACGATCTCTGCTCACTGCAATCTCCACCTCCCAGGTTCAAGTGATTCTATTTCCAAGTAGCTGGGACTACAGGCGTGCGCCACCATGCCTGGCCAATTTTTGTATTTCAAGTAGACACAGGGAGGTGGAGGTTGCAGTGAGCTGAGATCATGCCACTGCACTCTAGTTCAGGCAACAAAAGCAAAACTCTGTCTCAAAAAAATTTTTTTTCAGGGAGTTCTCTCAGGTGTTTCAGCCAATCTCTGATGATAAAAAGTTCCCCAATCAGCCTGTTTGGAGTGTTCCAGGGTCCAGTAGTCTAGCCCAGTCTACTAATTACAGAACTCAAACTGCATTGAAATTGCAGTTTCCATCCAATCTCACGACCCTTAACATAATCGCACCGGCAAAGTCCCTCTTGTCATATAAGGGAACGTTCCAAGTTCTTGAGATCAGGACCTGGATGTCTTCGGGGCTGTTACTCAGCTGATCACAGGGGGTTAGGGTTTCAGCACTGAGACAGTGGCTGGGTCTGCCCTGGCCTGGTGTGGCCTGTGGCCAGTGATGAGTTTTCCTCCTGTGAGCAGCTTTTGAGGGACCTCCATAAACCAAAACCAAAATCCTAAGCCCCTTAACCATCCAAATGGACTCCTTCTCTCGGCAAGGGCATTCCAAAGTTAACCTGAAAATGAGTTCAGGATATGATGGGAAGGGGGAGCTGGACATGCCTTGTTATAACCTCCTCGCTTTTGGAATTACTGTTAGAACGGACTCTTTCAGTCTGATAAGAAACATTTACACTATATTCTCTCTGAAGCCAGCTACCTGGAGGCTTCATCTGCATAATAAAACCTTGGTTTCCAAAACTCCTTATTTTGTTGTTTTTTTGTTTTTTTTTTTTTTTTGAGATAGGGTTTCTCTTTTGTTGCCCAGGCTGGAGTATAATGGGGTGATCTCGGCTCACTGCAACCTCCGCCTCCTGGGTTCAAGCAATTCTCCTGCCTCAGCTTCCCAAGTAGCTGGGATTACAGGCGTGCGCCACCACTCCCGGCTAATTTTGTATATACATTTTTTGAGATGGAGTTTCACTCTTGTCGCCCAGGCTGGAGTGCAGTGGCATGATCTTGGCTCACTGCAACTTCCGTCTCCTGGGTTCAAGTGATTCTCCTGCCTCAGCCTCCCAAGTAGCTGGGATTATAGGCACTCGCCACCACGCCTAGCTAATTTTTTATTTTTAGTAGAGACGGGGTTTCACTATGTTGGCCAGGCTGGTCTCAAACTCCTAACCTCAGGTGATCCACCTGCCTCGGCCTCCCAAAGTGCTGGGATTGCAGATGTGAGCCACCGTGCCCAGCCTAATTTTGTATTTTTGGTAGAGACAGGGTTTCACCATGTTGGTCAGGCTGGTCTCGAACTCCTGGCCTCAAGTGATCTGCCTGCCTTGACCTCCCAAAGTGCTGGGATTACAGGCATGAGCCACCGCGCCTGGCCCAAGCCTCCAGTTTCCGATGGCCCCTCGTTCCAGGCCCCAGCGTCTGCCTCATTTGGGGTGCTGCATTCTTCAAGGGTCCTCTCAGTCAAGTCCCATTTGTGGGGTCCTCTCTGGTCTCCCGGAATCAGGGCAGATTTACCCTCCAACAAAGCTTTGCTGCTTACCTCACTGCACTCCTTGAGCTCACTGTACAGTAGGCAGCCCAGGCTCCCAGCTCTGGCCCGAGCCACCTTGGGCAGGAATCCTTCGGGTTGAGGCCATGCGGCGAAGGAGTTGTAGGCATGGTTTGGCCCTCAGGCCTGCCTGGGTTTGAACCCCAGCCCTGCCACCTACCAACTATTGGTCACTTACCTCTTTGTAAAGGACTTGGCAGAGAATAAATACTTCTAAAACACATAAAAATAAACCCGGCATCTGTCCCACCGCCCCAGGGGACACCCATTCAGCTTCATAAGGGGAAGTCCTCCTCCCCTCATATGGCTAGAAGCACCTCAGAACTGAGGCGGGGGCCGATCCCAACCCCTCCATTGCATCATTCTGAGGCTTTGAAACCTCAACTGCAACAGAGCCGGAAAGAGGGGCCTTATAACATCCTGTCACCCTTGGGGTCGGGGGCAGCCAGAAGGCAGGGGTCTTTGAGTAGAGGGCAGCGTGGAGAAGCCCTGGAATGGAGCTGGGTGAGGCCAGGGCCAGCTCCATCCTGCCTGGTTGGCTCAGGGACTCCAGAGTGGGCGGCGGGCAGCTGTCATCTTCTCTTCTTCCCTCTCAACTATTTTTTTTTTTTTTTTTGAGATGGAGTCTTGATGTGTCACCCAGGCTAGAGTGCAATGGTGCGATCTCGGCTCACTGCAACTTCCATCTCCCAGGTTCAAGCGATTCTTCTATTATTGGCCAGAAGGTCAGGGTGTGTTCATAGAATGATGGGTCCATGTCAAAAGGATAAGGAGACAGCTTGAAGGAGACCCCACTGGCCTAATCAGGGGCATTTTAAGCATCAAAATAAATGTAATAGTAATGGATTATAATCCACTGGCTAAAATATGAAACCATGAGTCCATATTAATATAAATGAAGGAAGAAAAACTTCTTTACAGAAAAAAAACAATGTGACTTCACACTGATTCATCCAGTGTCCATGCAACACCACAGGGCTCTGCCTGGTTTTCCTTCCACGTCTGTGTCTCCCTTCTTTCCCAGGGAGAACCCTGGTTCCAAACAATACAGCTGTGCTTGTCCATTTGTGCGCTATCCTGCAACACTTGCAAAACAGTTTCAGAATTGCTACACCGATAACACTGCTCATAACAAACCCACTAAGGAAAGGTAGAGATTTATTTACAATTCTCTTTTTTTTTTTTTTTTTTTTTTGAGAAGGAGACTCGCTCTGTCACCCAGGCTGGAGTGCAATGGCGCAATCTCAGGCAGGAGGATCGCTTGAGTCCAGGAATTCAAGACCAGCCTTGGTAACATGGTGAAAACCCATCTCTACTAAAAATACAAATAATTAGCCAGACATGGTGGTGGGCACCTGTAGTCCGAGCTACTCTGGAGGCTGAGGTGGGAGGATTGCTTGGAGCCTGGATGGATCCTTGGCTCACTGCAGCCTCTGCCTCCCGGGTTCAAGCGATTCTTGTGCCTCAGCCTTCCCAGTAGCTGGGATTACAGGCACATGCCACCATGCCAGGCTAATTTTTTGTATTTTTATTAGAGATGAGGCTTCACCATGTTGGCCAGGCTGATCTCGAACTCCTGACCTCCAGTGATCCGCCCATCTTGGCCTCTCAAAGTGCTGGGATTATAGGCATGAGCCATCGCGACCGACCTACAAGTCTTGTTGACCTTAGGATTTAAGTCCCACCTAAGGTGCCCAGTGTCTAAACCAGAAGAGGTACCTTCTGAGCTGGTCTTTGATGGATGAATAGGAGTCTCCTGGGAGCAGAAAGAGGAGAACACCAGGCAGAGGAACCACGTGTGCAAAAGTCTGGGGTTGAAATGAGAGTTTGGTGTGGCCCCTTGCTGTGGCTGAAGCCCTGGGTTTGTTTAGAGTGAAGGGGATGACAAAGGATGAGAATGGGGGCTGTTTGTAGGGGCAGGTGGAGGTGGTGGATTGCAAGGGCCTTGAATGCCAGGTGAGGAGCTTGGGATTGAAGGAGCAGGAGGCAGGGCATCACAAGAGGCATCAGGGTTTAGGAAAAGATGGAGAGTCATTGGCAGATTGGTGAAGGGAGGCCAGCATCTGGTGCCATGAGACTCAGTGCCTGAGCCAGCAGGACAGCTTTGGCACTTCTCCTCCAGGCACCTCACTTTTACGGATGATAAAACATGGGCACAAGGGGGCCCCACTCCCAGAGCTTCAGGGAGACTCCCCAAGGGCCATTCCTGGCACCTGGGGTCTGAGGTAGGGACAGAGCTGGCTCACAAGCCCTCCCTGCTCTGTGACATGTCTGTTTCCTGTTTCTCCCCCATCAGGAGCAGTTTCAGTCTCAACTTCAAAAGAACAAACGCGCACTCAAAACAAAGGAAGACCGTCCTCGACTGCAGAGGAAGCAGGAAGCTGTCGGCCCAGCTCTGAGCCCAGCTGCTGGAGCCCCGAGCAGCGGCATGGAGTCCGTGGCCCTGTACAGCTTTCAGGCTACAGAGAGCGACGAGCTGGCCTTCAACAAGGGAGACACACTCAAGGTAGGGGGGCTGGAGCCTGCTGAGTTGGCCCCACACGGGGTGGGGGTGGATTTAGGAACCAGGGACCTGGGACTGTCCCAAGCAGACTGTGGCCCCTGGAAGACAGGCCCAGCCTCTCCAGTTATTGGCTGTGTGACTCTGGACAAGCCACCTTTTCCCTCGGAGCCTCAGATTCTCCATCTAGGAAATGGGGAGATAACTAATGACCCTCCTTTGGGGCTGTTGTGAGGATTCGATGAGATATTACCACAGTGTCTGGCAGGAGTTAGTTCAACCCCCAGTTTTCCAGGAAAAAGTTTGAAAAGAAAATTGTTGAGAGAGGGAGAGAATGAGAGCTAGAGAGAGAGACAGAGTATGGGAATGGAGAACAGAGCGAGAAAGAGGGAGAGAGAGAAGGTCTTAGGAAAGAAATAAGTACACATGCTAACCTAGTAGGGCTAAAATAGCTAAGATGAAAGTGTCAAGGATGAGCTTCCCAGTAGTGTGGAGAAAAGGGAAAATAGAGTCATACCACCGTTCATTTCTCCTTGTCTGGGCCGCTTTTGACAGATGTTGCAGCCTTCCAAGACGGTCTAGACAGTTGGGCCTGTGGAATGTGTCTCTGGAAATGTCCTTGCTTAAAAGTTTGCATATGAAAGCCATGCCCAGGATTCTGGGAGTGGCCATGCCAAGACGTGTGCACTGGAACTGCCAGTAAACCACACTAGGGAAGTGACTGCCCTTCCCTGGGCCTCAGTTTCCCCACTGGAGCAATGGGTGTTAGACTGGATGCTCCTCTGCGCTGAGCCCTGGGCGCTGCCCTTGGCCACAAGCTTCAAGCACAAGACGGGAGAGCTCCCTGTGCCATCACCCTGCTATAGCCAGGCCCCGAACTCAGCAGCACACCTCATGTACCATTTAAGCAATGGGGACTGGCACCCCCATTTCACAGGTGACTAAACTGAGGCACAGGGAGGCAACATGACCTGCTCGGTATGGAGTCAGTTTTGAACCCGTGTCCCTTTGGCTGTGGAACTTGCGCTTGGTCTGAACAGGCTGGGCTGGGGGTTGGGGTCCAGAGGAGGAGGAGCAATTCCTCCTTCTCTATGCTGGGGTGCTGGTGCTGGCACCTGGGGTCACTGCAGTGCTGGCTGTCGGCCTCGTGGACATGTGGCCAGATGGGGACAGGGCCAGGCTGAGCACTGGGGCTGTGAGCCCAAGGCATGACCCTCTGCGGGGATCCAAGTCTTGGTTTCTCATCTGAGAGCACTTCGAGGTCTCTAGACCCAAGTGTGGTGTTGGGAGGGAGTGGGGCAGTGATGAAATAGGAATGGGGTGCGCGGGAGGCGTTGAGCCAGGCTTGGAGGGATCAAGTGGCTGGGGTGGAAGCTGAGCTCCGCGACCATCCTGTCCTCTCGTCTAGCAAGTATTTTCCAGTGCTCCCTGTGGGCCAGCCCCTGCCATGGCACTGCCTGCCTACAGATTGAGTCCAGCCTGGGAGAGTGGGCGATGAAGCCCGTTCTTGAAATCTGAACTTTGGTCTTGGATGAAAACTCTGGCTCATGGACTCACCCTGGACAAATGGCCCCAAACATCACCTCCCTGGGACAAAGCCTCCCTCCCTGATAGGCCAGGCGTTTCTGGGTGCACGCACCCCCATGCTGTTGCCAGCTGGAGGGGCATGTGGTTAGTGGCTTCACTCCCATCTCTGCACGAGCAGCCTGGATGATGAGACCCAGACTCAGGAAGCCCATGTCACCTTGACATCTCCATGGGAAAGGGCGACGGTCCAGACCCAACACAGCCAGCCCTGGGCTCCCTGAACCTACTTTCTGCTGCCTGTCATTGTCTTGTCGGCAACTCTGGCAAAACCTACCCGAAGCCCCTCCTCCAGCCCAGGCCTCCATTGTCACTTACCTGGGCTTGCGTGGTGGCTCCCAAGGCCTCCCCGCAACAATCCCTGCTCCCCAGCCCAGTCTCCATGCAGTGGCCATGACTCAGAGCCTGGTCCTCCCCCGTACATCTTATGACATCTGCTCCTCCCTCCCTCAGCTCCAGACACCCTGGCCTCCTTTCTGTTTCAGGGACAGAGCTTGGCCCCACCTCAGAGCCTTGGCACTGGCTGTTCCGTCCGTCTTGGACACTGTTCCCCACATTTTCTTACCGCTGGTTCCTTCTTGTAATTCGGGTCTCAGCTTCCATGTCACTTCTTCAGAGAGGCCTTTCTGGACCACCCCACCTGTCCCGTGTTGACAATCTCCCTGCTCCCACCCAACCAGACATTCTCCATCTGTCACCTGATGTCCATTTTTCACAGCGCTTACTGCTCCATTAAACTACCTTGCTTATTTGTTTCTTCCCTTGTTTATGGTCTGTCTCTGCCTACTAGAATGTGAGCTTCTTGTTCCCTGCTCTGTCGTGGGGTGCCTGGCACACAGTAGGTGCTCAGTAAACAACTATCAAGCAGCAACTGCATCGGGCTGGGATGGTAAAGTGGGGCGGCAGCCTGGGTGGAGGGCACCATGTGGGCAAAGGCTCAGGGGCAGGCCAAGTTCTGCCTCTCACCTTGAGCAGTGATACTCCTCCAGGGAGGAGTTGGCCTCTCTCCCTTGTGAGAATTCCCGGGTCTCAGAGGGTCTGGGGCTTTCAAACAATGTTCACAGTAAGAAATCAGTTAACGTGAGGTCAAGAGATCGAGACCAGCCTGGCCAACATGGTGAAACCCCATCTCTACTAAAAATACAAAAATTTAGCTGGGCGTGGTGGCACACACCTGTAGTCCCAGCTACTCGGGAGGCTGAGGCAGGAGAATCGCTTGAACCCAGGAGGCAGAGGTTGCAGTGAGCTGAGATTGCGCCACTGCACTCCAGCCTGGTGACAGAGTGAGACTCCATCTCAAAAAGAAAAAAAAAAAGAAAAAAGAAAAAGAAATTAGCTAATGTAACCAATGGGACATTCCTGAGTCCTCTGAGTGCAGATGACAAAGAGACAAAACGAAGCAGGGACTGCATGAGACGTATTCCACCCAGTGTCCGCACTGCTGCATGCAGGGCAGGCCATAAATGCACCCATTGGACAGACGAGGGAGGACACTGAGGCCAAGGCCACAGAGAGAGTCAGAAGCAGACAGAATGTTCTGGAGCCCCAGGCTTCAGGGCATCCTCCTGGAATCCATGGCTGTGGTATGTGGCCTACAGGCCCTCATTTTCTCCTTAGGTTGGGGGAGTTGTTTTGTTTTTTTGAGACGGAGTCTCACTCTGTTGCCCAGGCTGGAGTGCAATGGCGCGATCTCGGCTCACTGCAGCCTCCAGCTCCCGGGTTCAAGTGATTCTCCTGCCTCAGCCTCCTGAGAAAGTTGGGGATTATGAGAGTATGCCACCATACTTGGCTAATTTTTTTGTATTTTTAGTAGAGACGGGGTTTCGCCATGTTGGCCAGGCTAGTCTTGAACTCCTGACCTCAGGTGGTCCACCCTCTTCAGCCTCCCAAAGTGCTGGGATTACAGGCGTGAACCACTGCGCCCGGCCTGTTTTGTTTTGTGTTGAGCGAAAGTTTTCCTGAGTCAGCCACCTGCTTCCGTTCACCCCTGGGTCTGCTGACCTGGCCCAGGCTGCAGGGGCAGGAAGGAAGAGGCTCAGCCAGCCTGGCCTGGTGGACAAAGCGGGGGTGGAGATGGGGGTGCAGAGGCCACCTGTGAGGGTGGGGCCTCAGGCCTGGGCCCTAGGAGGCCAATCCCAGCTACTCTTGGCAAAATATCACTGCTGGAGTTGATGCCCCTGTATTGGCCCGCCCTGGGCCTTTGGTACCCCGTGCCCAATTTTTTCTCTCAAGTACCCCTGAAGGATTGAGCTGACATTGGAACCTGCTCCAGGACTGACAGGAGAGATGTCCCCTCACAGGAGAGATGTCCCCTCAAGCTGGAGTCCAGTGACAAAGAGGACTGGAGGCAAAAATTGGTGGGCCAGGACCCCCTTGACCAGTGAGCCAAAAACTCCAGGCCTCAGAGTCCTGACTGACCAAACAGGCTCTGCCTCTCCCCTGCTGCGTGGCCTTGGCCAAGTCACTTCCCCTGTGGGCCTCAGTTTTGTTATTTGTAAAATAGCATTTGGTGATGTTGACCTTGGGGGCTATATGAGAATCAGGGGGACAGACGGAAGGCGTGCCCAGGGAATGGAGGCAGGACCCCCGGCCTCATGCTGTGCCCCTCCCAGGCCCGGCCCCGCCCCCCGCCTTGGTCGCTTGGTTGCTCCCCCTCAGGGACTCCCACCCCGGCTCTGGCTATTTCAGTTCCTCCGGGCCCACCTGTGGTGTGATGGGGGCCTCACAGGCTCGGAAGAGGAGCCCGTGTGACCGAGCAGGCCATGCCAGGGCTGAGAACCAGTCTGTCTCAGACCAAAGGCCCCCTTATCTGCTCCCCAGAGCCTGACGTCCCCCCACTGAATTGTCACCCCTGAGCTGTCTAAATGCGAGGGACCCTAGGTGACCACTGGTGGCTGTGCTCAGGCCGGGTCCCCCGACCTTCACCCCAAGGCTCAGTGCGTGGCATGTAAGTGCTGTGGGCCCCCCAAACTCGGGGGCACAACCCAGGAAGGAACTCAGGTCCCCAGTTCTGCTCCTGCAAACCCCATGGTCCGCAGGGCTCCTGGTGTCGGAGCCTGAGAATCCAGCTCCAGCCACCCCAAGCCTCCTACGAGTCCCCGACTGTGCCTCCCTTGGAGTCTGTGAATCACCTGAGGATGGGCTGTCCTGGGGCCAGGGGATGGGCAGCACTGAGGAACGAGGGCTTCTAATTCAGCCCTTGGGACCATGGGCAAGTCCTGTCCCAGGCCCCCAGCCCTGCTCTGTGAGTAGGCACAGAAGCTGGTGCAGGCGAGGCCCACCTGGGGCCTGGCGTGCAGTGGGGCCTCCGGGGGTGACAGTTGTTCCTTCTCGGTGACTGAGTGGCTTTGTGTCTCCTGCCCACAGATCCTGAACATGGAGGATGACCAGAACTGGTACAAGGCCGAGCTCCGGGGTGTCGAGGGATTTATTCCCAAGAACTACATCCGCGTCAAGCCCCATCCGTGAGTGGACAGCCCCATCCCATCCCCGTGGCTCTATCTCTCCTGGCCATGGGACCCCCTCACTCCTGGGCCTCTGTCCATCTGTCTGGGGCCCCCAGGCTCCACAGAGGCCACCAGCCTGGGCAGGCATAGGAGACTGAGTTCTGAGGACTTCCCCAGAGTGGGGACAGAGTCAGGGCAAGCCCAGGCTTCCACACTGAGGACGTGAGCCACTGGAGAATGTCCAGGAGGTCCCCGAGAGAGGACAAGGCCCTGGGCTTTCAGCTGGCTGCGCCACTGGCTGCTGTGTGGCCTCAGGCAGGTCCCTGCCCTCTGTTCCTCAGTTTTCCTATCTATAACTCAAGGAGGGCAGATGCTCCAATCTGTTCAGGGTGGAGGGTTCTAGAGCTCTTGCTGAGAGCTGGCCCGGCCCTGGGTTGTGGCTGGGAGAGGGCTGGGCGGGAAGCAGACCCTGTAGGCCCTGCCTTTGGAGTCTGGGGGGGAGTTGGACATTGGCAGAGCAGAGTCTGGTACCAGGGTGGAGCAAGAACTGGGCCTGGGGCCCAGCTATCCTGGGGCCTGGGACCTACCAGCCTAGGGATGTCCCAGGTTGGGCTCTGGGCAGGTGGCAGCCAACACTGCTGCCCTGAGAATGACTGGGGCAGGGCCCAGCCTCAGAACAGGCATGGGGCCCAAGAAATCTATGCAAACCAACTGGATATGCTTTAAATGGCAGCTGAGGCAGCCCCAAGATACAGCCACTTAGTCATTCACTAAACACTGGCCACAATTCCAGGGGGTCCAGCCCGGGTGATGCTGGAGACACAAGGGGTCAGAGCAGCTGTGTTCTGGGGGAGAAAGAGGACATGAAGGACATACTACATGGGAAGACAGTGAGCATTAAGGTGATTTCTCAGGGAAGGCTTCTCAGAAGAGGTGGCAATGAGTGAGGTTTTGAAGGATGTGTAGGAGTTGGTTAAGTAGAAAAAGAGAAAGGCATCCCTGGGAGAGGGTCAGGATGAGCAAAGGGAGAGCAATGAGAGAGAACTTGTGGCATGTGGGACTGGCAGGAGGCCCCCAAATGCCAAGCCATGTGGGGAGCCATGGAGGTGTTATGGTAGGACTCAGTCAGATATGGAGACAGGTGACAGGGCCAAGCAGGCTGGCGGGACAGTTTGGGAGCTGAGATGTGTGTGTGGCTGTGCGGTGGGAAGGGAAGGAGGTGCAGGGCCAGGGTGGGGCATGAGAGGTATTTCCTCTTTATCTCTCTTTAAGTTAGTTCCAAAGCTGCCACCACCTCCAGCTTCCTGTGCTGGGCGAGGCCCCCTCCGACCCAGGTCCTCAGCCACCTGCCCGGGCTGCAGGCACTCCCAGCCTCCCCCACAGAGGCTGCAGCTTCCAGTCGGCATCTGGGGCGGCAGCCTGGGTTCCAGGCCCCACTATGTCCCGCGTGGTTGTGTGACATTGGGCAGGTTTCTGTGATCTTTCTGTCAATTAAGGGGGAGAGGGAGGGGGGTGTGCGAAGAGGGAGAGAGACGAGAGAATCCGACCCAGGGCCACAAGCTGGAGCCAGTGCCCCAGGCCCCTGTAAGCCAATGGGACCATCCAGACATGCCAGAGGGCATGAACGGGAGCAATCCCCCTGGGCCAAGCTGTCAGGGAGGGGCCTTCAGGTGGAGGAAATGGCCTGGCAATGGCTGGAAGGCTGGCTGGCCTACAGCTGCTGAGAGGGTCGCATTTGCTCAGGCAGGGGAGAAAAGATGACAAAAGACCGCAGTGCCGGGCCAGGCCTGTCGAGGGGATGCCAGTGGTCGAGGCAAGACTCTAGCAGGGCAGTTGGGAGCCATGGAGGGTTTCAGCCTCCCATGCCTCTGGGGTCATCTCTGGCCATTTGTGTCTGGGACACAGCAGGGATGGGGTCAAGCCCCCGAGTAACCTGCCTGAAGTGATGCCCAGGTGTGTCCTCGACTAACCTCAGCACCTGCCTTGCTCCCCAAAATAACTATGGGGAAACTCCAGCTCCATACCTGACTTAGCCCATAAAGGCCTCAGGTGTGGGGTCAGAGGGAGGGCTGGGGCCTCAGAAATTCAGAGGTAGGCCTCGTGCCTATGCCAGGCCCACTCCTTCCCTGGGCACCCCCTCTCACCCCTGCCAACCCCAGGAGCCCCCGGGGGAGGCACAATGTACGCCAAGTGCTCCAGAGCCAGCCCCATCAGCAGGGGCCACAGCGGCAAGTGACCCAGCCTCACGGCCCATGGGAGTCAGGGATGGCTTCCTAGAGGAAGGGTGTGGCCCGCTGGGCCTGGAAGTTCAAGTAGATGTCTGCCAGGGAAGGCAGAGACAAGCCTGGCAGGGGGATGTGTGGGGGGAGCAGCAAACACCCGCGTACGAGCAGCTCATGCATCCTCCCAAGGCCCTGAGAGCTGAGCACCACCATCGCCATCTTTGAGATTAGCAGACAGAGGCACAGAGAGGTTGAGTGCCCCCCCAGGATCTCACAGCTGGCACGAGGTGGAGCGGGACTGCAGCCGTGTGGCATGGCCCTGGGCTGGGACACCCTGGAGGACAGCGGGGAAGCTCATAAGAACAGCTGTGGGACTGGGAGAGTCCCAGGCCATGCACTTGCTATGCAATCTGGTGGGGTGTGGGGGCGTCTCTGCCCCTATCTGGGCCTCGGTTTCCACATCAGTAAAACAGGAATGATGCGAGATGGCCACAAATGGAGTGACACTGGTGTGGGGGAAGGAGCCGGGCCCTGGAGTTTCAGGAAGTGCTTTCTTCTTGCCTCCATCCGTCAAGCCATGGTGGGGGCAGGGCTGGCAGGGGACGTGGGAACTCCTGGGAGGGTGTGATTGCGATGCTCTCTGAGGGCAACAGCCACCCACACACTGATGCCGCCTGAGGAGTTTTGTGGGTTCTTCGAAGAAACCTGCCCCCTCAGGAAACTCCCGCCCTGGGCCACGCTGGGCACTGTTGCGGGACGGAGCTGGGGGCTTCCTGGTGGAGAAGCTCTCTGCAGCTCCCCTGCCTGGTAACCCCAACCCTGGGCCCCCTACGCTCCCCTCCTGCTGCAGCCTGTGGCATTCACCTCTGGCCTTGAGACACCCAGGCTGGCTGGGCACCTGCCTTCAGGTCTCCAAACCCCAGAAGACCCAGGCTGAGCTCTCCGGATGGTTGCCCTGAGCCCTATACCCAGCGGCTACCTTCCCCACGTCCCCTCCCAGAAGGAAACTCGCTGGGACAGGGGCCGAGGGGCCCCCATTCGTTTGGGGGCAGCAGTGGTCTAGAATCTCATGTCTAGGAGTTCGGGTTTCTCCGGAAGCCGTCCCTGAGACACGAGCCTGATAACAAGGAATTTATATAACAGTGGAGAAGAGGACAGGGAAGTGGGGGAGCCAGTGGGGCAAACTGTTGGCGTCATCGCTGCTGGGGGTAACCGGAGCTCCATCTGGCTGGGGACCAGGGCCAGCTGGAGACAGTACAGAATGCGCACCTAGGAGTCATGCCTCCGGAAGGCCAGGCGCTGGGGCGTCTACCCCTCTGCTCCATCAGTCACCACTGGGAGTCAGACTGTTCCTGGGAGCCTCAGCCTGCCCTGAACCCAGGCCAAATATGTCAATCACCAGAAAAAAGGCCCCGAGGTCTGTACTGAGCAGCCTTCATCCTGCCAAGGCCGGCGCCGGGACATGGCCAGGACACTAGCGGCATGTGCAGCACCGCACGCCTTCTGCACTCAGCCCCGAGGGCTCATCAACATCCGAAACAACAGGAAAAGCCCCGCCTGGCTTCCACCACCTGTGCCGAGCTCAGTCTGACTCAGGGAGAGGAGCATTTATGGAAGGAGTGAAGGGGAACATTCTGTCATGGTGCCACCACGAGACCTGTGGCTGCTCTGGGCCTCAGTTTCCCCATCCGAACAATAAAGGGGTCAGAGCCAAAGCTGGGCTAAAACACTGGAGTTAGGAAAGCCAGTCAGAGACCACACAGCCCCTCCGATGGTGGGTGTTCTAGTCCTGCAGGCTGCTGTCACGGAATGCCATCCACTGGGTAGCTTATGAACA
The DNA here is from genome assembly GCF_000001405.40 of Homo sapiens. Lineage (NCBI taxonomy): Eukaryota > Metazoa > Chordata > Mammalia > Primates > Hominidae > Homo > Homo sapiens. The sequence continues at coordinate 19,136,781 of NC_000017.11, forward strand.
ACAGACATTTGTTGCTCACTGTTCTGGAGTCTGAAGTTCAAGATCAAGGTGCCGGCAAATTCACGTCTGATGAGGCTACTTCCTGGTTCACAGACGGCTGTGTCTTTTAGCTGTGTCCTCACATGGCAGAGAGACAAGTGAGCTCTCTGGGGTCTCTTTCATAAGGGCACCAATCCCATTCATGGGGACTGCTAATCACCTCCCAATGACCCCACCTTTTACTGCTGTCACATGGGGGATTAGGTTTCAATATTTGAATTTTGGGGGACAGAAAGTCAGCCTATAGCAGTGGCAAATTCCTGAAGAGGCCGGGGGCTACCAGGAGCTACCAGGAGCCACACAGCAAGATAAGCAGGACTGGAAAAGGAGTTTCACTCCCAGACCCTGGGGATCTTGCAAGAGTCTAAGCATTTACCAGGCAACTTCTGCATACCCAGTTCTGTTTGGTCAGCAGCAAAAGGAACTTGTGCCTGTGAAAAAAATTCAGGTGGCCTGAGACTGTGGAATGGATATTTCCTCACCATATCAAAGCTACTATTATTTTTGTCATGTTTTTATATTTTCGACTTAAGAAGTTTTTTTTTTTTTGCCGGGTGCGGTGGCTCACGCCTGTAATCCCAGTACTTTGGGAGGCTGCGGTGGGCGGATCACGAGGTCAGGAGATCAAAACCATCCTGGCTAACATGGTGAAACCCTGTCTCTACTAAAAATACAAAAAAATATGTATATATGTATATTAGCCGGGGCGGTGGCACACACCTGTAGTCCCAGCTACTCGGGAGGCTGAGACAGGAGAATCACTTGAACCCAGGAGGCGGAGGTTGCAGTGAGCTGAGATCATGCCACCGCACTCCAACCTGGACGGCAGAACAAGACTCTATTTTTTAAAAAAAGTGTTTGTTTGTTTGTTTTTGAGACGGAGTCTTGCTCTGTCACCCAGGCTGGAGGACAGTGGTGCGATCTCGGCTCACTGCAAGCACCGCCTCCTGGGTTCATGCCATTCTCCTGCCTCAGCCTCCCCAGCAGCTGGGACTACAGGTGCATGCCGCCACGCTCGGCTAATTTTTTTGTATTTTTAGTAGAGATGGGGTTTCACCGTGTTAGCCAGGATGGTCTTGATCTTCTGACCTCGTGATCCTCCCGCCTCGGCCTCCTAAAGTGCTGGGATTACAGGCGGGAGCCACCGCACCCGGCCAGAAGTATTTTTTTAAGGAATGGGGGTGGGAGGTTCTCTATTCCCCAGGCTGGTCTCAAAGTCTTGGCCTCAAGTGATCCTCCCATCTCAGCCTCCCGAGTAGCTGAACTACGGTCACGCACCACCGAGCCTGATTTATTTTTTGACTTTAAAGAATCTACCATCTCAAAGGGAAAGTTAGACTGAGGTTGGCTGGGGTGTGGCTCACTGGAGTGTGACTTTTCTGTTTCCATAAGGGTATGTGTTTGCTGGCATGGTAGGAGAGGCTGGCCTCAGGAGCTAAAATGCTGGGATTGTGTTCCAGCTCCTGCCTGCCTCTGCTGTGTGATTGTGGGTGTATTGCTTCACCTCTCTGTGCCTCAGTTTTCCCATCTGTAAAATGGGTGCAATCACATCTCCCTTGTCTCAGACCTTGAACACCTGGCACGGGGTGGGAGGCTGGCTGAGAGCCTGGTCTCACACTGCCTTCACCGGCTCCCTCTCTCCGCAGGTGGTACTCGGGCAGGATTTCCCGGCAGCTGGCCGAAGAGATTCTGATGAAGCGGAACCATCTGGGAGCCTTCCTGATCCGGGAGAGTGAGAGCTCCCCAGGGGAGTTCTCTGTGTCTGTGAAGTGAGCTCTGGCCCTTGGGGGTGTGTGCAGAGGAGGGTGGGCGGGGTTGGGCAGCATTTGAGCTGAGCCTTGGGGCCCGGGACGGGCTCACGGAGTGAGGGTGGAGGAATGGCATCCCTGCAGAGGGAGCAGTCCGGGCAGAGGCCTTCCGGACACAGGCGGTGGTCTGGGCACCCCAGGGTGCAGCCCAGAGCAGTGGGGTGTGTTGGGAAAGCAGGATCAGGCCAGCTGTGCAAGGCCTCAATGCCAGGCTGAAGGTCCAGGCTTCTACGAGTATAGGAGCCATCATAGGTTCTTCATCAGGAGAGGGCGATGTCCAGGGTGGTGATGTGGCAAGAGATTGAGGGCAGGAGAGTGCTGAAACGCCCAGGGCGGGTGTCCAGGATGTGCTCCGCACAGGGTCCCACTCTATGTGATATAGTTGGGAAGATGCACCCTGAGGCCAGGCTGCCTGGGCTCAAATGCTAGTTCTGCCACTTCCTGGCTGTGTGAGCTTGGGCAAGTCACTTACCTTCTCTGTGCCTGTTTCTTCACATGTAAAATAGGCTATTGCACGGAAGAAACAAGTTGGTATATTTAAAGCAATTAGAATAGTCCCTGGCATGGAGGCAGGGTGGCCGTGCTGGGGAACATCTGGCATTGTATTAGGGCGGCCCTCAGCTGTGGTGTGGCAGCCTCTGGGCAGCACAGAATCCAATCCTAAAGGGCCACCCTGGAGTGATTGAGGAATCCAGGCTGGAAAGTAGCAGCAGGAATGGGGGTGGGGGTAGACAGGGTCAGGCTCCTAGTTAGTCTCTGTCCTTCCTACTCTTAGGCCTTGGTAGAATCTAGATGCATTAATTCAAGGAATATTTATTGATTAGGTGCCATGTGCCAGGATGCTCTAGGGGCTGGGGAAACCAAATGGGAAAAAAAACAAAGTTGCTGCTGTCGTGGGTTTCAGTCTTTGTGAGTGAACAAGAAAACATGTTAATACAGAATGAACCAAGGTGGTCAGGAAAGGGCTCTCTGAGGAGGTGGCCTTGCAGCAAAGATCTGAACTAGGAGGTGGAGGCTTCCCAGGTGCCCAGGAATGAGGAGGACCTGGGAAGAGAGGCTTCTAGGCAGAGGGAATAGCATTTGCAAAGACCCTGAGGTGGGAATGTGATTGGGGCATGTAGGAGCCCGGAGGAGGTGACGTGGCTGGAGCAGAGTGAGCGAAGGGCAGGGGCTGGAGTTCCACCCACATCCAGTGATCACAGAGGGCCTGAAAGGAGGTCGGGTTTTCTCTCAGAGCAATAGGGAGCCATGGAGGGTCTTGAGCAGGGGAGAGATGTAATTGGACTCCATTTTTAGCAGATGACTCTGAGTGCTGTGAGGAGAAAGAACTGTTGGGGGAGAGCGTGGTGGCAGGGAGGCCCGTGGGGAGTCAGGAGGGAGATGATGGCCTCTGGGACTGTACGGGTAGGGGCTGATGAGGGGACACAGAGAAATGGTTGGGCCCAGGCATGGAGGTGTGCGGGGGGACCACCAGCAGTACCAGCTCTCAGGGCTGCTGTGGGCACAGAGCCCGGAATGGAGGAGGCGCTTACCATGCCAGCTCTTACTGCCACCAGCGGAGCTAGCACTGGGGTGGTAAAGAGTCCAGCCGGGAGGAAGGGATGAAGGAAGGGGTGGCCCCAGAGGAGGGCAGAGTGGCCTCTCATGATCTCCTAAAGGATGAAGGCCAGGTGTGGTGGCTCACGCCTGTAATCCCAGCAGTTCGGGAGGCCAAGGCGGGTGGATCACTTGAGGTCAGGAGTTTGAGACCAGCCTGGCCAACATGCTGAAACCCCGTCTCTACTAAAAATACAAAAATCAGCCAGGCATGGTGGCGCACGCCTGTAATCTCAGCTACTCGGGAGGTTGAGACATGAGAATCATTTGAACCCGGGAGGCAGAGGCTGCAGTGAGCCGAGATTGTGCCACTGCACTCCAGCCTGGGTGATGGAGTAAGACTCTGTCTCAAAAAATAAAAATAAAAATAAAAATAAAGGACAAAGAAATACAGGCCTGGGTCGATAGCTAACACTGGGGCTGGGTGTGGAGATGCAAGCTTGATGGGGCTTGGAGTCAGGGGGTCCCAAAGAAGCAGACAAAGGCAGACTCAGACAGGCTGGGCCAGGAGCCCATGAGGGCTCCTGCTGGGGGAAAAGCATTCCCACCCACCTGATGCCTTCCAGGCTCTGCCGGGTCCCTGTGACTCCCATGTGTTCAGCCGGCCTGTTTTGAAACAAGCTCAAGCTGTTCACTGTGTGGGATCAGCACGTCTGCTGCTAGCCCTGCAGGGTGGCGAGCTCCCCTGAGCCTGGAGGCACCCGCAAGGAATAGGAGCCTATGGTCAGGAAGGCGGCTCTAGGGGTGTGTTCGTCCATTTAGTGTTGTGATAAAGGAACACGTGAGGCTGGGTAATTTATAAAGAAAAGGCGTTTATTTGACTTGGTGTTCTACAGGCTGTGTAGGAAGCATGGCACCGGCATGTGCCTCTGGTGAGGCCTCAGGAAGCTTTTACGCATGGTAAACGGGGAAGGGGATCCGGCGCATCACATGGCGAGACGGGGGCAAGTCGGGGAGGGAGGTGCCAGGCTCTTTTCAACAACCAGACCTCAGTCATTACTGCAAAGAGCCACTGATGAGGGTCTGTCCCATGACCCAAACACCCCCCACCAGGCCCCACTTCTAACACTGGGAGTCACGTTTCAGTGAGAGATTCGGAGAGGACAAACATCCAAACCATACCAGGGAGGCAGATCCAACGTCTCAGGGGTCACAGCCCCCCACATTCACCCTGAGCCCGGGCGCCCAGTTGGTGGAACCAGCCATCAGCCTTGTTCCCTTCCCTTTTCTCCTGGGGGCAGGCTGGTGATCCTGAGGGGCAGGAACGCGCATGCCCCCTCTGAGCCTCTATTTCCCCATCTTAAAAATGCGAGTGCTGTCAGCATGTGCGTGTGTGCGCTTGTGTGTGCTGGGGGTTTACTGTGCGTTCTTGGCCCTGACTGCCCACCCCCGGGATGGTGTGGGCACCTGGAGCCTGGAGTCCCCGCGGGCTCACCCCCCACCCCCCCAGCCCAGCCACCACTTCCCTGCAGCCCCGGGGAGCTGCGGCTCCTGCGGAGGCAGGACGTGGCAGTCTTCCAAGTGTCGGCTGTCCAGGGCCTGGTCATCTCCTGGGAATGGCGTCCGCCAGGCGGGCTGGCCTGGCTGAGTGGCTCCTGGAACCAACCCCAAAGCCCAAGGTCACCCAGCAAAGTGGGGGCACAGGGGACTCAAACTACGTCTGGAGCCCGAGTTGAGGGGGAGGGGCTGGCCCTCCCTCCGCCCTCCGGCTTCCTCCTCTAACAAATCACGCGGCCTCACTCTCCAAGTTAGCGCCCCAGTGTGCTGCCCTCTTCAGGCGTCTCTCTGTAAGTGCAGCCACCTGCGCACACGCACATGATCAGACCTGAACACCCCAGCCTTGTGAGTTTGCTCAGCACGCATTTATTGAGCATCAGCTGTGTGAAAACCACAAGGCAGGACTGAAACAGGAGACAAACCAGAGGCATGTGAAGGGGAAATGGTCACAGCCTGGCCCAGGGGTCTCTATGATGAGCAAATGAATAAATGAAATTCAATGACAGTGGATACATTCCACATAGTGAAGGCACCAGGGAGGAAGTGACATCTGAGTTGGGCTCTAAAGCATGAGTAGGATTTTGGCGCACAAGGAGAGTAGATGATATGCCAGGCACAGGGAACAGCATGAGTAGAGATCTAGAGGTGGGGAAGCGAGGGGTGTGTTTGGATAACAACGTGTTTTCTGACCAGGAGGGAAGATGGACAGTCTTAGGGAGCAGTTCTTGAGCAGGCGAGCCAGCACCGGTGTTTCCTGGGAAGGGATCTGGAAGCGACCCTCAGAGAAATCCTGGCCTGTGCCCCCGAACCTTTTGTCCAAGGCATACTGGCCAAGTGTGCCCAGGTCAAAACTGTCAGGAGCTTCCTGGGCTTGGCTGGCTGTGGGTTGTACACAGCACCAGCAGGTGGAGCCATTGACCCTTGGCTTCTTCCTGCCTGGGCCCAGGCTCCTGGGTCCTGCTCCCATTCTGTCCATCATCTGTCATGGGGCCTCTCAGTGGTCCTTGGACAACCACCAAGCAGGGGTCAGAGTTGGAAGCTGAGACTCAAATGGGGCATGTGGCTAAGAGCATGGTATTTTGAGCAACAGTCAGCTCTGACACCTGCTAGCTGCTCGCTGTATAATCCTGGGCAAGTTACCCCTCTGAGCCTCAGTTTCCTCATTTATAAAATGGACAGCTATGTAACGTGTTTTTTATGATGACTGGCACATGATAAGTGCCAGTTATCATAATTATATTAAGGCTCCAAGGACTGCACACCAAGCTGGGGAGGAATTAGGGAGCCCCTCCTGGCCTGGAAGGCTGCCCCCCACCCCCTGCCCATGAATCCAGCACTCTTAGAGAAGAGGCAGCAGCACAGGGAGTCAGGGAACCCAGATGCTGGGAAGCCGGGTGACCTGATGGCCACCTCGGAAAATGACAGCCTGGCAGATTTGTGTGTAAGAGCTCTTCCACCCTTGCTGGTTGGTACTTGGGAACTCTGATGGCACTATGCATGGCATCTCTGGCATACTCACACCAAGCCCTGTAAAGCTGTCAGAGGTGGGGTTTATGGGCCTCATGCTGCCTCCTAGAGCAACTGTGGCCATAGCTAGCTGCCCTTTATGAGTTTACAAAGGGCTGTCCCCCTCCTCCTCCAGGGAGCATGTCTGAGCTGGCGGGCAGCGGGCCAGGGGCCAAGGCTGGCGTGCAATGTCTGGGCTGCCTAACTTTTGCCCCACACTCCTATCCAAGCTACTGTGGACTCTTCTGCCATAAATGACAGTTTGTCTCCAAGTGACATATTTGCCTCCTTTCTAGCCAGAGGTACCCTGGAGTCAATGCACATGTGTTTGCCCTGCCCATCTGGTCACTGAACCCCTGCTGTGTGCCAGCCCTGTCCCAGGGCCTGGGGATTCAGCCAGCAACAAAATAGGGCAAAGCTCTCTGTCCCTCAAGTGCCCATGTGCTACTGGGTGACAGACAATAAGTGATTAGGAAATTGTATAAAATCTTACACAATGACCAAGGCTTTGGAGAAAATGAAGCAGGGAAGTGGTGGAGGGGGGGTGCAATTTTAGGAGGAAGGGACTGGCTGCAGGCAAGGACAGGGAGGAAGTGAGGAGACCTGCCTGATCCCCAGAAGCCCAGCTTGCAGGTAAGGAAACTGAAGCCTGGAGAGGTGCAGCAACTTCCCCAAGGTCACACAGCGAGGAACTTAGAGCTGGTGCCCACCGACCTCTGTGCCCTGACAGACCTGGTCTGTCCTCCACCCACCCTCCCTGAGCTCCAAAGACCCAGCAGGAGTCTGTCTGCACCAGTGTCCTGCCCCTCCCAAGCTCAGCTTGACTCTGGTTCCTGTCTGCTGCCGAACAGGTTGTTCCACCCCTCCTTTTCACAGATGGGCAAACTGAGGCCAGAGAGGGGCCATGCCTGATGGAGATCGCCCAGCGGGCAGTTAGCACCCAGGTGGGTCCACACGTCCACAAGCCCTGGTTGGGGTGGTGGAGGGGGTGTCCTAGGGCTCCTGCCCCCACCCCAGCCTTGTTTTTCCTCTCTGGGCTGACACTGTTACCTTTGCTGCTGCTGCTGCTGCTGCTGCTGCTGCCGCCACCAGGCCAGAAAAACTCGCTGGGCAGGACTGGCTGCTGCCAGCATTAGGCCTGACTTGGTCCTTGGGGCTTTTCTGACAGCCCAGGGGTCAGCCTAGCCCCTTGTTCCCCTGGGTAGGTGGATGTAGGGGTCACACAGAGAGACAAAGATACTCATGATTGCTCAGTGAGAGACTCACACATAACAGTCACTCCACACAGTGGGAGACACACACAGACACACACACACACAAGCATCCCAGGAATGCACACTCAGACACAATGGAGACGCTCTCACACCCCCGGCACTGCCCACTGAAGTGAATGGCTCCAGCAGCCTCTCCTCTCACCAACTCAGGCCCACAATCCCAGTGCCCCCTCCCTCCTCTGGCTCTGGGAGGCTCATGCAGCAGAGCCGGCTGCACTGGATCCAGCCCTCCCGGTTCCGGGGCCATCTGGACTCAGATTCAGTTCCTCCTGCAAGCCCTGAAGTTCCCACAGGCCTTGGGAAGGGGAGTGGAGATGAGGTCTGGAGAGGCCCCAGAGGGTAGCCCCAGTCTGGGGGATTCTCAAATGCTTTGAGGCTCCACCTGGGCCTTGAAGGATGGCTAAGGTCAAGACTAGACAGAGAAAAGGGAAAAGGCATTATTTCTGGTGAGGGCCATGAGCAAGAGCCCAGCCAGGCTAGGGAAAAGGGCCAGGCTGGGAGAGGGAGTGACAGCTGGGATGCTGGGCTGTGAGATGACAGAGACAGCACCGCTTGGCCTCAGGCAGGGGCTGGCTCAGCAGGAGGGGCTGCACCCAAGCCTCACTGTCCTCTGCTGTAAAGCAGGACATTTGGACCAGGTGGGAGAAGGGGCAAGATTTGCCATTTACTGAGCACCTAGTATGTGCCACACACAGACTAGGTAGGGGCTGGCACATGCACGTTTCCCAGATTTGAGAATTCTCCAGTTCCCAGGTTGGAAAGCCCTAGAATCCCTGGGTCCCTGGCTCCCTTTCCCTTATCTCCTGTTCTCCACTCCCTGACTCTACTATATGATCAAAGAACTGCTCCAGATAACGTTCTATCTGCTCTAGATAACTTTCCAAGTATCTAAAGATGAACTTCAAATACCATAAAATTCAAAGTTGTGGTCGTTTGGGTTTGAAATCATTTTCAAACCCACCACACCCTTTCTGTCCCCTCACCCAGAGGAGTGGGGCCACCTGTATGCAGGCCCCTCCTCGGGGCCAACAGGGAGTCAGGGCCTTCTGCCTGGGTACCCGGTGCCCCAGAGGTGGAGCCACTGGGATCCCTGTCTCCAGGCTTCTCGCCTGCCCAGCTGTGGGTCACCGTCACTCCACTGCTTGAAGCAGTGCTCCTCCCCAGGCACCACGGCCAAAGTTCAGTAAACCCTGGGCTGGTTAGCACGTGGCACTAGGGAGTCATGGGGCTCAGAGGCTGCCTCTCGGAAGCCTCTGGGAGGCTTCGGAAGGCCAGACAGGGCAGGAGACACACATCTGCCTGCACACCCACCTCCGCGTCACGAGCACATGAACTAGCTCTCTTTCTGGCTGTGTGACCCTGAGGGCTGGATGCATCTTAGAGCAATGGGTTGGCCACCGGAGCCTGGGTTCAGGGTCAGAACACCTGGTGGGCTGCAATCCCAGTTCAGAACCAACAGAAGTGGGTTTCAAGAACAAAGCATCGCAATGAGGACCTAAGACCTGGAAAGTGATGCTCTGTTTGCTGAGTCCCAGCTAGACTGGACCTTCAGGGCCCACTCCTGCCTCCCTGCCTTTTTAGTGTCTCATATGCAAGTCATTTTGAGTAGCAAGTTACAAGAAGGCTATGAGAGGGGCTGAGGGATCCAAGAAGGCCCTGACTGCGTGATGGGGTCTGATGCAGCTCTCACAGGATGCGCCATTTTACCTGGGCCTTGAGGCATGAGTAGGAGTTCAAGAAAAATTCCTTCCAGTTGGAGGAAATACTGTGTGCAAATGCCTGGAGGTGTATTTAGAAGTGGTTTGGGGCTGGGCGCCGTTGCTCACACCTGTAATCCCAGCACTTTGGGAGGCCGAGGTGGGCAGATCACCCAAGGTCAGGAGTTTGAGACCAGCCAGGCCAACATGGTGAAACCCTGTCTCTACTAAAAATACAAAAATTAGCTAGGCGTTGTGGCAGGTGCCTGTAATCCCAGCTACTAAAAATACAAAAATTAGCTAGGCGTTGTGGCAGGTGCCTGTAATCCCAGCTACTCAGAAGGCTTAGATGAGATAATCGCTTGAACCCAGGAGGCGGAGGCTGCAGTGAACCGAGATCGCACCATTGCACTCCAGCCTGGGTGACAGGGCGAGACTCCGTCTCAAAAAAAAAAAAAAGGGAGAAGTGGTTTGGACCCCTTGACTGTAATGGAGTAGGGGGAATCCCATTTTGCCCTACGCCTCATACAGACCAGAGGGTGGGAAACTTGAACACATCTTTATCTTAAATCTTTCATCTTAAAACATCAATAAGGAAGGAAGCCACCCCAGGGATGACTGGTGGAGAAACTCAACCACAGGCAGGGATAGGACAGATGGAGCAGCAGATCTGGGCAGCTGGGGTGACAGACACCACCCTCTTGTTCAGGAGAACCATAGACCTGAAGGAACTCAGGCTGTGGGTGAACCCAAGCTTGCAAATGTATTGCGACCAAATTGTTTAACCAGATTTCAATTTACAACCCAGGAGAGGTAGGGGTGTGTGTGTGTGTGTGTGTGTGTGTGTGTGTGTGCGCGCGCGCGCGCGTGCATGTGTCCCATCAAGGCATCAAGTGCTTTGGACTGGTGGTTGGATCTCATTTAGCCCAAATGTGAACAAAAAGATCCCTAGCCTGTGGCTCAGGAGGCTGAGGGGCTATCTACCTCCCAGTGGTCATCCTGTGCCCCTACCCTGCCTCACCCGGCTCACAGGGCCCCAGGCTTTCCCAGCTATTAGCTCCGCCAGCCACCTGAACAGGTGCCCTCCCTCGGGGTCCTAAACTGTCTTCTTTCTGGTTGGGAGCTGGGACTGTTCTGTGTTCTCCCCACAGCCCCTAGCCCAGCCAGGTGGGCCTAGGGTGGCTCTGTTGGCAGCACCCACACAGCCCCCAGGGTCCCAGGCCTCTCAGCTCCCTTGCAAGGAGTGCACTATCGCCCACATTTGGCAGGCCAGGACGCAGAGGCCCAGAGAGGTGGGCTGGGGTCTAAGTCCAGGCAGGCTGGCTATAGAGCTGGGAAGGGTAGCTAAGGTTTGGCCAGGCAGAGAGGATGAGGCAGGGAGGGAGGGCCTCCTGGGGGGCACAGCCCAGGTAGCAACATGGCAAAGTAGAAATGGACTTGGAATGATGAGCTCTGGAACAATAGTAATAGCATAATTGGAATAATTATTATTGCTATTGTTATGTGATAATAACCAATCAGGAGGGCATTAGGCAACGTTTTACATGTATGAGCTCAAATGTGGCCCCAGCTCTGACCTTTCTTGCTGTTGTGGCTCTGGGCAGGTCGCGGCTGCACTCGGGGCCTCAGTTTCCCCACTGGGGCATGAGGATTTCAAGAAAAATTCCCTCTAGCTGGAGGACACTCTGTGTGCAAATGCCTGGAGGTGTGTTTAGAAGTGGTTTGGACCCCTTGACTGGAATGGAGTAGGGGGAATCCTGTTTTGCCCTATGCCTCATACAGATCAGAGGGTGGGAACCTTGAACACATCTTTTTTTTTTTTTTAGAGACAGAGTCTTGCTCTGTCGCCCAGGCTGGAGTGCAGTGGCGCGATTTTGGCTCACTGCAACCTCCACCTCCTGGGTTCATGCCATTCTCCCGCCTCAGCCTCTGGAGTAGCTGGGACTACAGGCACCCGCCACCACGTCTGGCTAATTTTTTTTTGTTTTTTAGTAGAGATGGGGTTTAGCCAGGATGGTCTCGATCTCCTGACCTCTTGATCCGCCCGCCTCGGCCTCCCAAAGTGCTGGAATTACAGGCATGAGCCACCGCGCCCGGCCTTGAACACATCTTTATCTGAAATCTTTCATCTTAAAACATCAATAAAGCAGCAAGCTGCCCCAGGGATGACTGGTGGAGAAACTGAAACATAGGGCCCAATTTGCTCCTCCTGGGCCGTGAGGCAGGCCAGCCACCCCCGAAGCACAGCGGGGCAGCGCTGCAGTCATGTCTGCCATGATCTTGACCCACAGCTGCACCGCCTCCAGTCCCAGCCCCACAAGGCCTGTCCTGGGTGGACACGCCGAGTGTGAGAGGTTCCAGTTAGTTCCTCTGCCCAGTCCCAGCCAGGACAGGCTCTGCCTCTGGCCAGTTTGAAAGAGCAGGCTCGGCTGGGTGCGGTGGCTCACGCCTGTAATCCCAGCACTTTGGGAGGCTGAGGCGGGTGGATCACGAGGTCAGGAGTTCGAGACCATCCTGGCTAACACGGTGAAACCCCGTCTCTACTAAAAATACAAAAAAAATTAGCCGGGCGCGGTGGTGGGCGCCTGTAGTCCCAGCTACTCGGGAGGCTGAGGCAGGAGAATGGCGTGAACCTGGGAGGCGGAGCTTGCAGTGAGCCGAGATAGCGCCATTGCACTCTAGCCTGGGTGACAGAGCGAGACCACGCCTCAAAAAAAAAAAAAAAAAGAAAAGAAAAAAGAAAGAGCAGGCTCTCTCCTCCGCTGGGCTAGAAGGTACTTGGGGCGATTTGGCGATAGTGGGCTGGCTGGAAGGCTGGGCACAGACGGGAAATGAGAGAGAAAAATCCGTGGCTGGGCGCAGTGGCTCACGCCTATAATCCCAGCACTTTGGGAGGCCGAGGAGGGTGGATCACAAGGTCAGGAGTTTGAGACCATCCTGGCCAAGATGGTGAAACCCCGTCTCTACTAAAAATACCAAAAAATTAGCCGGGCGTGGTGGCGGGCACCTGTAATCCCAGCTACTCAGGAGGCTGAGGCAGAGAATTGCTTGAACCTGGGAGGCAGAGGTTGCAGTGAGCTGAGATCGTGCCACTGCACTCCAGCCTGGGCAACAGAGCAAGACTCTGTCTCAAAAAAAAAAAAAAAAAAAAAAAAAAAAGATAGCATCCACTCAATATCTAGTCTCTGATCTTATGGCACATTTCTGTTCCATTAATCTTTAGGCTTTTTCCCAAAGTGGTGAAGATTCCAAACAAAATGGGCCATTTAGAAAACGTTTTCAGGCTGGTCACCGTGGCTTACGCCTATAATCCCAGCACTTTGGGAGGCCGAGGTGGCTGGATCACAAGGTCAGGAGTTCGAGACCAGCCTGGCCAACATTATGAAAACCTGTCTCTACTAAAGACGCAAAAAATTACCTGGGCATGGTGGTGCATGCCTGTAATCCCAGCTACTCGGGAGGCTGAAGCAAGAGAATCACTTGAACCTGGGAGGCAGAAGTTGCAGTGAGCTGAGATCACACCATTGCACTCTAGCCTGGGTGACAGGGTGAGACTCTTTCTCAAAAGAAAAGAAAATGTTTTTGGCTGGGCACAGTGGCTCATGCCTGTAATCCCAATCCCAGCACTTTGGGAGGCCGACCGAGGTGGGTGGATCACTTGAGGTCAGGAGTTTGAGACCAGCCTGGCCAACATGGGGAAACCCCGTCTCTACTAAAAATACAAAAATTAGCCAGGCGTGGTGGTGCACACCTGTAATCCCAGCTACTCGGGAGGCTGAGGCAGGAGAATCCCATGAACCCGGGAGGCAGAGGTTGCAGTAAGCCAAGATCACGCCACTGCACTCCAGCCTGGACAACAGAGCAAGACTCCGTCTCAAAAAAAAAAAAAAAGTTTTCTTCAGATTGTCAAATTCTGACTTGAAACAGTTATCATAAGCTGAGCCTGGTGGTTCACACCTGTAATCCCAGCACTTTGGGAGACTGAGGTGGGAGAATCGCTTGGGTCCAGTAGCGAGACCTTGTCTCAAAAACAAATCAAACAAACAAAACACAAAAACACAACCACAAAAAGCAAACAACACCCCCCTCCCACCCAAAGAAAAAGAAATGGTAACTACCTGGACAAAACATTTCACGTGCATTGTTTTAGTAAACAGACACAACCTTGGCTTCAGGTCTTTTTTGTTTTCTGTCACCCAGGCTGGAGTGCAGTGGTGAGATCTCGGCTCACTGCAACCTCCACCTCCCAGGTTCAAGTGATTCTCCTGCCTCAGCCTCCAGAGTAGCTGGAATTACAGGTGCAGGCCACCATGCCCGGCTAACTTTTGTATTTTTAGTAGAGACACAGTTTTACCATGTTGGCCAGGCTGGTCTTGAACTCCTGGCCTCAAGTGATCTGCCTGACTCAGCCTCCCAAAGTGCTAAGATTACAGGCATGAGCCACGGCACCCGGTCTTGGCTTGTTTTCTTGACAGATCGTTGCAACAGGGTAGGACAGGCACACTTATCACTGTTTAACAGATGAGCAAAGTAAACTGAGGTGCAGAGAGGGGCAATAGCTGGTGGCCCAGCTGATAGGCTGAGATTTTCACATGTCAGTCAGAGCCAGGGACCAACATCTATCCACTATTCTCTGCTGTCCTCTCTCAGAGCGCCCCTTCTTTGGAAATGTGCATAGCACCTTTCTACAAGAGACTCTTAGTGTGTTCTGAGAAAGCCGTAGCTCCTCACCTGCCTCAGAAGGGCACGGTGCTTGCTTCTTCAGAAAATTTACAGACAAGTTTCACACACTTAAAACTTTCAGCTTGGCTTGAGAGTTAAAACATAACCACTCCAAACTGTAATACAAAGAAGTCTGCTCAAAAGAGTAGCATTTGACCAGCCTGGGCAACATAGGGAAACCCCATCTCTACAAAAAAAAAAAAAAAAGTACAAAAATTAGCCAGACGTGGTGGCACATGCCTGTAATCTCAGCTACTCAGGAGGCTAAGGCAGGAGAATTGCTTGAACCCAGGAGGCGGAGTTTGCAGTGAGCTGACATCGCATCACTGCACTCCAGCCTGGGTGACAGAGCAATACTCCATCTCGAAGAAAAAGAAAAAAAAAAAAAATACATGCACAGAAAAAAAGTTCAATCAGTGCATAAGGACATATGCAACAAGTCTCCCTCCTACTGTTTCTCCTGATCTGCAGGTCCCCTCCCTAATGGCAATCACTGTTACAGTGTAACAGAGATTCTGACATAATCTTATTGTATGTATTTCCTTCACCCCCACGCATGGAAACAGTAACTCCCTCCACACACTACCTCATGCTTATATCATTAACAGTGTAACTCTTGGAGATTGTTGCACACCCACCAAAAGAGAACTGCCTTATTCTGTTTGTTTGTTTGTTTGTTTTGAGACGGAGTCTCTGTCGCTCAGGCTGGAGTGCAGTGGCACGATCTCGGCTCACTGCAACCTACGCCTCCCAGGTTCAAGCAATTCTCCTGCCTCAGGCTCCCGAGCAGCTGGCATTACAGGCATGCACCACCATGCCCAGCTAATTCTTTTGTATTTTTAGTAGAGACTGGGTTTCACCATATTGGCCAGGCTGGTCTTGAACTCTTGACCTCAGGTGATCCACCCGCCTCGGCCTCCCAAAGTGCTAGGATTACAGGCGTCAGCCACCACGCCCAGGCTCTTTTTTTTTTTTTTTTTTTTGAGTCAGAGTCTTGCTCTGTTGCCCAGGCTGGAGTGCAGTGGCACAATCTCAGCTCACTGCAACCTCCGTGTTCCAGGTTCAAATGATTGTCCTGCCTCAGCCTCCCGAGTAGCTGGGACTACAGGCATGCACCACCATGCCCAGATAACGTTTGTATTTTTAGGAGAGATGCGGTTTCACCATGTTGACCAGGCTGGTCTTGAACTCCTGACCTCAGGTGACCCACTGCACCCGGCCCAAATTTTTTTTTTTCTCAGACGGAGTCTCACTCTGTTGCCTAGGCTGGAGTGCAGTGGTGTGATCTTGGCTCACTGCAACCTCTACCTCCCAGGTTCAGCGATTCTCCTGCCTCAGCCTCCCGAGTAGCTGGGATTACAGGCATGTGCCGCCATGCCCAGCTACTTTTTTGTATTTTTAGTGGAGATGGGGTTTCACCGTGTTGGCCAGGCTGGTCTCAAACTCCTGACCTCAAGTGATCCACCCACCTTGGCCTCCCAAAGTGCTGGGATTACAGGCGTGAGCCACCACTCCCGGCCCCTGATTTTTGTATTTTTAGTAGAGATGGGGTTTCGCCACATTGGCCAGGCTGGTCTCGAACTTCTGACCTCAGGTGATCCACCCACCTCGGTCTCCCAAAGTGCTGGGATTACAGGCGTGAGCCCCTGTACCCAACCTCATTCTTAAAGCCTTCCTATATTTAACCAGTCCCCAGCAGATGACGTACATTATACCCTGCATTCTGTTTCTCATACATGTTCTTGCGCAAATTTAACTGCAGGGTAAGTTTCTAGAAGGGAAATTCCATAGTCTAGACTAAAGGTTACTGGTAGGCCAGGTATCTCAACCTATATTTGGTTCTCAGATCCAAAGGTAGGATTTACAGAACAAAACTGCTTCATGTTCAGTGGGGTTTCACATGCCAGCTGCAGGTGAGAGCTCTGGGGATTTGCATGCTGTCAGCCAACACCCTAGCCACCTGGAGAGGTCCTCTGTTGAATTAACTGCCCAGCATCTGTCCACCCTGTGGACCACCCACAGCAGTGTTGCCTTCAAAAACTTGCCTGCTGGTCGGGCACAGTAGCTCATGCCTGTAATCCCAGCACTTTGGGAGGCCGAGGCAGGCGGATCACATGAGATCAGGAGTTCAAGACTAGCCTGGCCAACATGGTGAAACCCTGTCTCTACTAAAAATACAAAAATTAGCGGGGCATGGTGGTACACGCCTGTAGTCCCAGCTACTTGGGAGGCTGAGGCAGGAGAATCCCTTGAACGTGGGAGGCAGAGGTTGCAGTGCACCGAGATGACGCCACTGTACTCCAGCCTGGGTGACAGAGCGAGAATCCACCTCAAAAAACAAACAGGCCGGGCGCGGTGGCTCACGCCTGTAATCCCAGAACTTTGGGAGGCCGAGGCAGGTGGATCACGAGGTCAGATCGAGACCATCCTGGCTAACACAGTGAAACCCCGTCTCTATAAAAATACAAAAAATCAGCCGGGTGTGGTGGCGGGCGCCTGTAGTCCCAGCTACTCGGGAGGCTAAGGCAGGAGAATGGCATGAACCCGGGAGGCGGAGTTTGCAGTGAGCCAAGATCGCGCCACTGCACTCCAGCCTGGGCGATAGAGCGAGACTCCGTCTCAAAAACAAACAAACAAACAAACAAACAAAAAACTTGCCTGTTAATTCTCATTTCTGAGATCCTGCAGCTACCTTGGGTGGTGGCCTGTCCAAGCCTGGCCTTTGTTTTGTTTTGTTTATTTGTTTTGAGACAGTCTTGTTCTGTTACCCAGGCTGGAGTGCAGCGGCGTGATCATGGCTCACTGCAGCCTCAAACTCCTGGGCTCAAGCGATCCTCCCACCTCAGCCTCCCAAGTCTTTGGGATTATAGGCGTGAGCCACCGTGCTGGCTTGCCTTTGGTTCTCTGAACTACTCCAGTTCTTTCCACTAAATCCACCCCCCTCTTTTTTCCCCTTTGGTTAATCAGAATCCATATCTTTTGCTCCAGATCAAAGAACCCTACCCGATGATCCCTTCTCCATTCACAAAATCAATAACATACTCAAAATCAATAAACAGCTGACCGAGCACAGTGGCTCACGCCTGTAATCCCAGCACTTTCGGAGGCAGAGGTGGGCGGATCACAAGGTCAGGAGTTCGAGTCCAGACTGACCAACATGGTGAAACCCCGTCTCTACTTAAAAAATACAAAAATTAGCTGGGCGTGGTGGTGTGCACCTGTAATCCCAGCTACTTGGGAGGCTGAGGCAGGAGAATGGCTTGAACCCGGGAGCCCGAGATTGCAGTGAGCTGATATCATGCCACTGTACTCCAGCCTGGGTGACAGAACGAGACTCCATCTCAAAAAAAAAAAAAAAAAAAAAAAAAAAGAATGTGGCCGGGCGCGGTGGCTCACGCCTGTAATCCCAGCACTTTGGGAGGCCGAGGCAGGTGGATCACCAGGTCAGGAGTTCGAGACCAGCCTGGCCAATTTGGTGAAACCCCGTCTCTACTAAAAAATACAAAAATTAGCCAGGCATGGTGATGGGCGCCTGTCCCAGGCTGTTTTTATGTTATGTGGGGATGAGGCACTGACCCTGTGGGCCGGGATCTCTCTGGGGACGCTTCCCTTGCTTTTTGTCTACACTCCTTAAGGCAAACTACTTGGGAGGCTGAGGCAGGAGAATCACTTAAACCCGGGAGGCGGAGGTTGCAGTGAGCTGAGATCGCGCCACTGCACTCCAGCCTGGGCGACAGAGCAAGAATCCATCTCAAAAAAAAAAAAAAAAAGTAACAAGACTCTTAACAGCTGTGGAGATCTGTGCCTATTCTGAGTGCTTCTCCACTACTTCCTGATACTGATTTAGCTCTGTGTATATATTTGTTGAAGTAATGCTTAGATCTTAGTTGTATTCATCCAGTGCCCTCCCAATCATGTTTTGTGTGGAATAGCAAATCACTTTCTGCTTGTATTCCAAAAATGTTGCAGAAAGACTTGCCACCCTGCTGGGGACTGTCCCTGCCCCCTGACCACTTCTGGCCTGCCTTACACTCGATTATTTTGGGCAAAAAGTGCAAATCAAGACTGAGATGTCAGGCCAGGTGCAGTGGCTCATGCCTGTAATCCCAACACTTTGGGAGCCGATGGATCACTCAAGCCCAGGAGTTCAAGACCAGTCTGAGTAACATGGCGAAAAAAACCTGTCTTTACAAAAAGTAAAATAATTAGTGAGGCGTGATGGCATGCGCACACCTGTAGTCTCAGCTTCTCGGGATAGTCACAGCTACTTGGGAGGCTGAGGTGGGAGGATCACCTGAGGCCAGGGACACAGGTACATCAAGGCTGCAGTGGGCTGTGATCACACCACTGCACTCCAGCCTGAGTAACAGAGTAATACCCTGTTTCAAAAAAAAAAAAAAAGAAAGAAAGAAAGAACAAACAAAGAAAAAAAACAAAAAGGAAAAGGAAAAAGAAAGAGAGAGAGAGAGAGAGAGATAATCCAGGACTTTTTTTGAAGGGAGAGGGAAACAGGACTGTCTGACACGCGGGAAAATTGCTTGAATTCTCCAGCCTTCCCATTTGGATGCTTTTCTCTTTGCGTGAACACAGCCATAAGCTGGCTCGTTATAGAGGCATAGGCAGTGGTTGAAAATACAGGTCCTAGCAACAAGGAAGTCTGGGTTTGAATCCAGACTCAGCCACTTTCCAGCTGTGTGACCTGGGAGAAGTCACTGTTCCTCTCTGAGCCTGGAGCTACCTGCATCACTACCCTGAACTGATGAATGGAAAGCACTTGGTACAAAATCCAGCACATACTTGGCACACATAACTCACAGCTCGGTGTAATTAGAAGAATGCCAGGAGGACTGGCCTGCACGCTGGAAGGGGCTCTAGACAAGGCTGACCATCAGGATCCACTGGTTGGTCCAGAGATCTCGGAACAGACTGGTTCTCCCCGCCGCTTCTGCCTCCCACTCACCTCCACCCGTTCATGCAACTGTAGTTTTCTTAGCCCCTGAAACCGGGTTGGGGCTGCCGCAGGGGCCATCAGGCTGTGAGGGAGGCTGACGCGGACACAGTAGGTAAGAGGCCAAGATGTACAGTCCTGAAAGAGGGCAGGAGGCTGGTGACTCAGTGGGTGAGAAAATGCAAAGGCTGGGGCTATCTTAGCCCAGAAAAGGACAAATTTTTTTTCCCCAAATTATTTTCCTTCTTTTGTCTCTTTCTCCCCTCCCTCTCTCGCTCCTTCCTGCTTTTCTTCCTTTCCCTCCGTTACTTTCTTTAATCCAAAGGAAATTTAAGTGGAGGACATAAAAGCATATGCTGTTATTAATTTTTGCAAATGTCCTTAACTGAGAGGCACTGAGCAGAAAGAAGAACACAATTGCATCTCCATTATCTTCATCTGGGCCACCAGATACCAGCCACCCACTCTCTCAGACAATGGCAGAAAGGACAAGCCAGCCCCCAGGGACCCGGCCCTGCCAGCTTACCTGTTGGCACACCTCCCCTGAGCACTGCAGCCTCACCAACTGTCTGGGGTCCCTGAGACTGCCTGCTCACACTCACCTCTGAGCCTTCCTGTCTGCTGTTCCCTCTGCCTGGAACATCCTCTCCACTCCCCCTTAGACCCCCTCTAGCAGCTGTCCTGGCTGACTGCTAATTGGCTTTAGGATTCAGGGAGGCATCCTGCCTTGGGTGCCTTCTTTGATGGCCACAGATCAAGTTAGGGGTCTTCTCTGGCTGCTTATCCTCATAGCACCTGCTCCCGGATGTGACAGACAGCTTCAGTTTTGTCACCCTGTGGTCCAGCAGCTTTCTGAGGGAGGGCTGGGACCAGCTCTCATTTACCTGTGTCTCTCACCCCTGCAAGGTTCTGGCCACAGCAAGCAATGCCTAAGCACATATTTGTGGAGTAAAGGTATAAAAGACAAGGCATCCCAGATGGGCGTGGTGGCTCAATCCTAGCACTTGGAGAGTCTGAGACGGGAGGATCACTTGAGGGCAAGAGTTTCAGACCAGCCTGGGCAACCCAGTGAGACCCCATCTCTACAAAAAAAACATATTTTTGTTTGTTTGTTTGTTTGTTTGTTGTTTTTTAATTAGCCAGGCGTATTGGTGTGCACCTGTAATCTCAGCTACTTGAGAGGCTGAGGTGGGAGGATCTGTTAAGCCCAGGAAGTTGAGGCTGCAGTGAGTTATCATCCCACCACTGCACTTCAGCCTGGGCAATGGAGCAACACCCTGTCTCAAAAAAAAAAAAAAAAAAAAGGCAAGACATCAAGACATCCCTGGAGGAAGCCACTCTGTAGACCACAGGCTAACAGAGCATGGTTGAGCAGGGAGGAGTTGGGAGCTGCACCCAGCACCTCACACAATGTTATCATGGAGCTGGGGACAGAGCAGGTTCCAGAGCTGGGTTTGAGTCCCAGCTCCTCCGATGATGATATGACACCCCAGACATGTGCAGGGATGTCCTCTAAGCCTCAGCTTCCTCACTGCAATTTGGGGCTCTGTCTCTTTCTGGCAGGGAGTTATTGGGAAGACCAAATGAGATCATGTCCCCCTCCCAAACCCTGCAAGGCCTTTGCGTCACAGTTAGAATGAAGTCTACATATAGCCCTGTCCACTCGCAGCCTGCCTCCCTTCCCCATTCGCACCCTTACACACGGAGCCCCCTCCAACCTCCCCCCCACACACACTGAGCCCTGTGCTCTTTCCTCTGCCCAAATGGCCCTTCCCTCAGACATCTAGATGTCCATCCTCCTTCCCTCAGTCTGCCTCTCGGAGCAGTCTTCCCGACCACTACAACGATGCCTCCCCAACCCCGGCCTGCGTCACTCCCCACGCCCACCCTGCTTTGCAGCATCGCTCCCTGGCTGACATTACATCATGCATTTATTTCTTTGCTTATTGTCTCCCTCCCCTCCATGAGGGCAGGAACCTTCATCTGTCTTGTTGACAGTAGCATCCCTAGAACCTAGCTCAGGCCTGACTCACAGTGTGTGCTCAGTCCACATTTGGGAAACCAATGGAGAGATGAATGGCACAGAGATGCGCTCAGGAACCCAGTTCCCTGACCTCCCATCCAGGCTGCACCCCTCAGGAGTCTAGGTTCCTGCTGATTGGTAGAGTTCAGGACCCAGGGCTGGAAAGTGTCCACCCACAGGGCAGATGGGCCAAGGCCACGTGCTCAAGGTGTGCAGGGCTAGGAGAGGGGGTCAGCCCCAGCTCCCATATGAGGGGCATGTGCCTCGCCTTGCCCCTGCTTTGGCTAGAGGGTACCCTGTTCACCAGAGATGAGCCTAGGCTCTCCCCGGGCCTGGCTCTGGCTTTACCCCAGAGCCCTCCAACTCGCAGACCTCCAGGCAAGGAGGGCTGGGGACCCACCCGTACCAGCCATTTGCCTTTTCTCCAGTAACAGAGCCCAGAGGGGTCCCTGCCTGGGCCCAAAATCACACAGCAGATTGGGGTAGAGCCGGAGAGGACCCGAGACTCCTGTGCCAGCCTGGGCATCCCCTCCACTGCCAGGGAAGGACTGCATCCAAGTCGCATCCGTACCCAGGCCGAGGTGTCCGAGGCCCAGGCTGAAATCCGGTTGCTGCTGCAGAGACCAAGTTTCCAAGGCCTTGTCAAGTGGGCTGTGCCAGACGATCCCCAGGCCTGTCATTGGCTGCTCTTCGGCTCGGACACACCAAACCTCACCAAGCACTTCCATTTCTGAGGGAATAGAGGTTGTGGCTTCCGTCAAGCACCCATTTACCCCACCCTCCTCCTCCTCTTCCTGCAAACTTGAGTCACAGCTGCCCTGCTGGGCTCAGGCCCCAGGGATGTCTGAGTCAGCCTGGCTGGGGTTCCAGTCCTGACACCGCCCTTACCAGCTGGGAGACTCCGGGAACCTCCAACCCTGCTGAGCCTCCACTTCGACATCCGTGAAACAGCCATGAATAAGCAGGTCTCAAAGGTCGACTCCTGTATGCAGGGACACAGCATGCAGTAGGTGCCCAATCATAACAGCAGCACCCACCTGGAGCCCCTTATAGCAGCCCTTCTCCTCTGCACTTCCACATGGCATCTCATTTAACCTTCACCACAACCCAACTAGGAAGGCACCATCATTATCCCATTTTACTGATGAAGAAACTGAGGCCCAGGAAGGTGAATTTACCAGCCAGCTCACAAATGGACTAGTAGATGGCAGTTTGTGGATTGGAGCCCAGAGGCTGTGCTCCTGCCCACACCCTCTCAAATGAGGGCTATAAAATAACACTCTAAGAGCTCTTCCTACGTGCCTGGCAGTGTACTAAGAATTTGAGTCTTCAGTACGTTCAATCTTCACAACAGCCCTATGAGGTGGGGGTTATGAGGAGCCACCATTTTACAGATGGGTAAGTCAAGACACAGAGAGAGGATGTGGCTTGCCACAGACCACATGGCTGGTGAGCATAGGAGCCAAGATTCCAACCCGTTTCCCATCCTGGCCAAGAATAACACTCCTGCTTCTTCATTTCTCCGAAAGAAGCCATGCTGTCTCCATCCCTGGCTGTGACTTGGGCTGCTTGTCCCTTCTCTGCCCACCCACCCACCCCCAGGGCTGTGCCGGGGAAAGAAGGTGGTTCCTGGAGCCCTCTAGCCTCTGAAAAGCATGGCAGTGGCGCAACGTAGAGGATGGGCTTAAAGCCAAAGAAACACAGCTTCTTTTGTTGTTGTTGTTGTTGTTTGGGTTTTTGTTTTTGTTTTGTTTTGAGACAGAGTCTCACTCTGTCCCGAGAGTGCAGTGGTGTGATCCTGGCTCTCTGCAAGCTCTGCCTCCTGGGTTCACGCCATTCTCCTGCCTCAGCCTCCCGAGTAGCTGAGACTACAGGCACCTGCCACCAAGCTCAGCTAATTTTTTGTATTTTTAGTAGAGACAGGGTTTCACCATGTTAGCCAGGATGGTCTCGATCTCCTGACCTCATGATCCACCCACCTCGGCCTCCCAAAGTGCTGGGATTACAGGCATGAGCCACCGTGCCCAGTCTTTTTTTTTTTTTTTTTTTTTTAAGACGGAGTCTTGCTCCGTTGCCCAGGCTGGATGCAGTGGCACGATCTCGGCTCACTGCAACCTCCACCTCCTGGGTTCAAGCAATTCTCCTGCCTCAGCCTCCCGAGTAGCTTGGATTACAGGCGTGTGCCACCACGCCTGGCTAATTTTTGTATGTTTAGGGTTTTGCCATCTTGGCCAGGCCAGTCTCGAACTCCTGACTTCAGGTGATCCGCTCACCTCGGCCTCCCAAAGTGCTGAGATTACAGGCGTGAGCCACCATGCCTGGCCAAGAAACATGGGTTCTAATCCCAATGCCCCCGCTTCCTAGCTATGGGACCTTGATTGAGTCCTGTACCGTGCCTCAGTTTCCCCACTTATAAAAAGAGGTTACTAAAAAGGATGCTTCACTCAAGGGTGTGAAGACCCAGTGAATGAAGTGTTAATAAGAGCTCCACGTATAGCGATGCTGCTGTTCAGCTGCACCAGGGTGGACTCCCTTGACTTGCTGGGAGTTACAATGAGGAAGGAAGGACCGTTAAACCTGTAGGTCTTTCCAGAGAAAGTGCGTTTCCTAAAACCAAATCCTGCCCTTGCTCCAAAACTGTCAGTGGTGGTTTCCCATGACCACGCCACAGTCCCAGGGTCTCCCCTGGCCTTCAAGGCTGGCACAGTCTGACCCTGCCAACGTCCCTAGTGCCACCATCTGTCAGCCCCTCCTTGCTCCTGCTCCTGGTCTGCACATGCTGTTCTCTTTGCCAAGAATGCCATTTCCCCAGCCCCCTGGTCCCGATGGGGAACACCTCCTCATCCTTCAAAGCCAAGCTGGAAGGGAACATCTTTGGAGATGCCGCTTGACCTCCCAGGCAGAAGGGGTCATTCTCCCTGGAGATGTGGTCACGTCATTAACCACACTGGGTTAGAATCATCAGAAGCTGTTCCTGCCTCTTCCGTCAAGCAAGGGGCTCTGGAGGCCAGAAAATGCCTATGAATCATGCCCACACCCCCAGAGCCCAGCATGGGGCGGGCTCAGGTTAGGTCAATCGTGTTTGAAGACTGAATAAATGAATGTCTTCATTTGCTACCCTCAGAAGCCCAGTCCGGAAAAATATTCCAGTGCAAGGTTTTTGGCTTGAATGAGATCCCAAGAATCACCTTCAGGTTGTCAGGAAAATGATACAGGGAAGGGAAGGAGCCAACAAAGGGTATGGGAATGAGCACATAACACTATGGACAGCTGGGGAACCTTGGGCGATGATGCAGAACTGTTTATCACTAACTCTCACCAGGTCAGTTGTGCATCAAGGCTACTCGGGGGATAGCACTTTACAGCCTACTCTAGCACCACGGTGGCCTTCTGGGGCAGGGGCCAGCAGGCTGCAGCTGCTGGATGAAGCCCCCAGGCAGAGTCGCTGGTCCTCAGGTGCTCAAGCTTAGCTGGAAGCCTTCAGGTTGCTGTGCAATGGAATAGTGAGTACCCAGAGGATATGTGCGTGTGTTACAGTGAGTGAGTGAATGAACGAATGAATGGAGAATCAAGAAAAGAGCCGCGTATCTTCAGTCATTGAGCAGACACGGGCCTTCTGCTGTGTGGCCCTGGACGAGCCATCATGCCTCTCTGACCCTGGTTTCCTCTTCTATAAAGCAGGAATGCTAGCCCAGCCTCCCAGGAGATAAAGGGTGGGAGGTCCCCAGAGAGTGAGAAGGGTTCCACCTGGGCTCCCAGACTCAATCTCAGCTCCAGGAAGCAGGACATGGCCCCAGTGAGGGTTCTCTGTGGGTGAAGAAGCCACAGAAGGCAGGCACAGTGCCCTGGTTGGAACCACAGGGGCCCCGAAGCAACCACATCATGGCCACCACAGCCTCCACCATCCCACAGCAATTTCCGCTGCTGCCTCTCCCAGGGCAAGATCTCCCACCAGTGGCTGGCTGTCCCCTCTGCCAGCACCTGCCCCGGGTGGGCCCTGCAGCATGGCCATGGCTGCTGCAAGGCAGGCTGGCAGCTGCTCCTGTGTGCAGCAGCGTGTCTGCTTTGAAAAGCCACAGAGACTCCTGTGGTTAGGGGCTCATGTTACAGTAGCACACGTTCGAATCCCAGTTCTACTACTTGTGACTGTGGGAAAGTAATTTCACCCCAGTCCTCTCTGGTCTCATTGATCAAATGGAACTAACATTCTATTGTCCCCTCTGGTGGTCTCAACTCCAGCAGTTTGTGAGATGGTTGCCTTCACTGTTTTCCCTACTGCAAAACCCATAAGGACACAGTTATCTTGCCTCCTGCCCCAACCCCAGGGTCTTGAACACAGTAAGTGCTCGATAAATGCTTGGTAAATACATGAATTATTGTCTGACCCGCCTTGCTCTTCCAGTCCAAACTTAAATGTCGCCTCCTCCAGGCAGCTTTCCCTGATTCCTTCCCCGAGTTCCCAGAATCTCTTCCAACTCCTTTAACCTCTTTCCTGCAGCTGCCTGGCCTACTGGGTGTGGCCGCCAGTTATCGGACCCCGCACCCTCCACCTACCTTTCCCCAGGTTTGCGCGGGGCCTGCCGGCCTGCCCGCCCGCCCCGAGGGAATGAAGGGCTGGAAGGAAGGGGAGGGAGAAAGGAGGCGGCGCAGATACATCCAGAAGGGGAGGCGGCGGGGGATTCTCGAAGGCCCGGCCAAGACCCGCAGCCTCAGCAAGCCAAGATGCGAGCAGGGGGCCGGCCGGAAGGAGGCGGGGGAGGGGCGGCCAGGGAGCTGGACGCTAGCGGGCGGACGGGCGGGGGCGGCGGGGGTGGCGGGAGGGTTGGGGGCGGGGGCCTGGTATTTCCTGAGGCCCTTCAGGAAATGCTCTGGGCCGCCCCTGGGCGGGATCGGCGGTGGGATGGGTCTGGGAGGGATCCACAGGCTCCTTCCCTGCGCTGCCCTGGACTCTCTGGCGCGCTGTCTCTGCGGGCCCTCTTCCCCGTCGAGGAGGCGCTGCTCAAGCCCCATTTCACGGAGGAAGAAACCAAGACTCAGAGAGGGCCACCGGGGTCACAGTCTCTCCTGCACAGTTCTGCGGCTGCGCCAGCGCCGGCCCGCTCCCTCCACGTCCCCGGCCCCTGTCAGGGCTGCGGCAGCCGCAGAACCCCCGGGCCGGGCTCCCTATGGCAGGGCCAGGGCGGAGGACTGGGAGACGGGGCGGGAAGGCGAGGCGGGGCCCGGCGTATCCCACGCACAGACCGCGCAGCGCGCACAGCCCCGGCCCTCAGGGAGAGCAGTGCTGGCTGCCCTGCCCCGGATCGTCCTCCCCTGCCTCGGCCCGGACACGGCCAGGCAGGACCCCGCGACACATCCGACGCCCCACCTCACACTCGGGACCCTGAGACACTCACTGTTCACCTAACGACTCGCTCCCTCCTCCGCTGACGGAGGAGTCAGTCCATCGGGACTGGATGGGCTCCGTGTGCTCGAGTTCAAATCCTGCCTCACCACCCGCTGGCTGGCGCTTTTCTTGTCTAAGAAGAGCACCGCAGTTCCCTCTGTGTGGTGGGGATAACAGCACAGCCTGCCTCAGAAAGTTGCAGTGAGAACTAAATGCGTTCTGCTGGGCGCGGTGGCTCAGGCCTTAATCCTAGCACTTTGGGAGGCCGGGCCTGAGGACGGCTTGAGGTCAGGAGTTCGAGACTAGCCTGGTCAACATTGTGAGACCCCCCCCCCCCCCGTCTCTACAAATTTGTTTTTTTTTGTTGTTTGTTTGTTTGTTTTTTAGCCGGAGTCTCGCTCTATCGCCCAGGCTGGAGTGCAGTGGCGCGATCTCAAGTGAGCGATCTCAGCTCACTGCAACCTCTGTCTCCCGAGTTCAAGCGATTCTCCTGCCTCATCCTCTCGAGTAGCTGGGACTACAGGCGCGTGCCACCACGCCTGGCTAATTTTTTGTATTTTTGCTAGAGACGGGGTTTCACCGTGTTAGCCAGGATGGTCACAATTTCCTGACCTCGTGATCCGCCCGCCTGAGCCTCCCAAAGTGCTGGGATTACAGGCGTGAACCACCGCGCCCGGCCTACAAAATATTTTTAAAACGCGTCGATCAGTATAAAGCGCTGTGCCTGGCACATCCTGTGCTCAATCTGCTATTGTGACAAAATCGTGCTCAGGCCCCTGCCACCTGCAAACAAAGTCTCTCTCTCTTTGACATTTTCCCACCACCGTTTCAACCTGCGCAGTCTCTCCTTTTCTCTCTCCTTCTGAATTTTAACAAATATCCCTCTTCTGTAAAGTGGCTGAAAAAAAAAAAAAAGGAAAACAAATCACAATGGCTTAGACAAATAAGGGTTTATTTCCCCTATCACTGTGAACCCGGAGACCAGCCATGGCTGGCATTGTTTCCCCAGCCCAGTGATGGCAGGGCTGACGTCCTCTGTAATGCGCTTGGCGTTTCCCCCTTGTTTACAGCGTGGCTGATGCTGCTCCTGGCGTTGCATCTGCCTCCGCATTTAAGACAGAAAGGAAAAGGAATGGTTACTTTCAGGGTTAATTGAAAGCGTTTGTCACTTTCGTCAATAATTTCCCAGGCACCCCGCCCCCCTCACCCCCCACCCCCACCCCTGCCACACACACATAATGAGATCTAATGAGACTCCTTAGATGTCATTGGCCAAAACTGTGTCACATGGTCACTCCCAGCTGCAACAAAGGCTGAGAAGGTAAGTAGTTTCTCTTTTCCAGCCTCCACAGTGGAAAGCAGCAGGGAAGAGGGGAATTGGGAATGGTACACAAGGATCAGTCAGCTATTATAATAGTGTCTACCACACCTTCCCCCTCCGTCTTCTTCCAGCCCCTACACTCCCCAGGACCTGCCTTCCAGCCACCCCTGACCTCCTCCTTCATCCAGGGGCCACCTGTTTCCATTTCTTTTGGGATATCAGAAGCTCAGAACTCTGGGGCTGCACTTTTACAGGGTAGCAATCAGATGACGCTGAGTAGAACCGCATCTTTCTTTTCTTTTCTTTCTTTTTTTTTTTTTTTTTTGAGACAGAGTCTCACTCCATCACTCCAGTCTGCACACTAGGCTGGAGTGCAGTGGTGTGAACACTGTAGCCTTGAGCCCCCGGGCCCAGGTGATCCTCCTACCTCAGCCTCTCAAATGGCTGGGACTATAGGTACATGCCACCATGCTCAGCTAATTTTTTTTGTTTATTTTTTTGTAGAAACAGCGTCTCTTGCCAGGCGCGGTGGCTCACACCTGTAATTCCAGCACTTTGGGAGGCCAAGGCAGGTGGATCACAAGGTCAGGAGTTCGAGACCAGCCTGGCCAATATGAAACCCTGTCTCTACTAAAACTACAAAAATTAGCCAGGTCTGGTTGTGGGCACCTGTAGTCCCAGCTACTTGGGAGGCTGAGACAGGAGAATCGTTTGAACCCGGGAGGCGGAGGTTGCAGCGAGCCGAGATCACGCCACTGCACTCCAGCCTGGGTGACAGAGTGAAACTCTGTCTCAAAAAAAAAAAAAAGAAAAGAAAAGAAAAAGAAACAGCGTCTCTTACTCTGTTGCCCAGGCTGGTCTCAAACTCCTGGTCTCAAGCGATCCACACACCTTGGCCCCCCAAAGTGCTGAGATTACAGGTTTGAGCAGCGCACCTGGCTTTCCATACTCAGATTCTGAAACACAGATCTCATCGTATCACTCCTCTGGCTCAAAATCACCCTTAATAATTGGCTCTACTAGAGCCCCATTTCCCTATACTCCCTGCCTTTGAATATCTCACTGTTGCAACACTGAAACACTTAAAGAATCTCCTCTGCTTTCTCTCTGGTTGCTTCTAGGATCTCCTCTTTGACTTTGGTGTTCTATATTTTCACTACAATATGTCCAGACATGAATTTCTTCCTACCTATCTTGCTTGGGATTCATTGGATCTCTAGAATCTATGCATTTGGTGGTGCTTATTAGATATGGAAAAAAAGTCAGACTTCATGTTTTCAAATATTGAATTTGTCTCGTTTTCCCTTCTCTGTCTGGAACTGCTACCTATGTTAGCTCTTCCTGTTGTATTCTCCCTGGCTCCTAACCACTTTTTTTCTTTGTTTTCTCCTCCTCCTCTTCCTCCTCCTCCTCTTCTTCTTCGTCTTCTTCTTCTTCTCCTCTCCCTCCTCCTCATCCTTCTCCTTCTCCTCCTCCTTCTTCTTCTCCTTCTCCTTGCTACTGCTGCCACCTCCTCCTCCTCCTCCTCCTCCTCCTCCTCCTTCAGCTTTCTCAGGTTGAATTCTTCTTTCCCCCCTGCCCCCATTTTCCATTTATTTTTCTTTCTGGGTTGAATTCTGGATAATTTCTTCAAATCCATCTTCCAGATCATGAATTCTCTATTCAGCTTTGTCTAAACTGTCGTTTAAACTCTCCATTGAGTTTTTAATATGTTACCAGGTGTTAAATTTCTAGAAGCTCCATTTATTTCTCCTGCACATTTGCTTAGTTCTTCTCATTCCTCACCCTTTGCTCATGTTGCTCCATCTTCTCCCACCTCTTCTCCTGGCAAATTCCTATACAACCCATTTCTTTCCATCCCCAGGGAGCTTTCCCTGACCTCCAGGATGGACTGGGGCTTTCTTGGGCCCTTCAGTCCCTGGGACTCCTTTGTCACAGCACTGATCACCTTCAGCCATGATTGGCTGGGTCTGGATCTGGATCTGCCTCCCCCCCTCAGACCTGTGCTTCTAATAAGCAGGGGCCATATCTGCATCCTCTCTCAGGGATAAGTACAGGTGGTTTTCAATAAACTTGTATAAAATAAAAGCAATTTCCTTAGCCCCCCCATCACTCCTTAGTCTTACTTGTTGTTTCATTTACTTATTTTTCTTTTCTGTAAAGTATATTACTTACTGCCAGCTACATGCAATCAATTGTAAAATACTTTCAATAACTAAAAATTGAATAATGGTAAAAAAAAAAAACACACATCAGCTTTCAGTATAATTTGCTTAAATTGTTCTAGAAAACACTGCTAATTTTTGTTTCTGCAGAGTGAAGTACAGAAGTGAGCAGACTGATAAATTTTTTTTTTTTTTTTTTGGAGACAGGGTCTCACTCTCTTGCCCAGGCTGGAGTGCAGTGGTGCCATCACAGCTCACTGCAGCCTTGATCTCCTGGGATCAAGTGATCCTCCTGCCTCAGCCTTCTGGGTAGCAGGGACTATAGGTGTGTGCCACCATGCCTGGCTAATTAAAAATACTTTTTTTTGTTTGTTTTTTTGTAGAAACAGGGTCTCACTATGTTGTCCATGCTGTTCTCAAACTCCTAGGCTCAAGTGATCCTCTGGCTTCGGCCTCCCAAAGTGGTGAGATTACAGGTGTGAGCCACCACACCCAGCCCAGATTGATAAATTTATAAACATCATGGAAAGAATGATAGAAAGGAACTGGAGCCACTTGAATGACATTTGGATTCCACTTGTCATAAACCACTCCTCTTTTTTCTACCTCTTGGAAAACATCTTTCTTTGGAACAGAAAAATGTTAGTGTCAGCTGGCAGCCCTGATCCTCCATATGGGATGGAGTAATGGTCACCTCCAGGTCACCATTGGCTTCTTAGATTCTGCTTTATTTTTGCCATAGCAGTGCTAGATCAGGTATTCCAGATAACCAGTCAGCAAAATAGATTTTCTCCACAATGCTTTAATCGCTGCCTGCCTAAAGATCTCTAAACTGTAAGAAACAGACCAACAAAATGGGAGGATTTGAAATTTGGAATCCACTAACCCCAGGGATTAACTGCAGTTGGTTATCCATCTCAAATCTGGTGCTGAGTTCACAGCCAAACCACCCCAGCAGCACAGCTTTAATCATACGGGCATGCTTTTCATGGAAAAAGTACCTGCCAGACCTCCTGCTCCTGCATTCAAATTATTGTGGGAACACCAGTGGGCAAAGTCAACTCTTCTGTCACGTAAGTGAGTTCAGCATTTCCAACTGTACATGCTAGATCAAGCCAGCAAAACATCCCTTCACTTGTCCAGCTTTCGTGGTAGCAGGTATATTAAAGAGCTGCCTAGTATAAAAATGCAGCCCACTGAACAGGATTGCTGTAATTGAGCCTCCTCCCTTCTCAATTGCTTCAGGGATATCCTTTATTTTATTTTATTTATTTATTTATTTTTCTCAGATGGAGTCCTGCTGTGTCACCCAGGCTGGAGTGCAGTGACGCTATCTTGACTCACTGCAACCTCCACCTCCTGGGTTCAAGTGATTCTCCTGTCTCAGCCTCCTGGGTAGCTGGGATTACAGGCATGCATCACCACACCCAGCTAATTTTTCTTTTTTTTTTTTTTTTGAGACGAAATCTCTCTCTTGTCCCCCAGGCTGGAGTGCAATGGCACGATCTCAGCTCACTGCAACCTCCACCTCCCGGGTTCAAGCGATTCTCTTGCCTCAGCCTCCAGAGTAGCTGGGATTACAGGCGCCTGCCACGACGCCCACGCCCAGCTAATTTTTGTACTTTTAGTAGAGACGGGGTTTCACCGTGTTGGCCAGGCTGGTCTCAAACTCCTGACCTCTGGTGATCCACCGGCCTCGGCCTCTCAAAGTGCTGGGATTACAGGCATGAGCCACCGCGCCCGGCCAATATCCTTTATTCTTAAGGTTTCCTCCCCCGTCTTGGCTTTATAATCCCCTTTCCTCAATGTTAACTCCATGGAGTCGTAGCTGTGACTCAACAGTATAATGATTAAAAGAGAAAGCTTTGGCTTCTATAAGAATTTTATACCATTTGGTATAGGCTTAAACAATAACTGGACTAAGGCTGGGCGCGGTGGCTCACACCTGTAATCCAAGGAGTTCGAGACCAGCCTGTGCAACATGGCAAGACCCCATCTCTACAAAAAAATACAAAAATTAGTCTGGCGTGGTGGTGTGTGCCTGTAGTCCCAGCTACCTGGGAGGTTAAGATGGGAGGATCACCTGAGCCCGGGAAGTTGAGGCTGCAGTGAGCTGTGATTGTGCCACTGCACTCCAGCCTGGACAACAGAGTGAGACCCTGGGTAACAGTAGAAGATGTAGATTAACAGTCAGCGCATTCACTAGGGCTATTTCTTTCTCGTAGGCTCCTATAGTCCTTCTGTAGGCCTACAATACTCTCATCTCTGTATCCCAAGGATGCTGCCTTCTTCGTGACCATAGGCTCCCATTTTGCCCCACTCAACTAGCTCTTCTTCAAGATCTGTTTTAACCATTTTTGGTTGAAGGCCAAGAGGATTTTCCAGGAAATAGATAGCATTTTCATCCTTATTCACTAAAGATAAATCAACTGGAGGCAGATCCTGCATTTTGGGGACATAAAAATACTCCCCAGCTGGGCACGGTGGCTCACGCCTGTAATCTGAGCACTTTAGGAGGCCGAGATGGAAGGACCACTTGAGGCCAGGAGTTTGAGAGCAGCCTGGGCAACAAAGCAAGACCCCCTCTCTGGAAAAAAATTAAAAAATTAGCCGGCATAGTGGTGCAAGCCTGTGATCCCAGCTACTGAGGAGGCTGAGGTGGGAGAATCCCTTGAGCCCAAGAGTTCCAGGCTGCAGTGAATCAAGACCGCACAACTGCAGTCAGCCTGGGTGACGGAGTGAGGCCCTGTCTCAAAAAAATTAAAAACAAACAAACAAAAAAACCTCCCTGAAGTGCCTTAGCTTATGTTCCTGAACTAGGTGGAAACTGTCCCTGTCATCTGCTTGGCGGCATTTGAGTTCAACCATCATGCTCTGCACTGTGACAGCTGACAAATTGTTCTCGGCTAGAATTCTTATGTGATCCTCAGCTCCCAGAACCCCTCAAGAAACTTCTCAAGCATTCTTTACAAAGGTATAGGCAAGACCACCTCAAACGACAGTGCCTCCACTCAGGGCTCCTTCCCCTAATCAGACTCAGGTAAACAAACACTTTCTTCCATGTACTTGCTTTTAACTTCATTAATTCACTTCCCCATCTGTAAATTCATTTCCTCATTCATTCATTTATTCATTATTCACTCGATAAGTCTTTTCTTTTCTTTTCTTTTCTTTTTTTTTTTGAGACAGAGTCTCGCCCTGTCGCCCAGGCTGGAGTGCAGTGGTGCAATCTCGGCTCACTGCAAGCTCCACCTCCTGGGGTCACGCCATTCTCCTGCCTCAGCCTCCCGAGCAGCTGGGACTACAGGCACCCGTCACCACACCTGGCTAATTTTTTTGTATTTTTAATACAGACGGGGTTTCACTGTGTTAGCCAGGATGGTCTCGATCTCCTGACCTCGTGATCCACCCACCTTGGCTTCCCGACGTGCTGGGATTACAGGCGTGAGCCACCGTGCCCAGCCAAGTCCTTTCTTTTCTTTTCTTTTTTTTTTAGAGATGGAGTCATGCTCTGTCGCCCAGGCTGGAATGCAGTGGCGCAATCTCGGCTCATTGCAACCTCCACCTCCTGGGTTCGAGCCATTCTCCTGCCTCAGCCTCCCGAGTAGCTGGGACTGCAGGCGGATGCCACCATGCCTGGCTAATTTCTTTTGTATTTTAGTAGAGACGGGAGTTTCACCATGTTGCCCAAACTGGTCTCAAACTCCTCAGCTCAGGCAATCCGCCCACCTTGGTGGATTACAGGCTTCAGCCACTGCGCCCAGCCTCAATACATCTTTTCTTTTCTTTCTTTCTTTCTTTTTTTTTTTTTTTTTCTGAGACAGAGTCTCGCTCTGTCGCCAGGCTGGAGTGCAGTGGCAGAATCTCAGCTCACTGCAAGCTCCGCCTCCCGGGTTCAAGTGATTCTCCTGCCTCAGCCTCCCAAGTAGCTGGGACTACAGGCGCCCGCCACCACGCCCAGCTAATTTTTTTGCATTTTTTTAGTAGAGACAGGGTTTCACCATGTTGGCCAGGATGGTCTCAATCTCTTGACTTCATGATCCACCCACCTCGGCCTCCCAAAGTGCTGGGATTACAGGCGTGAGCCACCACGCCCGGCCTCTATAAGTCTTTTCTAAGCACAACATAGGTTGATGCCAGCAGATACGGGATGAACTAATGAGTGACAGAGGCAATCTGCTGTAAGAAATTCTAACAGCCAGGAAGGCTTCAAGTTGGGGTGATACTGGAGCAGGGTCTGGAAGGAGGAAAGTTGGGGAAAATGCTGGGATCCCACAGCAATGTGAAGAGGGCCCCAGTGGGAGGTCGCCAGCCCATGGGACGCAGCCCGTAGGACCTTAATGCTCCCCAGCATATGAGTAGTGCATGTTCTTCCTCTCTTTGCCATGCCTGTCAGGAAGCTCAGAGCTCAGCTTGGTGCAAAGGTAGCAACTGTTGTTTGCCAGAGGTTTTGTAGTTATCTCTGTTTTGTCGCCCAAAATCTTTGACCTTTACATTGTCTATGTCTCTTATGGAAAACTTGAAATTGATGGAGTAAAATTAATAATAATAATAAAGACCTGATTCTCAGTAAGTGATGGATTCAGGACGTAAATGCAGCTCAGAGTCCAAGAGTTGTAGACTGACACCAGGCTTGTATTAGCTATCACTGCAATAATGCCACATAACAAACCACCCCAAAACTCAGTGGTTTAGAACAATCATTTAATTCCCCCTGATGCATCTGCAGGTTAGCTGAAGGTCAGTTGGTCTTGGCTGGGTGGCTCTGCCTCAGGCTAGGCTGGGATACAGGCTCTAGGCTGGGCTCTGGCTGTTCCATGTGTCTCTTGGCGGGGCGAGGCTGAAGGGCCGGCAGCCATTCAGGGGGACAATCTTCTCACAGCAGAAGCCAAGAAGACAGCTCCACTGTGGAAGTGCACCTCAAGCCTTTGGTCTTGTTATAGCCACTGCTATCCCATTGACCAAAGCAAGTTACATGGCTGAGCCCAGAGTCAAGAGACAGGGAGTGCACTCTGCCCACCTAGAGGCCGTGGCCAGCGTGAGGGGCCAATGATCAATGCCACATGCCATTTGCATCATCCAGTCTGGTCTCCACCCCTATTTCTCAGATGGGTACCCCAGGTGGATCAGTGTGGGACCAGGCAGGGTGCCCTGACTTCCCATTCCCTTTTCACAGCCCCGAGCAGGATCTCATATCACCTGGCTGATCCTCCTGGGGTGGGACCAATTCTGGAAACTGCAGTTGCAGGTGGAAGAACCTGGACTTCGGAATCACAAAGACCTGAGTTCTCTGCTCCCCAAGGCCAGCAGTGAGTCCCTGAGCAAGTCCCACCTACAAAGGAGGAAACTGAGGCTCAGAGGGGTTTGGCGACACATAGTAAGTGCTCCATCAAAAGTGGCCATTCAGGCTGGGCATGGTGGGTCATGCCTATAATTCCGGCACTTTGGGAGGCCGAGGTGGGTGGATCACTTGAGCTTAGGAGTTCAAGACCATGGTAACATGGTGAAATCCCCCCTCTACAAAATAAAAAACTAGCCAGGCATGGTAGTGTGGACGTGTAGTCCCAGCTACTCAGGAGGCTGAAGTGGGAGGATCACTTGAGCCCAGGAGATCAAGGCTGCAATGAGCTATGACAGCACCACTGCCCTCAAGCCTGGGCGACAGAGTGAGACCCTGTCTCAAAAAACAAACAGCCAGGAGCCGTGGCTCAGGCCTGTAATCCTAGCACTTTGGGAGGCTGAAGTGGGTGGATCACTCAAGGTCAGGAGTTTGAAACCAGCCTGGCCAACATGGTGAAACCCTGTCTCTACTAAAAAAAATACAAAAAAATTAGCTGGGCGTGGCTTCCGTGGGTTCCCTATCCCATGGAGAACCCACGGGACCAAGCAGGCAACTGCTTTCGTGTATTGCTTCATTGAATCCTCACAACCACCTTGCCTTATAAAAGAGGTGTTGCTATTATCCCCGTTCCACAGAAGGGGAAACTGAGGCACAAAGCAGAAAGGTCACGTGCCTGGAATCACACACCAGAAAGTGGCACAGCTGGGATTTTAACCCATGCCTGCCATGCTAGGACCAGCATCCTAGCAGCCAGGCACCATCCCCCAGCCCAGGCTGACTGCCCGTGCCCAGCTGGACTCCAGGGCTTGGCAGTCCCCAGGATGAAAAGAGGCCCCTCCCTGGGCCCTTCAAGTCACTCTGCCTGGGGGTGACACATGCAGCCACATAGGTCTCCGTGAGTTGCGGTAAGGTCTTGGGTCTCTTTATCCCTGGCATGCGGCGGGGGCACCAAAGTGACCTCAGGGATGCGGAAGTACAGGAGCCAGATTGCCAGCTGTGTGGCTCTGGCAAGTCACCTCCCCTCCCTGAGTCTGTTTCCTCAACTATAAAAAGGGATCAGTAAATGTCTCTTACTCATGGGATTGTGGGGGATTAAATTATTTGATAAATAAATGAATCATTTAGGAAAGTTCCTGGAATATAGAAACACAAGAAGAGGCAGAGGAGGAGGGGGGACAATATTACTATTGATAATATTATCCTGGGAAGCTTTTGCTGCCAGAAGCAGGAGGGACAATTTGCTGGGAAGGAAGACCCTAGGAACCAGTCCTTCCTGTGGACCTGGGACCCAGCACATTGCAGGTAGTTGGAAGGGGCCTCAGACCATCTCTGGAAACTCCATTCTATAGATGATGAGACTGAGGCCTGGGAGAGGCAGCCCCTGGGTCCAGGCTGCTCAGCAGAGCAGGCAGGCTGCCTGGCCCCACCTGGCCCCCTGCCCTCCTTCCATCCAGTCAGTCCCCATCCACCAGTCCCAATCCACCCAGTATCCATCTACCCAGTTCCCATCCACCCAGTCCCCATCCACCAATCCCCATCCACCCAGTCCCCATCCACAAATCCCCATCCACCCAGTCCCCATCTACCAATCCCCATCCACCCAGTCCCCACCCACCCAGTCCCCATCTACCCAGTCCCCATCCACCCAGTCCCCATCCACCAATCCCCATCCACCCAGTCCCCATCCACCCAGTCCCCATCCACCAATCCCCATCCACCCAGTCCCCACCCACCCAGTCCCCATCCACCAATCCCCATCCACCAATCCCCATCCACCCAGTCCCCATCCACCAATCCCTACCCACCCAGTCCCCATCCACCCAGTACCCATCCACCAATCCCCACCCACCCAGTCCCCATCCACCCAGTCCCCATCCACCCAGTACCCATCCACCAATCCCCACCCACCCAGTCCCCATCCACCCAGTACCCATCCACTCAGTCCCCATCCACCCAGTATCCATCTACCCAGTCCCCATGCACTCAGTCCCCATCCACCCACTATCCATCCACCCACTCCCCATCCACCCAGTCCCCATCCACTCAGTACCCATTCACCCAGTCCCCATCCACCCGTTTCCCATGCACCCTCACCCAACCCTGGTCTCCAGTCTCTCAGATTGAGGTCACCTCAGCTTCTCTGCACTGCAGTGGCCAGTGCAGGCAGTGCCCCCAGCCCCCCAGCTTGACCTCTGACCTTCCAGGACTCCAGGTTCCCACTCCAGCAGGTTAACAGTGCCAGTAATTCTGCTATCATTGCGCCTCCATGGGGTGCGGGGAGCAGGCTGTGTGGGCCCTTGGAAGCTCCCTAGGAAAGGATGAACCCCACAGTCCAGGGTCCTCTGCACAACGCTCAGAGCAGGATGGAGGAACATTGGGGGAAGAAGGTGGGCAGGCCCCAGTGTAGGAGACACCAACATCCCCCACCCATATCCTGTTCTGAGGCCAGGAAGAGGCCTGACCTACCCCTCCTCCTCCAGTGAGCCTTTCTTGGCTGACCAGGAGGCAGCTCTGTACAAGGGCTCCAGCCCAGGGCTGTGAGCAAGGGAGACCATGGGCCAGCCCCACCCCTTCTGGGTCTCTTGTTCCCTTCATAACTGGAGGACAGATGGCAGCAGCACTCAGGAAAGGCTCAATGCTGATGCACCCGGGAAGTGCTGTGCTGCACGGGCCCAGTGGCTGGACAGGACTGTGGGAGCCCACCCAGCCCCTTCCTCCCTGTCTTAGTGTGTTTGGTGTTGCTCTAACAGAATACCTGAGACTAGGGCATTTACTTCTTTGTTTGTTTTTTAGACAGGGTCTTGTTCTGTCACCCAGGCTGGAGTGCAGTGGCCCCTTCAGCTCACTGCAGCCTCCACTTCTTGTGCTCAAGTGATCCTTCCACCTTAGCCTCCAGAGTAGCTGGGACTACAAGTGTATGCCACCACACCTGGCTAATTTTTTAAATTTTTGTAGAGATCGCATCTCACTATGTTGCCCAGGCTGGTCTCGAACTTCCTGGCCTCAAGCAATCCTCTCACCTTGGCCTCCCAAAATGCTGGGATACCATGCCTGGGCATAATTAAATTTCGGCAGGAGCACCTCCTTTACGCCTCAATCTGTGCCTCACCAAGGCCAGCGCTGCACGACTCCAGGGGGCCATGCATGTGTCCTGGCCGACCATCCTCCCCTGACCAAGATGCATTCTGAAAAGATCCGGGGGCCGGCTCTGGGCCTTCACACATGCTGTTCTCTCCACCTGGAACACACTTCGCTTTCTCAAACGCCACCTCCCATTTATTTTTCAGCATACAGTTAAAAAATAAACTCCTGGGAAACCTGCCTTTATCCAGCTGGTAAAGTTCTCCTGTAGGTTCCCACAGCACCCGCTGCCTCAGTCTCCTCCCCATCCTGTCGCCCCACCGCCCCACCGCCCCACCGCCCCACTGCCCCACCACCCCACAACCCGCCGCTCTCTCTGTCTCCCCAGGCTCAGCCCTACTGGTGCCTCCTTGCGCCCGGACACGTGTAGACAGCGCCCTCTGCTGGCGACTCTCAGCTAGCCGCTCAGCCTCGCCCGCCTGGGTCCCAGCTCTGCCCCAGGCTCAGGTCCGGGGCCCTGGAGGTCCAAATGAGGCCAGAATCCCGGGAAGAGTCACCCGGAGAGGAGCCTCGGTCTCGGAGCCACAGACCCTGCTCAAATCCCTCTCCTGCCTTCTAATTTTCATGTGGCCTCGAGCAAATCATCTTCCTTCCTTGAGATTCAGTTTCCCCTTCCGCAAAATGTATCCTCCACAACTCTTCCCTGAGTACTTACCGTGTGCTAGATACTGAGTTGGGCACCGGCGATACCGCAGGGACAACGATGAGCAAAGTCACTGCCTCAGGAAGCTGACATAGAGGGGACGGGCAATAAACAATAAACACAACGCGGAATGTCAGTTGTCTATCTAGCACAGGGTGAGTGCTTAAAGAAGTGAAGCCGGACCGGGCGCGGTGGCTCACGCCTGTAATCCCAGCACTTTGGGAGGTCGAGGCGGGCGGATCACCTGAGGTCAGGAGTTTGAGACCAGCCTGACCAACACTGAGAAACCCCGTCTCTACCAAAAATAAAAAATGAGTCAGGTATGGTGGGGCATGTCTGCAATCCCAGCTACTCGGGAGGCTGAGGCAGGAGAGTCACTTGCACCTGGGAGGCAGAGGTTGCAGTGAGCTGAGATCACACCATTGCACTCCAGCCTGGGCAACAAGAGCAAAACTCAGTCTAAAAAAAAAAAAAAGCCGGGCGTGGTGGCTCACGTCTGTCATCCCAGCACTTTGGGAGGCTGAGGCGGGCAGATCACCTGAGGTCAGGAGTTGGAGACCAGCCAGGCCAACACGGTGAAACCCTGTCTCTACTAAAAATACAGAAATTAGCCGGGCATGGTGGTGGGCGCCTGTAGTCCCAGCTACTTGGAAGGCTGAGGCAGGAGAATCGCTTGAACCTGAGAGGCAGAGGTTGCAGTGAGTCGAGATCGGGCCACTGCACTCCAGCCTGGGCGACAGAGCAAGACTTCATCTCAAAAAAAAAAAAAAAAAAAAAAAAAAGGGAAGTGGAGCTGGAGGGGCCAGTGTGTATCCGAGGATGCGAGGGGAGGCCTCATGGGGAGGTGGGAACATCGATGCCCCCGCAGCACGCTGTCATAGCCATGCAAATGGCACGAACGCCCAGCATCCTCCCTCATGTGCTCTCCTTGGGCCACCTCCCAGCTCTCCATCCTACTTACTGTGTTTATCGTCTGCCTGCCCAGGAGAAAGTCGGCCTGTAAGTGCGGGGATTTTTGTCTGTCTACTTCCATGGGTAGCCCCAGCACTGAGAACAGTGCCTTGCACACAGTAGGTGCCCATTGGGTGCTGGTTTATCGATTTTTGCGCTAACCATGGGGCAGGACGGTGCCTCTCACTCAGCCGCCCACTCCTCATGGTGCCTCTCACTCAGCCGCCTGCTCCTCTATCAACTCTTCCAGAGCCAGCACTTGTGATCAAATAGGGGACAGCTGGGAGGCCATAGGAACCTGGAGGAGCCTGACGGACTCTGGGGTGAGTGCTGAGAGGCTTCCTGGAGGAGGCAGTGCATGCTGATGTGAGACTTGAAAAGTGGGAATGACAAGGAGGAAGGGTGTTCAAGGCAGAAGTAACAGCAATGAAAGCTGTGAGGCATGGAGATTCTTCAAGTGATTCAAGGTAGCTGGAGAAGAGAGGGCAGGTGGCAGGGATGACCAGGTCAGAGAAAGACTTGAGGACCAGGCCAAGGGGCTTGGATTTCATTCTGGGGGTTGGAGAGGCACTGTGGCCTAATATGTGAACACATGGGCCCTGAGTGGTGTCCACCTGCTACTCAGGAGGCTGAGGTGAGAGGATCACTTGAGCCCAGGAGTTCGAGGTTGAAGTGAGCCATGATTGTACCACTGCACTCCAGCCTGGGTAACAGAGTGACACCCTGTCTTAAAAATAAAATGAATAGGCCAGGTGCGGTGGCTCACGCCTATAATCCCAGCACTTTGGGAGGCCAAGGCGGGCGGATCACAAGGTCAGGAGATCGAGACCATCCTGGCTAACACAGTGAAATCCCATCTCTACTAAAAATACAAAAAAATTAGCTGGGCATGGTGGCGGGCGCCTGTAGTCCCAGCTACTCGGGAGGCTGAGGCAGGAGAATGGCGTGAACCTGGGAGGCGGAGCTTGCAGTGAGCCGAGATTGCACCGCTGCACTCCAGCCTGGGCGACTAAGCAAGACTCCATCTCAAATAAATAAATAAATAAATAAGTACATTAATTGACGTTTCAAAATTCATTCTATTTTTCTTTTTAATAACACTTTATCTATTTATAGAACAATTTTACATTTTATTAAGCCCCACTTTCTAGGTGTGAATTCTGCTGCTGTTGCTTGCTGGCAATGAGATGTTAAGTTGCTTAGGCTCTCTATGCCTTGGTTTCCCTGTGTGGAAAATGGACTTAAAGATATTTCAGACGGTTGTTGGTAAGAAGTGAGTTAGTACATCTGAAACATGTATCATATCCAGTAGGGGCTTAATTAATGTTAGCTGTGATTATTACATTCCTGTTTATTTTCCTCTACAGTAAGAGGCAATGCGAGTGAATAACTGGAATAACGGCCATCATTAAACTTAGCGTTTACCCGGCTCTTCCTGTCTTGGTTTGAGTTCTCAAATAGGCCGGGCGCGGTGGCTCACGCCTGTAATCCCAGTACTTTGGAAGGCCGAAGCGGATGGATCATGAGGTCAGGAGATCCAGACCGTCCTGGCCAACATAGTGAAAACCTATTTCTACTAAAAAATACAAAAAATTAGCCAGGCGTGGTGGCACACGCCTGTAGTCCCAACTACTCGGGAGGCTGAGGCAGGAGAATTGCTTGAACCCAGGGGGTGGAGGTTGCAGTGAGTCAAGATTGCACCACTACACTCCAGCCTGGGCGACAGGACGAGACTCCGTCTCAAAAAAAAGACCCTGAGACAAGAATTTCGGT
Source organism: Homo sapiens (assembly GCF_000001405.40). Classification (NCBI taxonomy): domain Eukaryota; kingdom Metazoa; phylum Chordata; class Mammalia; order Primates; family Hominidae; genus Homo; species Homo sapiens. The sequence goes on from NC_000017.11 coordinate 19,178,609, forward strand.
ACTGGGAGTTTCTTTGGGAGGTAACCCTAGGAGGCACCAGCAGGCATGTGGAGAAGTGAGATCAAGGGGTGAAAGCCAAGAAGGAGCAGGTCACTGCTGCAGGCAGCAGAGGCTCAGTGCTCTTGGGCGAGCACAGCTCGGAAGTGTCCCAACAAGGGCTGGAGAGGGTGGCACTTGTCCTCACTGTTCTTTTGCCCTTCGCCCGGGCTGAGCATTCTCTTGAAGCCAGAGAAAGTCCGCAGGGTTGTTGAATATATCAAATAAAAATACAGGACTCCCAGTTAAATTAGAAAACAATGAATGAATTTTTTTTTTTTTTTTTTGGTATGAGAATGTCCCACGTTATTTGGGGCATACTTACACTAAATAATTTGTCAGGCCAGGCACAGTGGCTCACGCCTGTTATCCTAGCACTTTGGGAGGCTGAGATGGGCAGATCACAAGGTCAGGGGTTCGAGACCAGCCTGGCCAATATGGTGAAACCCCGTCTCTACTAAAAGTATAAAAATTAGCCAGGAGTGGTGGCGCTTGCCTGTAGTCCCAGCTACTTGGGAGGCTCAGGCAGGAGACTTGCTTGAGCCCGGGAGGCGGAGGTAGCAGTGAGCCAAGATCGTGCCACTGCACTCCAGCCAGGGTGACAGAGCCAGACTCCGTCTCAAAAAAATAAAAATAAAAATAATAGTGATAATAATTTTTCACTATTTTTTCAAAACTCAATTTTAACTGGGAATCCTGTTTTTGTTTCTTTGTTTGTTTTGAGACAGAGTCTCGCTGTGTCGCCCAGGCTGGAGTGCAGTGGCGCGATCTCAGTTCACTGAAAGCTCTACCTCCCGGGTTCACACCATTTTTCTGCTTCAGCCTCCCGAGTAGCTGGGACTACAGGCGCCCGCCACCACGCCCGGCTAATTTTTTGTATTTTTAGTAGAGATGGGGTTTCACCGTGTTAGCCAGGATGGTCTCGATCTCCTGACCTCGTGATCCGCCCACCTCGGCCTCCCAAAGTGCTGGGATTACAGGCGTGAGCCACTGCGCCCGGTCATCCTGTGTTTTCGTGATGTGATGCCATAGGCATGGATAGGAAGTATGTGGCTGGCAGTTGCTGCTGGCTGCCAGCTAGAAGCTTAGCTGGAGCTGTTAGCCCAGGGCCTCAGTTCTCCGCATGGGTCTTTCTGTGTTGCTTCTTGGGCTTCCTCACAACGTGGTGGCTCATTTCCAGAAGGAGCATCCCAAATGATAACAATCAGAAGCTGCTAGTCCTCTTGAGGTCTTAACTTGGAAGTCCCAGAACATCGCTTCTGGTGCATTCTAGTGGGGGTGCATTCTAGGGGTGAAAACAGCCACAAGGCCAGGCCAGATGCAAGGGGAGGGGAAATAGGCTTCACCTTTGGATGTGGGGGTGGCGGAGGGCACAGGGCAGGGAGAAGTTCTTGGTGGCCGCCTCAGTAGACAATCAACTACAGTGGGAAGGCAATTTCCTTCTTCATTCACTTTCAGTCTGCTGATTATGCCCAGGTAAAATCTCTGCACAGTGTTAGGGCTTTACGTATTTTGCACACAGTTTTTCCAATTATGGGGTGTGACTGCTTAGTGAGCTATAAAGTTAGTATACTGAATCCAAATTAGTTTTTTTAAAACTTCTTTTTAAGGCCGGGTGCGGTGGCTCACGCCTGTAATCCCAGCACTTTGGGAGGCCGAGGCGGGCGGATCACGAGGTCAGGAGATCAAGACCATCCTGGCTAACACGGTGAAACCCCGTCGCTACTAAAAACACAAAAAATTAGTGGGGCGTGGTCGTGGGCGCCTGTAGTCCCAGCTATTCGGGAGGCTGAGGCAGGAGAATGGCGTGAACCCGGGAGGCGGAGCTTGCAGTGACCCAAGATCGCGCCACTGCACTCCAGCCTGAGCGACAGAGCGAAACTCCGTCTCAAAAAAAAAAAAAAAAAAAAAAAAAACAAAATACACGACTTCTTTTTAATTTGCAAATTAAATCTGAACATGCACAAAAGTGGAAGGTATGAGCCCTCACTACCGCCACTCAGCCTCGACCCCCACCTGTTTTTATACTTCTTGCCTCTACCCACCTTTGAGTGCTTTAAAAAATAAAACGAAATAGATGGAATAACATACGATAGAAAATATCAGAAAAGGAAGAATGTTACTTTGTGAAAAATTGTGTCTACTGAGTTGGAATATGAAACATGTTTGCAAAACTGTCCTCACACTTTGCTAAAACTCGTTTTTGAACAGAGCACTCATCCTACACAGCCTCTGTGGGGAAGCATCCAACACCATTTAATAACATTGTTTTGTTTTTATCCTATTCACTTTCATTGTTATTGCCTATGAAAGTGACACAAATTTTCCATTTAAGAGTAGCAATAGATAAAGTCCCCCTTTGAGTACATGTATTGACCAGGTGTGGTGGCTCACGCCTGTAATCCCAGGAATTTTGGGAGGCTGAGGCAGGAGGATGGCTTGAGCCCAAAAGTTTAAGACCAGCCTCCGCAACATAGCAAGACCTCGTCTCTGCAAAAAATACATCAATTAGCTGGGAGTGGTGGCACAAGCCTGTAGTCCCAGCTACTTGGGAGGCTGAGGTGGGAGGATTGCTTGAGCCCAGGAGGGGGAGGTTGCAATGAGCCGAGATTGCGGCACTGCACTCCAGCCTGGGGACAGAGCAAGACCCTATCTCAACAAACAAACAAACAAACACGCCCCCCCCCCCATCTCTTTATAGAACAATTTTAAGTTTTATTAGGTAGTTATAGTTGAGAGAGGGTGTGGTGAGAACACGAGAGTGGCCTCAGCCCAGTCCCACCAGAGTCTGCGGAGCCGCTGTCTGTCCCTGCTCCTGGCCGGTCTGCGGCAATCCCGTCATTTCTGCCTCGGTCTCTGCGTCTATGGGGACCGGTGCGTGGGTGGGTCAGTCTCTCTCTTGCGTTCTGTGTCTGTGTGGCCCGGACGCTGAGGGGTGTGGAGTGGCCCTGCCACAGGCCGTCCTTAGCACAGCCCCCGGGGGACCCCTCATTCACTTCCGGGACCGGAAGGCGACCTGTAGTTCCAGAAGCCGCCGCAAGAGGGCAGAGGCGGCCATAGGATGGGGCGCGGCCCGCTGGGGGCTGCCTTGAGATGCGGCTAAGAAACCCGGCAGCCCTGGGAGGAACCACACTCCCAGCGCCCCACATGTGGGTTCGAACCTGGGCTCCTCCATTCCTAGGTTAAGGCTCTTAATCCTGCCACCAGTAAAATGGGTTACTGTAAGCTTTAAATAATGTGAATATAAGGTACCTAGTTTGTGAACCTGTTTTTCCCGTTTGCTTGGGGAACTGTGGACCTCCCACAGGGGCTGGGACCTTTTAATAAGTCATACAATTTAAGGAATTTTTATTTCCCTAGTGTCTGGTACTGAAAGCAGTGAGCAAGGGAATGACATGATTAGAAAATGAAATAGAAGGAAAAGGAGGAGGGGGAGTGGAAGAGGAGGGGGAAGAGGAAAAAGAATATGATAAAATGCACTTAAAAAAAAATCCAGGGGCCAGACATGGTGGCTCACACCTGTAATTCCAGCACTTCGGGATGCTGAAGTGGAAGGGATTACTTGAAGCCAGGAGATCAAGACCAGCCTGGGCAACACAATGAAATCCTGTCTCTACAATAAATAAATAAGTAAATAAATAAATAAGTCAGGTATGGTGGCGAGCACCTCTGGTCTCAGCTACTTGGGAGGCTGAGGTGGGAGGTTGACTTGAGCCCAGGAGTTTGAGGCTGCAGTGAGCAGTGATCATGCCACTGCACTCCAGCCTGGATGACAGAGCAAGACTCTTATCTCTGAAAAGATAAACAAACAAACAAACAAACAATCTATTATCCTACCCCTCATCAATAACCACATTGGGTTTTTGGGTTTTCATACGTGAATTTGTGGTCTTTTTCTCACAACAAACTCATACATCCAAATATAAATTTATGAATATTTGCTCACAAACTCAAAGGTGCAAGAAATGTCACACTACTTCATTAAATTAAAAAAAAATTTTAAGTACTTGTTTTATAAACATGCTCAACAGAAAAAATCCAAGCCACTTAGAAAGTATACAGAAAAAAAGCAATAAATCTCCCCCATCTGTGGGGTTTTATATTTCATGAACATCATCATAGAATTCTCTCCACACAGCCTCAATCTATCTATATAAGATGAATGAATGGATGGACAGGCAAGTTTTTTGTTTTCTTGAGACAGGGTCTGGCTTTGTTATCCAGGCTGGGGGGCAGTGGTATGATCTTGGCTCACTGCAACCTCCACCTCCTGGGCTCAAGCCATTTTCCCGCCTCAGCCTCCCAAGTAGCTGGGACTACAGATGCGTGCCACCATGCCTGGCTAATTGTTTTGTATTTTTTGTAGAGACGGGGTTTCACCCTGTTGCCCAAGCTGGTCTTGAACTACTGAGCACAAGAGATCCTCCTAACTTGGCCTCCCAAAGTGCTGGGATTATAGGCGTGAACCACCACGTCCAGCTGACAGGTAAGATTTTTTAAGACTGGGATCATAACCCATGCTATTCTGTTTGTGTGTGAACAGCCAGTGACTTGTCATTATGTACGTATGCCTGTGTGTTTTAAGTGTTTTAAAAAATTAATTAGTAGAGGGCAGGCACAGTGGCTCATGCCTGTAATCCCAGCACTTTGGGAGGCCGAGGTGGACAGATCACCTGAAATCAGGAGTTCAAGACTAACCTGGCCAACACGGTGAAACCCCATCTCTACTAAAAATACAAAAATTAGCCAGGCATGGTGATGCATGTCTGTAATCCCAGCTACTTGGGAGGCTGAGGCAGGAGAATCTCTTGATTCAGTGAGACAAGATCGCACCACTGCACTCCAGCTGGGACACAGAGCAAGACTCCGTCTTTAAAAAAAAAAAAAAAAGAATTAATTAGTAGACTTTTCTGGGAGGAGCGGTTATAGGTTTACAGAAGAATTGAGCACAAAGAACAGAATCCCCATACATCCTCTCTCTCAGACCCCTACACTCATTTCCCCGTTAGTAACATTTTGCATTATAGCGTGATACTTCTGTTACAACTGATGTACCAATATGCATATGGAATTATTAAATAAGGTCCATAGCTCACATTACAGCTCATTCCTGGTGTTGTACATTCTGTGGGTTTGGACAAATGTGTAATGCCGTATCCACCATTGTCATGTCATACAGAGTAGTTTTGTGGCCCTGAAAGTCCCCTGTGCTCTGCCTGTCCATCCCTCCCTCCCCCAACCCCTGCTAACCACTGAGCCTTTTACTGTCTCCATAGTTTTGCTTTTCCAGAAGGTCATGTGTATGGAATCGTACAGTATATGGCCTTTTCACATTGGCTTCTTTTTCTTAGTAATATGCGTTTAAGGTTCTTGAATGTTTTTTCATGGCTTGATAGCTCATTTGTTTTTAGCACTGAATAATATCTAATTCTCTGGATGTACCACAGTTTATTTATCCATTCACCTATGTAGGACTTTTTTTTTTTTTTTTTTGAGGTGGAGTCTCACTCTGTCTCCCAGGCTGCAGTGCAGTAGGGTGACCTCAGCTCACTGCAACCTCTGCCTCCCAGGTTCAAGCGATTCTCCTACCTCAGCCTCCTGAGTAGCTGTGATTACAGGCGTGTGCCACCACACCCAGCTAATTTTTGTTGTTGTTGTTGTTGTTGTTTTCTTTCTTTTTTTTTTTTTTTGAGATGGAGTTTCGCTCTGTCGCCCAGGCTGGAGTGCAGTGGCGCGATCTCGGCTCACTGCAAGCTCTGCCTCCCGGGTTCACACCATTCTCCTGCCTCAGCCTCCTGAGTAGCTGGGACTACAGGCACCCGCCACCACGCACGGCTTATTTTTTGTATTTTTTTTTTTTTTTTTTTTTTTTTTAGTAGAGACGGCGTTTCACCATGTTAGCCGGGATGATCTCGATCTCCTGACCTCGTGATCTGCCCGCCTCAGCCTCCCAAAGTGCTGGGATTGCAGGCGGGAGCCACTGCGCCCAGTGTAATTTTTGTATTTTTAGTAGAGATGGGGTTTTGCCATGTTGGCCAGGCTGGTCTTGAGCTCCTGATCTCAGGAGATCCACCTGCCTTGGCCTCTCAAAGTGAAGACATATTTTTTATTTTATTTTATTTTATTTTATTTTATTTTATTAGAGACAGGGGTCTCCCTCTGTTGCCCAGGCAGCTCCTAAACCCCTGATCTCAAGTGACTGTCTGCCTCAGCTGCCCAAGTAGCAGGGATTACAGTCACAAGCCACCGCCCCCGGCTCTGTTTAGGAACATCTTAGTTCCAAGTTTTGGCAATTATGGGTAAAGCTGCTATAAACATATGTGTGCAGGCTTGTGCGGACATACGTTTTCAAATCATTTGGGTAGACACCAAGAGCTGCATTCCAGCCTGGGCAACAAGAGCGAAACTCCGTCTCAAAAAAAAAAAAAAAAAAAAAAAAAAAACCAGAAATGTAGGCCGGGCATGGCGGCTTGCACCTATAATCCCAGAACTTTGGGAGGCCAAGGCAGGCAGATCACTTGAGGTCAGGAGTTCAAGACCAGCCTGTCCAACATGGCGAAACCCCGTCTCTACTAAAAATACAAATATTAGCCAGGCGTGGTGGCGCATGCCTGTAATCCCAGCTACTCAGGAGGCCGAGGCACGTGACTCACTTGAACTCAGGAGGCAGAGGTTGCAGTGAGCCCAGATCGTGCCACTGCACTCCAGCCTGGGTGATGAAGTGAAACTCTGTCAAAACAGAAATTATTCTCTCGCAGTTATGAAGTCTCAAAGGGGGATCCTTCCTTGGCTCCTCCGGCGTCTGGAGGCTACTGGCCATCCTGGTGTTACTCAAACACCAGGGGTTCCATCTAGGGCCTGCCACTCACCTCACAGAAAGCCAATCAGTGAGACAACGATTCTTGCCAAGGAAGAAGGCTTTAATCAGGTGCTGCAGCTGAGGGGATGGGAGGGCTTCATCCCAGGAATGCAGGGGGTGGTTCAACATAAGAAAATCCGTTAACGTAATGTACCGCATTAGTAGAACAAAGGGAAAAAAACAGTCATTCCAGCTGACACAGAAAAAGCATCTAAGAAATTCTAACATTTCATCATTAAAACATAGAGAAAACTATGAAACGAGGGGATCTGCCTCAACATTATAAAAGGTATTTGTGAAAAAACCACAGTTACCATCATACTTAGTGGTGAAAGACTAAAAGCTTTCCCCCTAAGTTCAGGAACAAGACACAGAGGTTCACCTTTACCACTGCTACTCAATGTTTTTTTTTTTTGTTTTGTTGGTTTTGTTGTGTTTTCGAGAAGGAGTCTTGCTCTGTCGCCCAGGCTGGAATGCAGTGGCGTGATCTCGGCTCACTGCAGCCTCTGCCCCCGGGGTTCAAGCAATTCTCCTGCCTCAGCCTCCCCAGTAGCTGGGACTACAGGTGCGCACTGCCACGCCTGGCTAATTTTTGTATTCTTAGTAGAGACAGGGTTTCACCATGTTGGCCAGGATGCTCTTGAGCTCCTGACCTTGTTATCTGCCTGCCTCGGCCTCCCAAAATGCTGGAATTACAGATGTGAGCCACCGCGCCTGGCCTAGTCAACATTTTGCTAGAAGTTGTAGCCAGAGCCTTTAGGTAAGAAAAGGCACCAAATTGAGAAATAAGAAATAAAACCATCGCTTTAAATAGGGAAAATCCCAAAGAATACACGCACAATAATTACTAGAGCTAATAAGCAAATGCAGCAAAGTTTCAGGACACAAGATCAACTCACAAAAACCAGTTGTGTGGTTTCCTGTTTGTTTTTTTGAGGAGTTATGCTCTTATCGCCCAGGCCGGAGTGCAATGGCGTGATCTTGGCTCACTGCAGCCTCTGCCTCCCGGGTTCAAGCAATTCTCCTGCCTCAGCCTCCCCAGTAGCTGGGATTACAGGCGCAGGCCACCACGCCCGGCCAGTTTTTGTATTTTTAGTAGAGACGAGGTTTCACCACGTTGGCCAGGATGGTCTTGATCTCCTGACCTGGTGATCCACCCGCCTCGGCCTCCCAAAGTGCTAGGATGACAGGCGTGAGCCACCGTGCCCGGTCCAGTTGTGTTTTTATGCACTGGCAAGGAACAATTCAAAAATGTAATTAAGAAAACCGCTGGGCGTGGTGGCTCACGCCTGTAGTCCCAGCACTTTGAGCGGCCGAGGCGGGTGGATCCCTTGATCCCAGGAGTTCAAGACCATCCTGGGCAATGTGGTGAAACCCCCTCCCTACAAAAAATACAAAAAATTAGCGGAGCGTGATGGCATGTGCCTACGATCCCAGCTACTCAGGAGGCTGACGTGGGAGGATCACCCGAGCCCTGGGGGTCAAGGCTGCAGTGAGCTGTCACATCATGCATCATTGCACTCCAGCCTGAAAAAGGAGTGAAATTCTGCAACATGTTACAACGTGAATGAACCTTGAAAACGTCATTCTAAGTGAAATAAGCCAGATACAAAAGGACAATATTGCATGTTTCCACTTATAGAGATACCTACAAGAATCAAATTCATAGAGACGGAAAGTAGAATAGTGGTTAAAGGGGTCTGGGCGGAGGGAGGAAAGGGAAGTTTGTTTTACGGGTAGAGTTTCAGTTTGGGATGTCGAAAAAGTTCTGGAGATAAATAATGGTGATGGTTACATGCCAATGGCTACACGAATGTACTTAATGCCACTGAATTGTATATGTGAAAAATGGTTAAAATGGTAAATTTTGTATCTATTTAATACCATCCCCCCTAAAAAAAAAATTGTTTTTAAGAGTCAAGATCTCACTCTGTCTCCCAGGCTGGGGTGCAGTGGGGTAACTGATCAGAGCTCACTGCAGCTTTGAACTCAGCCAGCTTCCCTGACTCAAACGATCATCCCGCTTCAGCCTCCCGAGTAGCTGGGACTACAGACGGTGCCATCACGCCCAGCTCATTGTTGATTCCCGCCCCCTTGGTAGAGACGGGATTCCGCTATATTGCCTGGGCTGGTGTCGAACTCATAGAACAAAGGATCCTCCCTCCTGGGCCTGGGCGTGGGCTCGCAAAACGCTGGGATTCCCGGATTACAGGCGGGCGCACCACACCAGGAGCAAACACTTCCGGTTTTAAAAATTCAGTTTGTGATTGGCTGTCATTCAGTATTATGCTAATTAAGCATGCCCGGTTTTAAACCTCTTAAAACAACTTTTAAAATTACCTTTCCACCTAAAACGTTAAAATTTGTCAAGTGATAATATTCGACAAGCTGTTATTGCCAAACTATTTTCCTATTTGTTTCCTAATGGCATCGGAACTAGCGAAAGTTTCTCGCCATCAGTTAAAAGTTTGCGGCAGATGTAGACCTAGCAGAGGTGTGCAAGGAGGCCGTTAAGACTATACTTTCAGGGATCATTTCTATAGTGTGTTACTAGAGAAGTTTCTCTGAACGTGTAGAGCACCGAAAACCACGAGGAAGAGAGGTAGCGTTTTCTCCTGAGCGTGAAGCCGGCTTTCTGGCGTTGCTTGGCTGCAACTGCCGTCAGCCATTGATGATCGTTCTTCTCTCCGTATTGGGGAGTGAGAGGGAGAGAACGCGGTCTGAGTGGTTTTTCCTTCTTGATGGCTCAATGACAGAGACTAGCTCGTAAACTCCGGGGCGTTTCTGGGCTGTTCGCTCCTGCTTGGCATGTCGCGAGAAAGGTTTTCGCCTCCTGTTTCAGCGGTGACGGCTCTTGGGTTTTCTCGGGGTGGCTTTTTAATTTTAGTCTTGGCGCGAGGCGGGGGATGCTGTGTGGCACCTCCTATTGTCTCTTTTTGCGTTTTCTCCCATTCTCGCTCCCTCTTTTGTCGCCGTTTCCCGCCCGCCACTCCCACCCCCAGACGGGGTCTCCGGGTCTCTTGTTCTGTCTGCCGGCCCCGGCTGGATTGCAGTGGCGCGATCTCGGCTCCTAGCAACATCTGCCTCCCGGGCTCAAGCGAGTCTCCCGCCTAAGCCCTCCCGAGTAGCCGGGGCTTAAAGGCGCACACGCCACTCCAGGCTTTTTTTTTTTTTTTTTTTTTTTTTTTGGCAGAAACGGGGTGTCAGCATGTTAGCCAGGCTGGTCTCCAACGCGTGATCTCAGGTGATCCGCCCGCCTCGGCCTCCCGAAGTTCTGGGATTACAGGCGTGAGCCACTGCACCCGGCCCTTCTATTTTTTTAAATAGCGACGGGGTTTCACCATGTTGGCCAGGCTGCTCCTGAACACCTGAGTTCAGGTGATCCGCCCGCCTCGGCCTCCCGAAGTTCTGGGATTACAGGAGTGAGCCACCGCGCCCGACTGAGAACTGTAAGAAATAAATTTGTGTTATTTAAGCCACAAAGTCTGTGTATTTTGTTATGGAGCCCAAGAAAAGCAGCTTCTTCTGAAACTAAACACTTTCGGTATGATCAGAACTCGTGCCTCTTGGTGTCTACCCAAATGAGTTGAAAATGTCCACACAAAAACCTGCACACCTGTTTATAGCAGCTTTATCCATAATTGCCAAAACTTGGAACTAAGATGTTCCTGAATAGAGCCAGCGGCTGTGGCTTGTGTCTGTAATCCCTGCTACTTGGGCAGCTGAGGCAGACAGTCAGTCACTTGAGATAAGCAGTTTGAGACCAGTCTGGGCAACAGAGTGAGACCCCATCTCTATAAAAAGTACTTTTAGGGCCGGGTGCGGGTGGCACGCCTGTAATCGCAGAACTTCGGGAGGCCGAGGCGGGCGGATCACCTGAACTCAGGTGTTCAGGAGCAGCCTGGCCAACATGGTGAAACCCCGTCGCTATTTAAAAAAATAGAAGGGCCGGGTGCAGTGGCTCACGCCTGTAATCCCAGAACTTCGGGAGGCCGAGGCCGGCGGATCACCTGAGATCACGCGTTGGAGACCAGCCTGGCTAACATGCTGACACCCCGTTTCTGCCAAAAAAAAAAAAAAAAAAAAAAAAAAAGCCTGGAGTGGCGTGTGCGCCTTTAAGCCCCGGCTACTCGGGAGGGCTTAGGCGGGAGACTCGCTTGAGCCCGGGAGGCAGATGTTGCTAGGAGCCGAGATCGCGCCACTGCAATCCAGCCGGGGCCGGCAGACAGAACAAGAGACCCGGAGACCCCGTCTGGGGGTGGGAGTGGCGGGCGGGAAACGGCGACAAAAGAGGGAGCGAGAATGGGAGAAAACGCAAAAAGAGACAATAGGAGGTGCCACACAGCATCCCCCGCCTCGCGCCAAGACTAAAATTAAAAAGCCACCCCGAGAAAACCCAAGAGCCGTCACCGCTGAAACAGGAGGCGAAAACCTTTCTCGCGACATGCCAAGCAGGAGCGAACAGCCCAGAAACGCCCCGGAGTTTACGAGCTAGTCTCTGTCATTGAGCCATCAAGAAGGAAAAACCACTCAGACCGCGTTCTCTCCCTCTCACTCCCCAATACGGAGAGAAGAACGATCATCAATGGCTGACGGCAGTTGCAGCCAAGCAACGCCAGAAAGCCGGCTTCACGTTCAGGAGAAAACGCTACCTCTCTTCCTCGTGGTTTTCGGTGCTCTACACGTTCAGAGAAACTTCTCTAGTAACACACTATAGAAATGATCCCTGAAAGTATAGTCTTAACGGCCTCCTTGCACACCTCTGCTAGGTCTACATCTGCCGCAAACTTTTAACTGATGGCGAGAAACTTTCGCTAGTTCCGATGCCATTAGGAAACAAATAGGAAAATAGTTTGGCAATAACAGCTTGTCGAATATTATCACTTGACAAATTTTAACGTTTTAGGTGGAAAGGTAATTTTAAAAGTTGTTTTAAGAGGTTTAAAACCGGGCATGCTTAATTAGCATAATACTGAATGACAGCCAATCACAAACTGAATTTTTAAAACCGGAAGTGTTTGCTCCTGGTGTGGTGCGCCCGCCTGTAATCCGGGAATCCCAGCGTTTTGCGAGCCCACGCCCAGGCCCAGGAGGGAGGATCCTTTGTTCTATGAGTTCGACACCAGCCCAGGCAATATAGCGGAATCCCGTCTCTACCAAGGGGGCGGGAATCAACAATGAGCTGGGCGTGATGGCACCGTCTGTAGTCCCAGCTACTCGGGAGGCTGAAGCGGGATGATCGTTTGAGTCAGGGAAGCTGGCTGAGTTCAAAGCTGCAGTGAGCTCTGATCAGTTACCCCACTGCACCCCAGCCTGGGAGACAGAGTGAGATCTTGACTCTTAAAAACAATTTTTTTTTTAGGGGGGATGGTATTAAATAGATACAAAATTTACCATTTTAACCATTTTTCACATATACAATTCAGTGGCATTAAGTACATTCGTGTAGCCATTGGCATGTAACCATCACCATTATTTATCTCCAGAACTTTTTCGACATCCCAAACTGAAACTCTACCCGTAAAACAAACTTCCCTTTCCTCCCTCCGCCCAGACCCCTTTAACCACTATTCTACTTTCCGTCTCTATGAATTTGATTCTTGTAGGTATCTCTATAAGTGGAAACATGCAATATTGTCCTTTTGTATCTGGCTTATTTCACTTAGAATGACGTTTTCAAGGTTCATTCACGTTGTAACATGTTGCAGAATTTCACTCCTTTTTCAGGCTGGAGTGCAATGATGCATGATGTGACAGCTCACTGCAGCCTTGACCCCCAGGGCTCGGGTGATCCTCCCACGTCAGCCTCCTGAGTAGCTGGGATCGTAGGCACATGCCATCACGCTCCGCTAATTTTTTGTATTTTTTGTAGGGAGGGGGTTTCACCACATTGCCCAGGATGGTCTTGAACTCCTGGGATCAAGGGATCCACCCGCCTCGGCCGCTCAAAGTGCTGGGACTACAGGCGTGAGCCACCACGCCCAGCGGTTTTCTTAATTACATTTTTGAATTGTTCCTTGCCAGTGCATAAAAACACAACTGGACCGGGCACGGTGGCTCACGCCTGTCATCCTAGCACTTTGGGAGGCCGAGGCGGGTGGATCACCAGGTCAGGAGATCAAGACCATCCTGGCCAACGTGGTGAAACCTCGTCTCTACTAAAAATACAAAAACTGGCCGGGCGTGGTGGCCTGCGCCTGTAATCCCAGCTACTGGGGAGGCTGAGGCAGGAGAATTGCTTGAACCCGGGAGGCAGAGGCTGCAGTGAGCCAAGATCACGCCATTGCACTCCGGCCTGGGCGATAAGAGCATAACTCCTCAAAAAAACAAACAGGAAACCACACAACTGGTTTTTGTGAGTTGATCTTGTGTCCTGAAACTTTGCTGCATTTGCTTATTAGCTCTAGTAATTATTGTGCGTGTATTCTTTGGGATTTTCCCTATTTAAAGCGATGGTTTTATTTCTTATTTCTCAATTTGGTGCCTTTTCTTACCTAAAGGCTCTGGCTACAACTTCTAGCAAAATGTTGACTAGGCCAGGCGCGGTGGCTCACATCTGTAATTCCAGCATTTTGGGAGGCCGAGGCAGGCAGATAACAAGGTCAGGAGCTCAAGAGCATCCTGGCCAACATGGTGAAACCCTGTCTCTACTAAGAATACAAAAATTAGCCAGGCGTGGCAGTGCGCACCTGTAGTCCCAGCTACTGGGGAGGCTGAGGCAGGAGAATTGCTTGAACCCCGGGGGCAGAGGCTGCAGTGAGCCGAGATCACGCCACTGCATTCCAGCCTGGGCGACAGAGCAAGACTCCTTCTCGAAAACACAACAAAACCAACAAAACAAAAAAAAAAAACATTGAGTAGCAGTGGTAAAGGTGAACCTCTGTGTCTTGTTCCTGAACTTAGGGGGAAAGCTTTTAGTCTTTCACCACTAAGTATGATGGTAACTGTGGTTTTTTCACAAATACCTTTTATAATGTTGAGGCAGATCCCCTCGTTTCATAGTTTTCTCTATGTTTTAATGATGAAATGTTAGAATTTCTTAGATGCTTTTTCTGTGTCAGCTGGAATGACTGTTTTTTTCCCTTTGTTCTACTAATGCGGTACATTACGTTAACGGATTTTCTTATGTTGAACCACCCCCTGCATTCCTGGGATGAAGCCCTCCCATCCCCTCAGCTGCAGCACCTGATTAAAGCCTTCTTCCTTGGCAAGAATCGTTGTCTCACTGATTGGCTTTCTGTGAGGTGAGTGGCAGGCCCTAGATGGAACCCCTGGTGTTTGAGTAACACCAGGATGGCCAGTAGCCTCCAGACGCCGGAGGAGCCAAGGAAGGATCCCCCTTTGAGACTTCATAACTGCGAGAGAATAATTTCTGTTTTGACAGAGTTTCACTTCATCACCCAGGCTGGAGTGCAGTGGCACGATCTGGGCTCACTGCAACCTCTGCCTCCTGAGTTCAAGTGAGTCACGTGCCTCGGCCTCCTGAGTAGCTGGGATTACAGGCATGCGCCACCACGCCTGGCTAATATTTGTATTTTTAGTAGAGACGGGGTTTCGCCATGTTGGACAGGCTGGTCTTGAACTCCTGACCTCAAGTGATCTGCCTGCCTTGGCCTCCCAAAGTTCTGGGATTATAGGTGCAAGCCGCCATGCCCGGCCTACATTTCTGGTTTTTTTTTTTTTTTTTTTTTTTTTTTTGAGACGGAGTTTCGCTCTTGTTGCCCAGGCTGGAATGCAGCTCTTGGTGTCTACCCAAATGATTTGAAAACGTATGTCCGCACAAGCCTGCACACATATGTTTATAGCAGCTTTACCCATAATTGCCAAAACTTGGAACTAAGATGTTCCTAAACAGAGCCGGGGGCGGTGGCTTGTGACTGTAATCCCTGCTACTTGGGCAGCTGAGGCAGACAGTCACTTGAGATCAGGGGTTTAGGAGCTGCCTGGGCAACAGAGGGAGACCCCTGTCTCTAATAAAATAAAATAAAATAAAATAAAATAAAATAAAAAATATGTCTTCACTTTGAGAGGCCAAGGCAGGTGGATCTCCTGAGATCAGGAGCTCAAGACCAGCCTGGCCAACATGGCAAAACCCCATCTCTACTAAAAATACAAAAATTACACTGGGCGCAGTGGCTCCCGCCTGCAATCCCAGCACTTTGGGAGGCTGAGGCGGGCAGATCACGAGGTCAGGAGATCGAGATCATCCCGGCTAACATGGTGAAACGCCGTCTCTACTAAAAAAAAAAAAAAAAAAAAAAAAAATACAAAAAATAAGCCGTGCGTGGTGGCGGGTGCCTGTAGTCCCAGCTACTCAGGAGGCTGAGGCAGGAGAATGGTGTGAACCCGGGAGGCAGAGCTTGCAGTGAGCCGAGATCGCGCCACTGCACTCCAGCCTGGGCGACAGAGCGAAACTCCATCTCAAAAAAAAAAAAAAAGAAAGAAAACAACAACAACAACAACAACAAAAATTAGCTGGGTGTGGTGGCACACGCCTGTAATCACAGCTACTCAGGAGGCTGAGGTAGGAGAATCGCTTGAACCTGGGAGGCAGAGGTTGCAGTGAGCTGAGGTCACCCTACTGCACTGCAGCCTGGGAGACAGAGTGAGACTCCACCTCAAAAAAAAAAAAAAAAAAGTCCTACATAGGTGAATGGATAAATAAACTGTGGTACATCCAGAGAATTAGATATTATTCAGTGCTAAAAACAAATGAGCTATCAAGCCATGAAAAAACATTCAAGAACCTTAAACGCATATTACTAAGAAAAAGAAGCCAATGTGAAAAGGCCATATACTGTACGATTCCATACACATGACCTTCTGGAAAAGCAAAACTATGGAGACAGTAAAAGGCTCAGTGGTTAGCAGGGGTTGGGGGAGGGAGGGATGGACAGGCAGAGCACAGGGGACTTTCAGGGCCACAAAACTACTCTGTATGACATGACAATGGTGGATACGGCATTACACATTTGTCCAAACCCACAGAATGTACAACACCAGGAATGAGCTGTAATGTGAGCTATGGACCTTATTTAATAATTCCATATGCATATTGGTACATCAGTTGTAACAGAAGTATCACGCTATAATGCAAAATGTTACTAACGGGGAAATGAGTGTAGGGGTCTGAGAGAGAGGATGTATGGGGATTCTGTTCTTTGTGCTCAATTCTTCTGTAAACCTATAACCGCTCCTCCCAGAAAAGTCTACTAATTAATTCTTTTTTTTTTTTTTTTAAAGACGGAGTCTTGCTCTGTGTCCCAGCTGGAGTGCAGTGGTGCGATCTTGTCTCACTGAATCAAGAGATTCTCCTGCCTCAGCCTCCCAAGTAGCTGGGATTACAGACATGCATCACCATGCCTGGCTAATTTTTGTATTTTTAGTAGAGATGGGGTTTCACCGTGTTGGCCAGGTTAGTCTTGAACTCCTGATTTCAGGTGATCTGTCCACCTCGGCCTCCCAAAGTGCTGGGATTACAGGCATGAGCCACTGTGCCTGCCCTCTACTAATTAATTTTTTAAAACACTTAAAACACACAGGCATACGTACATAATGACAAGTCACTGGCTGTTCACACACAAACAGAATAGCATGGGTTATGATCCCAGTCTTAAAAAATCTTACCTGTCAGCTGGACGTGGTGGTTCACGCCTATAATCCCAGCACTTTGGGAGGCCAAGTTAGGAGGATCTCTTGTGCTCAGTAGTTCAAGACCAGCTTGGGCAACAGGGTGAAACCCCGTCTCTACAAAAAATACAAAACAATTAGCCAGGCATGGTGGCACGCATCTGTAGTCCCAGCTACTTGGGAGGCTGAGGCGGGAAAATGGCTTGAGCCCAGGAGGTGGAGGTTGCAGTGAGCCAAGATCATACCACTGCCCCCCAGCCTGGATAACAAAGCCAGACCCTGTCTCAAGAAAACAAAAAACTTGCCTGTCCATCCATTCATTCATCTTATATAGATAGATTGAGGCTGTGTGGAGAGAATTCTATGATGATGTTCATGAAATATAAAACCCCACAGATGGGGGAGATTTATTGCTTTTTTTCTGTATACTTTCTAAGTGGCTTGGATTTTTTCTGTTGAGCATGTTTATAAAACAAGTACTTAAAATTTTTTTTTAATTTAATGAAGTAGTGTGACATTTCTTGCACCTTTGAGTTTGTGAGCAAATATTCATAAATTTATATTTGGATGTATGAGTTTGTTGTGAGAAAAAGACCACAAATTCACGTATGAAAACCCAAAAACCCAATGTGGTTATTGATGAGGGGTAGGATAATAGATTGTTTGTTTGTTTGTTTGTTTATCTTTTCAGAGATAAGAGTCTTGCTCTGTCATCCAGGCTGGAGTGCAGTGGCATGATCACTGCTCACTGCAGCCTCAAACTCCTGGGCTCAAGTCAACCTCCCACCTCAGCCTCCCAAGTAGCTGAGACCAGAGGTGCTCGCCACCATACCTGACTTATTTATTTATTTACTTATTTATTTATTGTAGAGACAGGATTTCATTGTGTTGCCCAGGCTGGTCTTGATCTCCTGGCTTCAAGTAATCCCTTCCACTTCAGCATCCCGAAGTGCTGGAATTACAGGTGTGAGCCACCATGTCTGGCCCCTGGATTTTTTTTTAAGTGCATTTTATCATATTCTTTTTCCTCTTCCCCCTCCTCTTCCACTCCCCCTCCTCCTTTTCCTTCTATTTCATTTTCTAATCATGTCATTCCCTTGCTCACTGCTTTCAGTACCAGACACTAGGGAAATAAAAATTCCTTAAATTGTATGACTTATTAAAAGGTCCCAGCCCCTGTGGGAGGTCCACAGTTCCCCAAGCAAACGGGAAAAACAGGTTCACAAACTAGGTACCTTATATTCACATTATTTAAAGCTTACAGTAACCCATTTTACTGGTGGCAGGATTAAGAGCCTTAACCTAGGAATGGAGGAGCCCAGGTTCGAACCCACATGTGGGGCGCTGGGAGTGTGGTTCCTCCCAGGGCTGCCGGGTTTCTTAGCCGCATCTCAAGGCAGCCCCCAGCGGGCCGCGCCCCATCCTATGGCCGCCTCTGCCCTCTTGCGGCGGCTTCTGGAACTACAGGTCGCCTTCCGGTCCCGGAAGTGAATGAGGGGTCCCCCGGGGGCTGTGCTAAGGACGGCCTGTGGCAGGGCCACTCCACACCCCTCAGCGTCCGGGCCACACAGACACAGAACGCAAGAGAGAGACTGACCCACCCACGCACCGGTACCCATAGACGCAGAGACCGAGGCAGAAATGACGGGATTGCCGCAGACCGGCCAGGAGCAGGGACAGACAGCGGCTCCGCAGACTCTGGTGGGACTGGGCTGAGGCCACTCTCGTGTTCTCACCACACCCTCTCTCAACTATAACTACCTAATAAAACTTAAAATTGTTCTATAAAGAGATGGGGGGGGGGCGTGTTTGTTTGTTTGTTTGTTGAGATAGGGTCTTGCTCTGTCCCCAGGCTGGAGTGCAGTGCCGCAATCTCGGCTCATTGCAACCTCCCCCTCCTGGGCTCAAGCAATCCTCCCACCTCAGCCTCCCAAGTAGCTGGGACTACAGGCTTGTGCCACCACTCCCAGCTAATTGATGTATTTTTTGCAGAGACGAGGTCTTGCTATGTTGCGGAGGCTGGTCTTAAACTTTTGGGCTCAAGCCATCCTCCTGCCTCAGCCTCCCAAAATTCCTGGGATTACAGGCGTGAGCCACCACACCTGGTCAATACATGTACTCAAAGGGGGACTTTATCTATTGCTACTCTTAAATGGAAAATTTGTGTCACTTTCATAGGCAATAACAATGAAAGTGAATAGGATAAAAACAAAACAATGTTATTAAATGGTGTTGGATGCTTCCCCACAGAGGCTGTGTAGGATGAGTGCTCTGTTCAAAAACGAGTTTTAGCAAAGTGTGAGGACAGTTTTGCAAACATGTTTCATATTCCAACTCAGTAGACACAATTTTTCACAAAGTAACATTCTTCCTTTTCTGATATTTTCTATCGTATGTTATTCCATCTATTTCGTTTTATTTTTTAAAGCACTCAAAGGTGGGTAGAGGCAAGAAGTATAAAAACAGGTGGGGGTCGAGGCTGAGTGGCGGTAGTGAGGGCTCATACCTTCCACTTTTGTGCATGTTCAGATTTAATTTGCAAATTAAAAAGAAGTCGTGTATTTTTTTTTTTGTTTTTTTTTTTTTTTTTTTTGAGACGGAGTTTCGCTCTGTCGCTCAGGCTGGAGTGCAGTGGCGCGATCTTGGGTCACTGCAAGCTCCGCCTCCCGGGTTCACGCCATTCTCCTGCCTCAGCCTCCCGAATAGCTGGGACTACAGGCGCCCACGACCACGCCCCACTAATTTTTTGTGTTTTTAGTAGCGACGGGGTTTCACCGTGTTAGCCAGGATGGTCTTGATCTCCTGACCTCGTGATCCGCCCGCCTCGGCCTCCCAAAGTGCTGGGATTACAGGCGTGAGCCACCGCACCCGGCCTTAAAAAGAAGTTTTAAAAAAACTAATTTGGATTCAGTATACTAACTTTATAGCTCACTAAGCAGTCACACCCCATAATTGGAAAAACTGTGTGCAAAATACGTAAAGCCCTAACACTGTGCAGAGATTTTACCTGGGCATAATCAGCAGACTGAAAGTGAATGAAGAAGGAAATTGCCTTCCCACTGTAGTTGATTGTCTACTGAGGCGGCCACCAAGAACTTCTCCCTGCCCTGTGCCCTCCGCCACCCCCACATCCAAAGGTGAAGCCTATTTCCCCTCCCCTTGCATCTGGCCTGGCCTTGTGGCTGTTTTCACCCCTAGAATGCACCCCCACTAGAATGCACCAGAAGCGATGTTCTGGGACTTCCAAGTTAAGACCTCAAGAGGACTAGCAGCTTCTGATTGTTATCATTTGGGATGCTCCTTCTGGAAATGAGCCACCACGTTGTGAGGAAGCCCAAGAAGCAACACAGAAAGACCCATGCGGAGAACTGAGGCCCTGGGCTAACAGCTCCAGCTAAGCTTCTAGCTGGCAGCCAGCAGCAACTGCCAGCCACATACTTCCTATCCATGCCTATGGCATCACATCACGAAAACACAGGATGACCGGGCGCAGTGGCTCACGCCTGTAATCCCAGCACTTTGGGAGGCCGAGGTGGGCGGATCACGAGGTCAGGAGATCGAGACCATCCTGGCTAACACGGTGAAACCCCATCTCTACTAAAAATACAAAAAATTAGCCGGGCGTGGTGGCGGGCGCCTGTAGTCCCAGCTACTCGGGAGGCTGAAGCAGAAAAATGGTGTGAACCCGGGAGGTAGAGCTTTCAGTGAACTGAGATCGCGCCACTGCACTCCAGCCTGGGCGACACAGCGAGACTCTGTCTCAAAACAAACAAAGAAACAAAAACAGGATTCCCAGTTAAAATTGAGTTTTGAAAAAATAGTGAAAAATTATTATCACTATTATTTTTATTTTTATTTTTTTGAGACGGAGTCTGGCTCTGTCACCCTGGCTGGAGTGCAGTGGCACGATCTTGGCTCACTGCTACCTCCGCCTCCCGGGCTCAAGCAAGTCTCCTGCCTGAGCCTCCCAAGTAGCTGGGACTACAGGCAAGCGCCACCACTCCTGGCTAATTTTTATACTTTTAGTAGAGACGGGGTTTCACCATATTGGCCAGGCTGGTCTCGAACCCCTGACCTTGTGATCTGCCCATCTCAGCCTCCCAAAGTGCTAGGATAACAGGCGTGAGCCACTGTGCCTGGCCTGACAAATTATTTAGTGTAAGTATGCCCCAAATAACGTGGGACATTCTCATACCAAAAAAAAAAAAAAAAAATTCATTCATTGTTTTCTAATTTAACTGGGAGTCCTGTATTTTTATTTGATATATTCAACAACCCTGCGGACTTTCTCTGGCTTCAAGAGAATGCTCAGCCCGGGCGAAGGGCAAAAGAACAGTGAGGACAAGTGCCACCCTCTCCAGCCCTTGTTGGGACACTTCCGAGCTGTGCTCGCCCAAGAGCACTGAGCCTCTGCTGCCTGCAGCAGTGACCTGCTCCTTCTTGGCTTTCACCCCTTGATCTCACTTCTCCACATGCCTGCTGGTGCCTCCTAGGGTTACCTCCCAAAGAAACTCCCAGTACCGAAATTCTTGTCTCAGGGTCTTTTTTTTGAGACGGAGTCTCGTCCTGTCGCCCAGGCTGGAGTGTAGTGGTGCAATCTTGACTCACTGCAACCTCCACCCCCTGGGTTCAAGCAATTCTCCTGCCTCAGCCTCCCGAGTAGTTGGGACTACAGGCGTGTGCCACCACGCCTGGCTAATTTTTTGTATTTTTTAGTAGAAATAGGTTTTCACTATGTTGGCCAGGACGGTCTGGATCTCCTGACCTCATGATCCATCCGCTTCGGCCTTCCAAAGTACTGGGATTACAGGCGTGAGCCACCGCGCCCGGCCTATTTGAGAACTCAAACCAAGACAGGAAGAGCCGGGTAAACGCTAAGTTTAATGATGGCCGTTATTCCAGTTATTCACTCGCATTGCCTCTTACTGTAGAGGAAAATAAACAGGAATGTAATAATCACAGCTAACATTAATTAAGCCCCTACTGGATATGATACATGTTTCAGATGTACTAACTCACTTCTTACCAACAACCGTCTGAAATATCTTTAAGTCCATTTTCCACACAGGGAAACCAAGGCATAGAGAGCCTAAGCAACTTAACATCTCATTGCCAGCAAGCAACAGCAGCAGAATTCACACCTAGAAAGTGGGGCTTAATAAAATGTAAAATTGTTCTATAAATAGATAAAGTGTTATTAAAAAGAAAAATAGAATGAATTTTGAAACGTCAATTAATGTACTTATTTATTTATTTATTTATTTGAGATGGAGTCTTGCTTAGTCGCCCAGGCTGGAGTGCAGCGGTGCAATCTCGGCTCACTGCAAGCTCCGCCTCCCAGGTTCACGCCATTCTCCTGCCTCAGCCTCCCGAGTAGCTGGGACTACAGGCGCCCGCCACCATGCCCAGCTAATTTTTTTGTATTTTTAGTAGAGATGGGATTTCACTGTGTTAGCCAGGATGGTCTCGATCTCCTGACCTTGTGATCCGCCCGCCTTGGCCTCCCAAAGTGCTGGGATTATAGGCGTGAGCCACCGCACCTGGCCTATTCATTTTATTTTTAAGACAGGGTGTCACTCTGTTACCCAGGCTGGAGTGCAGTGGTACAATCATGGCTCACTTCAACCTCGAACTCCTGGGCTCAAGTGATCCTCTCACCTCAGCCTCCTGAGTAGCAGGTGGACACCACTCAGGGCCCATGTGTTCACATATTAGGCCACAGTGCCTCTCCAACCCCCAGAATGAAATCCAAGCCCCTTGGCCTGGTCCTCAAGTCTTTCTCTGACCTGGTCATCCCTGCCACCTGCCCTCTCTTCTCCAGCTACCTTGAATCACTTGAAGAATCTCCATGCCTCACAGCTTTCATTGCTGTTACTTCTGCCTTGAACACCCTTCCTCCTTGTCATTCCCACTTTTCAAGTCTCACATCAGCATGCACTGCCTCCTCCAGGAAGCCTCTCAGCACTCACCCCAGAGTCCGTCAGGCTCCTCCAGGTTCCTATGGCCTCCCAGCTGTCCCCTATTTGATCACAAGTGCTGGCTCTGGAAGAGTTGATAGAGGAGCAGGCGGCTGAGTGAGAGGCACCATGAGGAGTGGGCGGCTGAGTGAGAGGCACCGTCCTGCCCCATGGTTAGCGCAAAAATCGATAAACCAGCACCCAATGGGCACCTACTGTGTGCAAGGCACTGTTCTCAGTGCTGGGGCTACCCATGGAAGTAGACAGACAAAAATCCCCGCACTTACAGGCCGACTTTCTCCTGGGCAGGCAGACGATAAACACAGTAAGTAGGATGGAGAGCTGGGAGGTGGCCCAAGGAGAGCACATGAGGGAGGATGCTGGGCGTTCGTGCCATTTGCATGGCTATGACAGCGTGCTGCGGGGGCATCGATGTTCCCACCTCCCCATGAGGCCTCCCCTCGCATCCTCGGATACACACTGGCCCCTCCAGCTCCACTTCCCTTTTTTTTTTTTTTTTTTTTTTTTTTGAGATGAAGTCTTGCTCTGTCGCCCAGGCTGGAGTGCAGTGGCCCGATCTCGACTCACTGCAACCTCTGCCTCTCAGGTTCAAGCGATTCTCCTGCCTCAGCCTTCCAAGTAGCTGGGACTACAGGCGCCCACCACCATGCCCGGCTAATTTCTGTATTTTTAGTAGAGACAGGGTTTCACCGTGTTGGCCTGGCTGGTCTCCAACTCCTGACCTCAGGTGATCTGCCCGCCTCAGCCTCCCAAAGTGCTGGGATGACAGACGTGAGCCACCACGCCCGGCTTTTTTTTTTTTTTAGACTGAGTTTTGCTCTTGTTGCCCAGGCTGGAGTGCAATGGTGTGATCTCAGCTCACTGCAACCTCTGCCTCCCAGGTGCAAGTGACTCTCCTGCCTCAGCCTCCCGAGTAGCTGGGATTGCAGACATGCCCCACCATACCTGACTCATTTTTTATTTTTGGTAGAGACGGGGTTTCTCAGTGTTGGTCAGGCTGGTCTCAAACTCCTGACCTCAGGTGATCCGCCCGCCTCGACCTCCCAAAGTGCTGGGATTACAGGCGTGAGCCACCGCGCCCGGTCCGGCTTCACTTCTTTAAGCACTCACCCTGTGCTAGATAGACAACTGACATTCCGCGTTGTGTTTATTGTTTATTGCCCGTCCCCTCTATGTCAGCTTCCTGAGGCAGTGACTTTGCTCATCGTTGTCCCTGCGGTATCGCCGGTGCCCAACTCAGTATCTAGCACACGGTAAGTACTCAGGGAAGAGTTGTGGAGGATACATTTTGCGGAAGGGGAAACTGAATCTCAAGGAAGGAAGATGATTTGCTCGAGGCCACATGAAAATTAGAAGGCAGGAGAGGGATTTGAGCAGGGTCTGTGGCTCCGAGACCGAGGCTCCTCTCCGGGTGACTCTTCCCGGGATTCTGGCCTCATTTGGACCTCCAGGGCCCCGGACCTGAGCCTGGGGCAGAGCTGGGACCCAGGCGGGCGAGGCTGAGCGGCTAGCTGAGAGTCGCCAGCAGAGGGCGCTGTCTACACGTGTCCGGGCGCAAGGAGGCACCAGTAGGGCTGAGCCTGGGGAGACAGAGAGAGCGGCGGGTTGTGGGGTGGTGGGGCAGTGGGGCGGTGGGGCGGTGGGGCGGTGGGGCGACAGGATGGGGAGGAGACTGAGGCAGCGGGTGCTGTGGGAACCTACAGGAGAACTTTACCAGCTGGATAAAGGCAGGTTTCCCAGGAGTTTATTTTTTAACTGTATGCTGAAAAATAAATGGGAGGTGGCGTTTGAGAAAGCGAAGTGTGTTCCAGGTGGAGAGAACAGCATGTGTGAAGGCCCAGAGCCGGCCCCCGGATCTTTTCAGAATGCATCTTGGTCAGGGGAGGATGGTCGGCCAGGACACATGCATGGCCCCCTGGAGTCGTGCAGCGCTGGCCTTGGTGAGGCACAGATTGAGGCGTAAAGGAGGTGCTCCTGCCGAAATTTAATTATGCCCAGGCATGGTATCCCAGCATTTTGGGAGGCCAAGGTGAGAGGATTGCTTGAGGCCAGGAAGTTCGAGACCAGCCTGGGCAACATAGTGAGATGCGATCTCTACAAAAATTTAAAAAATTAGCCAGGTGTGGTGGCATACACTTGTAGTCCCAGCTACTCTGGAGGCTAAGGTGGAAGGATCACTTGAGCACAAGAAGTGGAGGCTGCAGTGAGCTGAAGGGGCCACTGCACTCCAGCCTGGGTGACAGAACAAGACCCTGTCTAAAAAACAAACAAAGAAGTAAATGCCCTAGTCTCAGGTATTCTGTTAGAGCAACACCAAACACACTAAGACAGGGAGGAAGGGGCTGGGTGGGCTCCCACAGTCCTGTCCAGCCACTGGGCCCGTGCAGCACAGCACTTCCCGGGTGCATCAGCATTGAGCCTTTCCTGAGTGCTGCTGCCATCTGTCCTCCAGTTATGAAGGGAACAAGAGACCCAGAAGGGGTGGGGCTGGCCCATGGTCTCCCTTGCTCACAGCCCTGGGCTGGAGCCCTTGTACAGAGCTGCCTCCTGGTCAGCCAAGAAAGGCTCACTGGAGGAGGAGGGGTAGGTCAGGCCTCTTCCTGGCCTCAGAACAGGATATGGGTGGGGGATGTTGGTGTCTCCTACACTGGGGCCTGCCCACCTTCTTCCCCCAATGTTCCTCCATCCTGCTCTGAGCGTTGTGCAGAGGACCCTGGACTGTGGGGTTCATCCTTTCCTAGGGAGCTTCCAAGGGCCCACACAGCCTGCTCCCCGCACCCCATGGAGGCGCAATGATAGCAGAATTACTGGCACTGTTAACCTGCTGGAGTGGGAACCTGGAGTCCTGGAAGGTCAGAGGTCAAGCTGGGGGGCTGGGGGCACTGCCTGCACTGGCCACTGCAGTGCAGAGAAGCTGAGGTGACCTCAATCTGAGAGACTGGAGACCAGGGTTGGGTGAGGGTGCATGGGAAACGGGTGGATGGGGACTGGGTGAATGGGTACTGAGTGGATGGGGACTGGGTGGATGGGGAGTGGGTGGATGGATAGTGGGTGGATGGGGACTGAGTGGATGGGGACTGGGTAGATGGATACTGGGTGGATGGGGACTGAGTGGATGGGTACTGGGTGGATGGGGACTGGGTGGGTGGGGATTGGTGGATGGGTACTGGGTGGATGGGGACTGGGTGGATGGGGACTGGGTGGGTGGGGATTGGTGGATGGGTACTGGGTGGATGGGGACTGGGTGGGTAGGGATTGGTGGATGGGGACTGGGTGGATGGGGATTGGTGGATGGGGATTGGTGGATGGGGACTGGGTGGGTGGGGACTGGGTGGATGGGGATTGGTGGATGGGGACTGGGTGGATGGGGACTGGGTGGATGGGGATTGGTGGATGGGGACTGGGTGGATGGGGACTGGGTAGATGGGGACTGGGTGGGTGGGGACTGGGTGGATGGGGATTGGTAGATGGGGACTGGGTGGATGGGGATTTGTGGATGGGGACTGGGTGGATGGGGATTGGTGGATGGGGACTGGGTGGATGGGAACTGGGTAGATGGATACTGGGTGGATTGGGACTGGTGGATGGGGACTGACTGGATGGAAGGAGGGCAGGGGGCCAGGTGGGGCCAGGCAGCCTGCCTGCTCTGCTGAGCAGCCTGGACCCAGGGGCTGCCTCTCCCAGGCCTCAGTCTCATCATCTATAGAATGGAGTTTCCAGAGATGGTCTGAGGCCCCTTCCAACTACCTGCAATGTGCTGGGTCCCAGGTCCACAGGAAGGACTGGTTCCTAGGGTCTTCCTTCCCAGCAAATTGTCCCTCCTGCTTCTGGCAGCAAAAGCTTCCCAGGATAATATTATCAATAGTAATATTGTCCCCCCTCCTCCTCTGCCTCTTCTTGTGTTTCTATATTCCAGGAACTTTCCTAAATGATTCATTTATTTATCAAATAATTTAATCCCCCACAATCCCATGAGTAAGAGACATTTACTGATCCCTTTTTATAGTTGAGGAAACAGACTCAGGGAGGGGAGGTGACTTGCCAGAGCCACACAGCTGGCAATCTGGCTCCTGTACTTCCGCATCCCTGAGGTCACTTTGGTGCCCCCGCCGCATGCCAGGGATAAAGAGACCCAAGACCTTACCGCAACTCACGGAGACCTATGTGGCTGCATGTGTCACCCCCAGGCAGAGTGACTTGAAGGGCCCAGGGAGGGGCCTCTTTTCATCCTGGGGACTGCCAAGCCCTGGAGTCCAGCTGGGCACGGGCAGTCAGCCTGGGCTGGGGGATGGTGCCTGGCTGCTAGGATGCTGGTCCTAGCATGGCAGGCATGGGTTAAAATCCCAGCTGTGCCACTTTCTGGTGTGTGATTCCAGGCACGTGACCTTTCTGCTTTGTGCCTCAGTTTCCCCTTCTGTGGAACGGGGATAATAGCAACACCTCTTTTATAAGGCAAGGTGGTTGTGAGGATTCAATGAAGCAATACACGAAAGCAGTTGCCTGCTTGGTCCCGTGGGTTCTCCATGGGATAGGGAACCCACGGAAGCCACGCCCAGCTAATTTTTTTGTATTTTTTTTAGTAGAGACAGGGTTTCACCATGTTGGCCAGGCTGGTTTCAAACTCCTGACCTTGAGTGATCCACCCACTTCAGCCTCCCAAAGTGCTAGGATTACAGGCCTGAGCCACGGCTCCTGGCTGTTTGTTTTTTGAGACAGGGTCTCACTCTGTCGCCCAGGCTTGAGGGCAGTGGTGCTGTCATAGCTCATTGCAGCCTTGATCTCCTGGGCTCAAGTGATCCTCCCACTTCAGCCTCCTGAGTAGCTGGGACTACACGTCCACACTACCATGCCTGGCTAGTTTTTTATTTTGTAGAGGGGGGATTTCACCATGTTACCATGGTCTTGAACTCCTAAGCTCAAGTGATCCACCCACCTCGGCCTCCCAAAGTGCCGGAATTATAGGCATGACCCACCATGCCCAGCCTGAATGGCCACTTTTGATGGAGCACTTACTATGTGTCGCCAAACCCCTCTGAGCCTCAGTTTCCTCCTTTGTAGGTGGGACTTGCTCAGGGACTCACTGCTGGCCTTGGGGAGCAGAGAACTCAGGTCTTTGTGATTCCGAAGTCCAGGTTCTTCCACCTGCAACTGCAGTTTCCAGAATTGGTCCCACCCCAGGAGGATCAGCCAGGTGATATGAGATCCTGCTCGGGGCTGTGAAAAGGGAATGGGAAGTCAGGGCACCCTGCCTGGTCCCACACTGATCCACCTGGGGTACCCATCTGAGAAATAGGGGTGGAGACCAGACTGGATGATGCAAATGGCATGTGGCATTGATCATTGGCCCCTCACGCTGGCCACGGCCTCTAGGTGGGCAGAGTGCACTCCCTGTCTCTTGACTCTGGGCTCAGCCATGTAACTTGCTTTGGTCAATGGGATAGCAGTGGCTATAACAAGACCAAAGGCTTGAGGTGCACTTCCACAGTGGAGCTGTCTTCTTGGCTTCTGCTGTGAGAAGATTGTCCCCCTGAATGGCTGCCGGCCCTTCAGCCTCGCCCCGCCAAGAGACACATGGAACAGCCAGAGCCCAGCCTAGAGCCTGTATCCCAGCCTAGCCTGAGGCAGAGCCACCCAGCCAAGACCAACTGACCTTCAGCTAACCTGCAGATGCATCAGGGGGAATTAAATGATTGTTCTAAACCACTGAGTTTTGGGGTGGTTTGTTATGTGGCATTATTGCAGTGATAGCTAATACAAGCCTGGTGTCAGTCTACAACTCTTGGACTCTGAGCTGCATTTACGTCCTGAATCCATCACTTACTGAGAATCAGGTCTTTATTATTATTATTAATTTTACTCCATCAATTTCAAGTTTTCCATAAGAGACATAGACAATGTAAAGGTCAAAGATTTTGGGCGACAAAACAGAGATAACTACAAAACCTCTGGCAAACAACAGTTGCTACCTTTGCACCAAGCTGAGCTCTGAGCTTCCTGACAGGCATGGCAAAGAGAGGAAGAACATGCACTACTCATATGCTGGGGAGCATTAAGGTCCTACGGGCTGCGTCCCATGGGCTGGCGACCTCCCACTGGGGCCCTCTTCACATTGCTGTGGGATCCCAGCATTTTCCCCAACTTTCCTCCTTCCAGACCCTGCTCCAGTATCACCCCAACTTGAAGCCTTCCTGGCTGTTAGAATTTCTTACAGCAGATTGCCTCTGTCACTCATTAGTTCATCCCGTATCTGCTGGCATCAACCTATGTTGTGCTTAGAAAAGACTTATAGAGGCCGGGCGTGGTGGCTCACGCCTGTAATCCCAGCACTTTGGGAGGCCGAGGTGGGTGGATCATGAAGTCAAGAGATTGAGACCATCCTGGCCAACATGGTGAAACCCTGTCTCTACTAAAAAAATGCAAAAAAATTAGCTGGGCGTGGTGGCGGGCGCCTGTAGTCCCAGCTACTTGGGAGGCTGAGGCAGGAGAATCACTTGAACCCGGGAGGCGGAGCTTGCAGTGAGCTGAGATTCTGCCACTGCACTCCAGCCTGGCGACAGAGCGAGACTCTGTCTCAGAAAAAAAAAAAAAAAAAGAAAGAAAGAAAGAAAAGAAAAGATGTATTGAGGCTGGGCGCAGTGGCTGAAGCCTGTAATCCACCAAGGTGGGCGGATTGCCTGAGCTGAGGAGTTTGAGACCAGTTTGGGCAACATGGTGAAACTCCCGTCTCTACTAAAATACAAAAGAAATTAGCCAGGCATGGTGGCATCCGCCTGCAGTCCCAGCTACTCGGGAGGCTGAGGCAGGAGAATGGCTCGAACCCAGGAGGTGGAGGTTGCAATGAGCCGAGATTGCGCCACTGCATTCCAGCCTGGGCGACAGAGCATGA
This sequence comes from Homo sapiens, assembly GCF_000001405.40. Taxonomy (NCBI): domain Eukaryota; kingdom Metazoa; phylum Chordata; class Mammalia; order Primates; family Hominidae; genus Homo; species Homo sapiens. The sequence goes on from NC_000017.11 coordinate 19,207,998, forward strand.
CTCCATCTCTAAAAAAAAAAGAAAAGAAAAGAAAGGACTTGGCTGGGCACGGTGGCTCACGCCTGTAATCCCAGCACGTCGGGAAGCCAAGGTGGGTGGATCACGAGGTCAGGAGATCGAGACCATCCTGGCTAACACAGTGAAACCCCGTCTGTATTAAAAATACAAAAAAATTAGCCAGGTGTGGTGACGGGTGCCTGTAGTCCCAGCTGCTCGGGAGGCTGAGGCAGGAGAATGGCGTGACCCCAGGAGGTGGAGCTTGCAGTGAGCCGAGATTGCACCACTGCACTCCAGCCTGGGCGACAGGGCGAGACTCTGTCTCAAAAAAAAAAAGAAAAGAAAAGAAAAGAAAAGACTTATCGAGTGAATAATGAATAAATGAATGAATGAGGAAATGAATTTACAGATGGGGAAGTGAATTAATGAAGTTAAAAGCAAGTACATGGAAGAAAGTGTTTGTTTACCTGAGTCTGATTAGGGGAAGGAGCCCTGAGTGGAGGCACTGTCGTTTGAGGTGGTCTTGCCTATACCTTTGTAAAGAATGCTTGAGAAGTTTCTTGAGGGGTTCTGGGAGCTGAGGATCACATAAGAATTCTAGCCGAGAACAATTTGTCAGCTGTCACAGTGCAGAGCATGATGGTTGAACTCAAATGCCGCCAAGCAGATGACAGGGACAGTTTCCACCTAGTTCAGGAACATAAGCTAAGGCACTTCAGGGAGGTTTTTTTGTTTGTTTGTTTTTAATTTTTTTGAGACAGGGCCTCACTCCGTCACCCAGGCTGACTGCAGTTGTGCGGTCTTGATTCACTGCAGCCTGGAACTCTTGGGCTCAAGGGATTCTCCCACCTCAGCCTCCTCAGTAGCTGGGATCACAGGCTTGCACCACTATGCCGGCTAATTTTTTAATTTTTTTCCAGAGAGGGGGTCTTGCTTTGTTGCCCAGGCTGCTCTCAAACTCCTGGCCTCAAGTGGTCCTTCCATCTCGGCCTCCTAAAGTGCTCAGATTACAGGCGTGAGCCACCGTGCCCAGCTGGGGAGTATTTTTATGTCCCCAAAATGCAGGATCTGCCTCCAGTTGATTTATCTTTAGTGAATAAGGATGAAAATGCTATCTATTTCCTGGAAAATCCTCTTGGCCTTCAACCAAAAATGGTTAAAACAGATCTTGAAGAAGAGCTAGTTGAGTGGGGCAAAATGGGAGCCTATGGTCACGAAGAAGGCAGCATCCTTGGGATACAGAGATGAGAGTATTGTAGGCCTACAGAAGGACTATAGGAGCCTACGAGAAAGAAATAGCCCTAGTGAATGCGCTGACTGTTAATCTACATCTTCTACTGTTACCCAGGGTCTCACTCTGTTGTCCAGGCTGGAGTGCAGTGGCACAATCACAGCTCACTGCAGCCTCAACTTCCCGGGCTCAGGTGATCCTCCCATCTTAACCTCCCAGGTAGCTGGGACTACAGGCACACACCACCACGCCAGACTAATTTTTGTATTTTTTTGTAGAGATGGGGTCTTGCCATGTTGCACAGGCTGGTCTCGAACTCCTTGGATTACAGGTGTGAGCCACCGCGCCCAGCCTTAGTCCAGTTATTGTTTAAGCCTATACCAAATGGTATAAAATTCTTATAGAAGCCAAAGCTTTCTCTTTTAATCATTATACTGTTGAGTCACAGCTACGACTCCATGGAGTTAACATTGAGGAAAGGGGATTATAAAGCCAAGACGGGGGAGGAAACCTTAAGAATAAAGGATATTGGCCGGGCGCGGTGGCTCATGCCTGTAATCCCAGCACTTTGAGAGGCCGAGGCCGGTGGATCACCAGAGGTCAGGAGTTTGAGACCAGCCTGGCCAACACGGTGAAACCCCGTCTCTACTAAAAGTACAAAAATTAGCTGGGCGTCGTGGCAGGCGCCTGTAATCCCAGCTACTCTGGAGGCTGAGGCAAGAGAATCGCTTGAACCCGGGAGGTGGAGGTTGCAGTGAGCTGAGATCGTGCCATTGCACTCCAGCCTGGGGGACAAGAGAGAGATTTCGTCTCAAAAAAAAAAAAAAAAGAAAAATTAGCTGGGTGTGGTGATGCATGCCTGTAATCCCAGCTACCCAGGAGGCTGAGACAGGAGAATCACTTGAACCCAGGAGGTGGAGGTTGCAGTGAGTCAAGATAGCGTCACTGCACTCCAGCCTGGGTGACACAGCAGGACTCCATCTGAGAAAAATAAATAAATAAATAAAATAAAATAAAGGATATCCCTGAAGCAATTGAGAAGGGAGGAGGCTCAATTACAGCAATCCTGTTCAGTGGGCTGCATTTTTATACTAGGCAGCTCTTTAATATACCTGCTACCACGAAAGCTGGACAAGTGAAGGGATGTTTTGCTGGCTTGATCTAGCATGTACAGTTGGAAATGCTGAACTCACTTACGTGACAGAAGAGTTGACTTTGCCCACTGGTGTTCCCACAATAATTTGAATGCAGGAGCAGGAGGTCTGGCAGGTACTTTTTCCATGAAAAGCATGCCCGTATGATTAAAGCTGTGCTGCTGGGGTGGTTTGGCTGTGAACTCAGCACCAGATTTGAGATGGATAACCAACTGCAGTTAATCCCTGGGGTTAGTGGATTCCAAATTTCAAATCCTCCCATTTTGTTGGTCTGTTTCTTACAGTTTAGAGATCTTTAGGCAGGCAGCGATTAAAGCATTGTGGAGAAAATCTATTTTGCTGACTGGTTATCTGGAATACCTGATCTAGCACTGCTATGGCAAAAATAAAGCAGAATCTAAGAAGCCAATGGTGACCTGGAGGTGACCATTACTCCATCCCATATGGAGGATCAGGGCTGCCAGCTGACACTAACATTTTTCTGTTCCAAAGAAAGATGTTTTCCAAGAGGTAGAAAAAAGAGGAGTGGTTTATGACAAGTGGAATCCAAATGTCATTCAAGTGGCTCCAGTTCCTTTCTATCATTCTTTCCATGATGTTTATAAATTTATCAATCTGGGCTGGGTGTGGTGGCTCACACCTGTAATCTCACCACTTTGGGAGGCCGAAGCCAGAGGATCACTTGAGCCTAGGAGTTTGAGAACAGCATGGACAACATAGTGAGACCCTGTTTCTACAAAAAAACAAACAAAAAAAAGTATTTTTAATTAGCCAGGCATGGTGGCACACACCTATAGTCCCTGCTACCCAGAAGGCTGAGGCAGGAGGATCACTTGATCCCAGGAGATCAAGGCTGCAGTGAGCTGTGATGGCACCACTGCACTCCAGCCTGGGCAAGAGAGTGAGACCCTGTCTCCAAAAAAAAAAAAAAAAAATTTATCAGTCTGCTCACTTCTGTACTTCACTCTGCAGAAACAAAAATTAGCAGTGTTTTCTAGAACAATTTAAGCAAATTATACTGAAAGCTGATGTGTGTTTTTTTTTTTTACCATTATTCAATTTTTAGTTATTGAAAGTATTTTACAATTGATTGCATGTAGCTGGCAGTAAGTAATATACTTTACAGAAAAGAAAAATAAGTAAATGAAACAACAAGTAAGACTAAGGAGTGATGGGGGGGCTAAGGAAATTGCTTTTATTTTATACAAGTTTATTGAAAACCACCTGTACTTATCCCTGAGAGAGGATGCAGATATGGCCCCTGCTTATTAGAAGCACAGGTCTGAGGGGGGGAGGCAGATCCAGATCCAGACCCAGCCAATCATGGCTGAAGGTGATCAGTGCTGTGACAAAGGAGTCCCAGGGACTGAAGGGCCCAAGAAAGCCCCAGTCCATCCTGGAGGTCAGGGAAAGCTCCCTGGGGATGGAAAGAAATGGGTTGTATAGGAATTTGCCAGGAGAAGAGGTGGGAGAAGATGGAGCAACATGAGCAAAGGGTGAGGAATGAGAAGAACTAAGCAAATGTGCAGGAGAAATAAATGGAGCTTCTAGAAATTTAACACCTGGTAACATATTAAAAACTCAATGGAGAGTTTAAACGACAGTTTAGACAAAGCTGAATAGAGAATTCATGATCTGGAAGATGGATTTGAAGAAATTATCCAGAATTCAACCCAGAAAGAAAAATAAATGGAAAATGGGGGCAGGGGGGAAAGAAGAATTCAACCTGAGAAAGCTGAAGGAGGAGGAGGAGGAGGAGGAGGAGGAGGAGGTGGCAGCAGTAGCAAGGAGAAGGAGAAGAAGAAGGAGGAGGAGAAGGAGAAGGATGAGGAGGAGGGAGAGGAGAAGAAGAAGAAGACGAAGAAGAAGAGGAGGAGGAGGAAGAGGAGGAGGAGAAAACAAAGAAAAAAAGTGGTTAGGAGCCAGGGAGAATACAACAGGAAGAGCTAACATAGGTAGCAGTTCCAGACAGAGAAGGGAAAACGAGACAAATTCAATATTTGAAAACATGAAGTCTGACTTTTTTTCCATATCTAATAAGCACCACCAAATGCATAGATTCTAGAGATCCAATGAATCCCAAGCAAGATAGGTAGGAAGAAATTCATGTCTGGACATATTGTAGTGAAAATATAGAACACCAAAGTCAAAGAGGAGATCCTAGAAGCAACCAGAGAGAAAGCAGAGGAGATTCTTTAAGTGTTTCAGTGTTGCAACAGTGAGATATTCAAAGGCAGGGAGTATAGGGAAATGGGGCTCTAGTAGAGCCAATTATTAAGGGTGATTTTGAGCCAGAGGAGTGATACGATGAGATCTGTGTTTCAGAATCTGAGTATGGAAAGCCAGGTGCGCTGCTCAAACCTGTAATCTCAGCACTTTGGGGGGCCAAGGTGTGTGGATCGCTTGAGACCAGGAGTTTGAGACCAGCCTGGGCAACAGAGTAAGAGACGCTGTTTCTTTTTCTTTTCTTTTCTTTTTTTTTTTTTTGAGACAGAGTTTCACTCTGTCACCCAGGCTGGAGTGCAGTGGCGTGATCTCGGCTCGCTGCAACCTCCGCCTCCCGGGTTCAAACGATTCTCCTGTCTCAGCCTCCCAAGTAGCTGGGACTACAGGTGCCCACAACCAGACCTGGCTAATTTTTGTAGTTTTAGTAGAGACAGGGTTTCATATTGGCCAGGCTGGTCTCGAACTCCTGACCTTGTGATCCACCTGCCTTGGCCTCCCAAAGTGCTGGAATTACAGGTGTGAGCCACCGCGCCTGGCAAGAGATGCTGTTTCTACAAAAAAATAAACAAAAAAAATTAGCTGAGCATGGTGGCATGTACCTATAGTCCCAGCCATTTGAGAGGCTGAGGTAGGAGGATCACCTGGGCCCGGGGGCTCAAGGCTACAGTGTTCACACCACTGCACTCCAGCCTAGTGTGCAGACTGGAGTGATGGAGTGAGACTCTGTCTCAAAAAAAAAAAAAAAAAGAAAGAAAAGAAAAGAAAGATGCGGTTCTACTCAGCGTCATCTGATTGCTACCCTGTAAAAGTGCAGCCCCAGAGTTCTGAGCTTCTGATATCCCAAAAGAAATGGAAACAGGTGGCCCCTGGATGAAGGAGGAGGTCAGGGGTGGCTGGAAGGCAGGTCCTGGGGAGTGTAGGGGCTGGAAGAAGACGGAGGGGGAAGGTGTGGTAGACACTATTATAATAGCTGACTGATCCTTGTGTACCATTCCCAATTCCCCTCTTCCCTGCTGCTTTCCACTGTGGAGGCTGGAAAAGAGAAACTACTTACCTTCTCAGCCTTTGTTGCAGCTGGGAGTGACCATGTGACACAGTTTTGGCCAATGACATCTAAGGAGTCTCATTAGATCTCATTATGTGTGTGTGGCAGGGGTGGGGGTGGGGGGTGAGGGGGGCGGGGTGCCTGGGAAATTATTGACGAAAGTGACAAACGCTTTCAATTAACCCTGAAAGTAACCATTCCTTTTCCTTTCTGTCTTAAATGCGGAGGCAGATGCAACGCCAGGAGCAGCATCAGCCACGCTGTAAACAAGGGGGAAACGCCAAGCGCATTACAGAGGACGTCAGCCCTGCCATCACTGGGCTGGGGAAACAATGCCAGCCATGGCTGGTCTCCGGGTTCACAGTGATAGGGGAAATAAACCCTTATTTGTCTAAGCCATTGTGATTTGTTTTCCTTTTTTTTTTTTTTCAGCCACTTTACAGAAGAGGGATATTTGTTAAAATTCAGAAGGAGAGAGAAAAGGAGAGACTGCGCAGGTTGAAACGGTGGTGGGAAAATGTCAAAGAGAGAGAGACTTTGTTTGCAGGTGGCAGGGGCCTGAGCACGATTTTGTCACAATAGCAGATTGAGCACAGGATGTGCCAGGCACAGCGCTTTATACTGATCGACGCGTTTTAAAAATATTTTGTAGGCCGGGCGCGGTGGTTCACGCCTGTAATCCCAGCACTTTGGGAGGCTCAGGCGGGCGGATCACGAGGTCAGGAAATTGTGACCATCCTGGCTAACACGGTGAAACCCCGTCTCTAGCAAAAATACAAAAAATTAGCCAGGCGTGGTGGCACGCGCCTGTAGTCCCAGCTACTCGAGAGGATGAGGCAGGAGAATCGCTTGAACTCGGGAGACAGAGGTTGCAGTGAGCTGAGATCGCTCACTTGAGATCGCGCCACTGCACTCCAGCCTGGGCGATAGAGCGAGACTCCGGCTAAAAAACAAACAAACAAACAACAAAAAAAAACAAATTTGTAGAGACGGGGGGGGGGGGGGTCTCACAATGTTGACCAGGCTAGTCTCGAACTCCTGACCTCAAGCCGTCCTCAGGCCCGGCCTCCCAAAGTGCTAGGATTAAGGCCTGAGCCACCGCGCCCAGCAGAACGCATTTAGTTCTCACTGCAACTTTCTGAGGCAGGCTGTGCTGTTATCCCCACCACACAGAGGGAACTGCGGTGCTCTTCTTAGACAAGAAAAGCGCCAGCCAGCGGGTGGTGAGGCAGGATTTGAACTCGAGCACACGGAGCCCATCCAGTCCCGATGGACTGACTCCTCCGTCAGCGGAGGAGGGAGCGAGTCGTTAGGTGAACAGTGAGTGTCTCAGGGTCCCGAGTGTGAGGTGGGGCGTCGGATGTGTCGCGGGGTCCTGCCTGGCCGTGTCCGGGCCGAGGCAGGGGAGGACGATCCGGGGCAGGGCAGCCAGCACTGCTCTCCCTGAGGGCCGGGGCTGTGCGCGCTGCGCGGTCTGTGCGTGGGATACGCCGGGCCCCGCCTCGCCTTCCCGCCCCGTCTCCCAGTCCTCCGCCCTGGCCCTGCCATAGGGAGCCCGGCCCGGGGGTTCTGCGGCTGCCGCAGCCCTGACAGGGGCCGGGGACGTGGAGGGAGCGGGCCGGCGCTGGCGCAGCCGCAGAACTGTGCAGGAGAGACTGTGACCCCGGTGGCCCTCTCTGAGTCTTGGTTTCTTCCTCCGTGAAATGGGGCTTGAGCAGCGCCTCCTCGACGGGGAAGAGGGCCCGCAGAGACAGCGCGCCAGAGAGTCCAGGGCAGCGCAGGGAAGGAGCCTGTGGATCCCTCCCAGACCCATCCCACCGCCGATCCCGCCCAGGGGCGGCCCAGAGCATTTCCTGAAGGGCCTCAGGAAATACCAGGCCCCCGCCCCCAACCCTCCCGCCACCCCCGCCGCCCCCGCCCGTCCGCCCGCTAGCGTCCAGCTCCCTGGCCGCCCCTCCCCCGCCTCCTTCCGGCCGGCCCCCTGCTCGCATCTTGGCTTGCTGAGGCTGCGGGTCTTGGCCGGGCCTTCGAGAATCCCCCGCCGCCTCCCCTTCTGGATGTATCTGCGCCGCCTCCTTTCTCCCTCCCCTTCCTTCCAGCCCTTCATTCCCTCGGGGCGGGCGGGCAGGCCGGCAGGCCCCGCGCAAACCTGGGGAAAGGTAGGTGGAGGGTGCGGGGTCCGATAACTGGCGGCCACACCCAGTAGGCCAGGCAGCTGCAGGAAAGAGGTTAAAGGAGTTGGAAGAGATTCTGGGAACTCGGGGAAGGAATCAGGGAAAGCTGCCTGGAGGAGGCGACATTTAAGTTTGGACTGGAAGAGCAAGGCGGGTCAGACAATAATTCATGTATTTACCAAGCATTTATCGAGCACTTACTGTGTTCAAGACCCTGGGGTTGGGGCAGGAGGCAAGATAACTGTGTCCTTATGGGTTTTGCAGTAGGGAAAACAGTGAAGGCAACCATCTCACAAACTGCTGGAGTTGAGACCACCAGAGGGGACAATAGAATGTTAGTTCCATTTGATCAATGAGACCAGAGAGGACTGGGGTGAAATTACTTTCCCACAGTCACAAGTAGTAGAACTGGGATTCGAACGTGTGCTACTGTAACATGAGCCCCTAACCACAGGAGTCTCTGTGGCTTTTCAAAGCAGACACGCTGCTGCACACAGGAGCAGCTGCCAGCCTGCCTTGCAGCAGCCATGGCCATGCTGCAGGGCCCACCCGGGGCAGGTGCTGGCAGAGGGGACAGCCAGCCACTGGTGGGAGATCTTGCCCTGGGAGAGGCAGCAGCGGAAATTGCTGTGGGATGGTGGAGGCTGTGGTGGCCATGATGTGGTTGCTTCGGGGCCCCTGTGGTTCCAACCAGGGCACTGTGCCTGCCTTCTGTGGCTTCTTCACCCACAGAGAACCCTCACTGGGGCCATGTCCTGCTTCCTGGAGCTGAGATTGAGTCTGGGAGCCCAGGTGGAACCCTTCTCACTCTCTGGGGACCTCCCACCCTTTATCTCCTGGGAGGCTGGGCTAGCATTCCTGCTTTATAGAAGAGGAAACCAGGGTCAGAGAGGCATGATGGCTCGTCCAGGGCCACACAGCAGAAGGCCCGTGTCTGCTCAATGACTGAAGATACGCGGCTCTTTTCTTGATTCTCCATTCATTCGTTCATTCACTCACTCACTGTAACACACGCACATATCCTCTGGGTACTCACTATTCCATTGCACAGCAACCTGAAGGCTTCCAGCTAAGCTTGAGCACCTGAGGACCAGCGACTCTGCCTGGGGGCTTCATCCAGCAGCTGCAGCCTGCTGGCCCCTGCCCCAGAAGGCCACCGTGGTGCTAGAGTAGGCTGTAAAGTGCTATCCCCCGAGTAGCCTTGATGCACAACTGACCTGGTGAGAGTTAGTGATAAACAGTTCTGCATCATCGCCCAAGGTTCCCCAGCTGTCCATAGTGTTATGTGCTCATTCCCATACCCTTTGTTGGCTCCTTCCCTTCCCTGTATCATTTTCCTGACAACCTGAAGGTGATTCTTGGGATCTCATTCAAGCCAAAAACCTTGCACTGGAATATTTTTCCGGACTGGGCTTCTGAGGGTAGCAAATGAAGACATTCATTTATTCAGTCTTCAAACACGATTGACCTAACCTGAGCCCGCCCCATGCTGGGCTCTGGGGGTGTGGGCATGATTCATAGGCATTTTCTGGCCTCCAGAGCCCCTTGCTTGACGGAAGAGGCAGGAACAGCTTCTGATGATTCTAACCCAGTGTGGTTAATGACGTGACCACATCTCCAGGGAGAATGACCCCTTCTGCCTGGGAGGTCAAGCGGCATCTCCAAAGATGTTCCCTTCCAGCTTGGCTTTGAAGGATGAGGAGGTGTTCCCCATCGGGACCAGGGGGCTGGGGAAATGGCATTCTTGGCAAAGAGAACAGCATGTGCAGACCAGGAGCAGGAGCAAGGAGGGGCTGACAGATGGTGGCACTAGGGACGTTGGCAGGGTCAGACTGTGCCAGCCTTGAAGGCCAGGGGAGACCCTGGGACTGTGGCGTGGTCATGGGAAACCACCACTGACAGTTTTGGAGCAAGGGCAGGATTTGGTTTTAGGAAACGCACTTTCTCTGGAAAGACCTACAGGTTTAACGGTCCTTCCTTCCTCATTGTAACTCCCAGCAAGTCAAGGGAGTCCACCCTGGTGCAGCTGAACAGCAGCATCGCTATACGTGGAGCTCTTATTAACACTTCATTCACTGGGTCTTCACACCCTTGAGTGAAGCATCCTTTTTAGTAACCTCTTTTTATAAGTGGGGAAACTGAGGCACGGTACAGGACTCAATCAAGGTCCCATAGCTAGGAAGCGGGGGCATTGGGATTAGAACCCATGTTTCTTGGCCAGGCATGGTGGCTCACGCCTGTAATCTCAGCACTTTGGGAGGCCGAGGTGAGCGGATCACCTGAAGTCAGGAGTTCGAGACTGGCCTGGCCAAGATGGCAAAACCCTAAACATACAAAAATTAGCCAGGCGTGGTGGCACACGCCTGTAATCCAAGCTACTCGGGAGGCTGAGGCAGGAGAATTGCTTGAACCCAGGAGGTGGAGGTTGCAGTGAGCCGAGATCGTGCCACTGCATCCAGCCTGGGCAACGGAGCAAGACTCCGTCTTAAAAAAAAAAAAAAAAAAAAAAGACTGGGCACGGTGGCTCATGCCTGTAATCCCAGCACTTTGGGAGGCCGAGGTGGGTGGATCATGAGGTCAGGAGATCGAGACCATCCTGGCTAACATGGTGAAACCCTGTCTCTACTAAAAATACAAAAAATTAGCTGAGCTTGGTGGCAGGTGCCTGTAGTCTCAGCTACTCGGGAGGCTGAGGCAGGAGAATGGCGTGAACCCAGGAGGCAGAGCTTGCAGAGAGCCAGGATCACACCACTGCACTCTCGGGACAGAGTGAGACTCTGTCTCAAAACAAAACAAAAACAAAAACCCAAACAACAACAACAACAACAAAAGAAGCTGTGTTTCTTTGGCTTTAAGCCCATCCTCTACGTTGCGCCACTGCCATGCTTTTCAGAGGCTAGAGGGCTCCAGGAACCACCTTCTTTCCCCGGCACAGCCCTGGGGGTGGGTGGGTGGGCAGAGAAGGGACAAGCAGCCCAAGTCACAGCCAGGGATGGAGACAGCATGGCTTCTTTCGGAGAAATGAAGAAGCAGGAGTGTTATTCTTGGCCAGGATGGGAAACGGGTTGGAATCTTGGCTCCTATGCTCACCAGCCATGTGGTCTGTGGCAAGCCACATCCTCTCTCTGTGTCTTGACTTACCCATCTGTAAAATGGTGGCTCCTCATAACCCCCACCTCATAGGGCTGTTGTGAAGATTGAACGTACTGAAGACTCAAATTCTTAGTACACTGCCAGGCACGTAGGAAGAGCTCTTAGAGTGTTATTTTATAGCCCTCATTTGAGAGGGTGTGGGCAGGAGCACAGCCTCTGGGCTCCAATCCACAAACTGCCATCTACTAGTCCATTTGTGAGCTGGCTGGTAAATTCACCTTCCTGGGCCTCAGTTTCTTCATCAGTAAAATGGGATAATGATGGTGCCTTCCTAGTTGGGTTGTGGTGAAGGTTAAATGAGATGCCATGTGGAAGTGCAGAGGAGAAGGGCTGCTATAAGGGGCTCCAGGTGGGTGCTGCTGTTATGATTGGGCACCTACTGCATGCTGTGTCCCTGCATACAGGAGTCGACCTTTGAGACCTGCTTATTCATGGCTGTTTCACGGATGTCGAAGTGGAGGCTCAGCAGGGTTGGAGGTTCCCGGAGTCTCCCAGCTGGTAAGGGCGGTGTCAGGACTGGAACCCCAGCCAGGCTGACTCAGACATCCCTGGGGCCTGAGCCCAGCAGGGCAGCTGTGACTCAAGTTTGCAGGAAGAGGAGGAGGAGGGTGGGGTAAATGGGTGCTTGACGGAAGCCACAACCTCTATTCCCTCAGAAATGGAAGTGCTTGGTGAGGTTTGGTGTGTCCGAGCCGAAGAGCAGCCAATGACAGGCCTGGGGATCGTCTGGCACAGCCCACTTGACAAGGCCTTGGAAACTTGGTCTCTGCAGCAGCAACCGGATTTCAGCCTGGGCCTCGGACACCTCGGCCTGGGTACGGATGCGACTTGGATGCAGTCCTTCCCTGGCAGTGGAGGGGATGCCCAGGCTGGCACAGGAGTCTCGGGTCCTCTCCGGCTCTACCCCAATCTGCTGTGTGATTTTGGGCCCAGGCAGGGACCCCTCTGGGCTCTGTTACTGGAGAAAAGGCAAATGGCTGGTACGGGTGGGTCCCCAGCCCTCCTTGCCTGGAGGTCTGCGAGTTGGAGGGCTCTGGGGTAAAGCCAGAGCCAGGCCCGGGGAGAGCCTAGGCTCATCTCTGGTGAACAGGGTACCCTCTAGCCAAAGCAGGGGCAAGGCGAGGCACATGCCCCTCATATGGGAGCTGGGGCTGACCCCCTCTCCTAGCCCTGCACACCTTGAGCACGTGGCCTTGGCCCATCTGCCCTGTGGGTGGACACTTTCCAGCCCTGGGTCCTGAACTCTACCAATCAGCAGGAACCTAGACTCCTGAGGGGTGCAGCCTGGATGGGAGGTCAGGGAACTGGGTTCCTGAGCGCATCTCTGTGCCATTCATCTCTCCATTGGTTTCCCAAATGTGGACTGAGCACACACTGTGAGTCAGGCCTGAGCTAGGTTCTAGGGATGCTACTGTCAACAAGACAGATGAAGGTTCCTGCCCTCATGGAGGGGAGGGAGACAATAAGCAAAGAAATAAATGCATGATGTAATGTCAGCCAGGGAGCGATGCTGCAAAGCAGGGTGGGCGTGGGGAGTGACGCAGGCCGGGGTTGGGGAGGCATCGTTGTAGTGGTCGGGAAGACTGCTCCGAGAGGCAGACTGAGGGAAGGAGGATGGACATCTAGATGTCTGAGGGAAGGGCCATTTGGGCAGAGGAAAGAGCACAGGGCTCAGTGTGTGTGGGGGGGAGGTTGGAGGGGGCTCCGTGTGTAAGGGTGCGAATGGGGAAGGGAGGCAGGCTGCGAGTGGACAGGGCTATATGTAGACTTCATTCTAACTGTGACGCAAAGGCCTTGCAGGGTTTGGGAGGGGGACATGATCTCATTTGGTCTTCCCAATAACTCCCTGCCAGAAAGAGACAGAGCCCCAAATTGCAGTGAGGAAGCTGAGGCTTAGAGGACATCCCTGCACATGTCTGGGGTGTCATATCATCATCGGAGGAGCTGGGACTCAAACCCAGCTCTGGAACCTGCTCTGTCCCCAGCTCCATGATAACATTGTGTGAGGTGCTGGGTGCAGCTCCCAACTCCTCCCTGCTCAACCATGCTCTGTTAGCCTGTGGTCTACAGAGTGGCTTCCTCCAGGGATGTCTTGATGTCTTGCCTTTTTTTTTTTTTTTTTTTTGAGACAGGGTGTTGCTCCATTGCCCAGGCTGAAGTGCAGTGGTGGGATGATAACTCACTGCAGCCTCAACTTCCTGGGCTTAACAGATCCTCCCACCTCAGCCTCTCAAGTAGCTGAGATTACAGGTGCACACCAATACGCCTGGCTAATTAAAAAACAACAAACAAACAAACAAACAAACAAAAATATGTTTTTTTTGTAGAGATGGGGTCTCACTGGGTTGCCCAGGCTGGTCTGAAACTCTTGCCCTCAAGTGATCCTCCCGTCTCAGACTCTCCAAGTGCTAGGATTGAGCCACCACGCCCATCTGGGATGCCTTGTCTTTTATACCTTTACTCCACAAATATGTGCTTAGGCATTGCTTGCTGTGGCCAGAACCTTGCAGGGGTGAGAGACACAGGTAAATGAGAGCTGGTCCCAGCCCTCCCTCAGAAAGCTGCTGGACCACAGGGTGACAAAACTGAAGCTGTCTGTCACATCCGGGAGCAGGTGCTATGAGGATAAGCAGCCAGAGAAGACCCCTAACTTGATCTGTGGCCATCAAAGAAGGCACCCAAGGCAGGATGCCTCCCTGAATCCTAAAGCCAATTAGCAGTCAGCCAGGACAGCTGCTAGAGGGGGTCTAAGGGGGAGTGGAGAGGATGTTCCAGGCAGAGGGAACAGCAGACAGGAAGGCTCAGAGGTGAGTGTGAGCAGGCAGTCTCAGGGACCCCAGACAGTTGGTGAGGCTGCAGTGCTCAGGGGAGGTGTGCCAACAGGTAAGCTGGCAGGGCCGGGTCCCTGGGGGCTGGCTTGTCCTTTCTGCCATTGTCTGAGAGAGTGGGTGGCTGGTATCTGGTGGCCCAGATGAAGATAATGGAGATGCAATTGTGTTCTTCTTTCTGCTCAGTGCCTCTCAGTTAAGGACATTTGCAAAAATTAATAACAGCATATGCTTTTATGTCCTCCACTTAAATTTCCTTTGGATTAAAGAAAGTAACGGAGGGAAAGGAAGAAAAGCAGGAAGGAGCGAGAGAGGGAGGGGAGAAAGAGACAAAAGAAGGAAAATAATTTGGGGAAAAAAAATTTGTCCTTTTCTGGGCTAAGATAGCCCCAGCCTTTGCATTTTCTCACCCACTGAGTCACCAGCCTCCTGCCCTCTTTCAGGACTGTACATCTTGGCCTCTTACCTACTGTGTCCGCGTCAGCCTCCCTCACAGCCTGATGGCCCCTGCGGCAGCCCCAACCCGGTTTCAGGGGCTAAGAAAACTACAGTTGCATGAACGGGTGGAGGTGAGTGGGAGGCAGAAGCGGCGGGGAGAACCAGTCTGTTCCGAGATCTCTGGACCAACCAGTGGATCCTGATGGTCAGCCTTGTCTAGAGCCCCTTCCAGCGTGCAGGCCAGTCCTCCTGGCATTCTTCTAATTACACCGAGCTGTGAGTTATGTGTGCCAAGTATGTGCTGGATTTTGTACCAAGTGCTTTCCATTCATCAGTTCAGGGTAGTGATGCAGGTAGCTCCAGGCTCAGAGAGGAACAGTGACTTCTCCCAGGTCACACAGCTGGAAAGTGGCTGAGTCTGGATTCAAACCCAGACTTCCTTGTTGCTAGGACCTGTATTTTCAACCACTGCCTATGCCTCTATAACGAGCCAGCTTATGGCTGTGTTCACGCAAAGAGAAAAGCATCCAAATGGGAAGGCTGGAGAATTCAAGCAATTTTCCCGCGTGTCAGACAGTCCTGTTTCCCTCTCCCTTCAAAAAAAGTCCTGGATTATCTCTCTCTCTCTCTCTCTCTTTCTTTTTCCTTTTCCTTTTTGTTTTTTTTCTTTGTTTGTTCTTTCTTTCTTTCTTTTTTTTTTTTTTTGAAACAGGGTATTACTCTGTTACTCAGGCTGGAGTGCAGTGGTGTGATCACAGCCCACTGCAGCCTTGATGTACCTGTGTCCCTGGCCTCAGGTGATCCTCCCACCTCAGCCTCCCAAGTAGCTGTGACTATCCCGAGAAGCTGAGACTACAGGTGTGCGCATGCCATCACGCCTCACTAATTATTTTACTTTTTGTAAAGACAGGTTTTTTTCGCCATGTTACTCAGACTGGTCTTGAACTCCTGGGCTTGAGTGATCCATCGGCTCCCAAAGTGTTGGGATTACAGGCATGAGCCACTGCACCTGGCCTGACATCTCAGTCTTGATTTGCACTTTTTGCCCAAAATAATCGAGTGTAAGGCAGGCCAGAAGTGGTCAGGGGGCAGGGACAGTCCCCAGCAGGGTGGCAAGTCTTTCTGCAACATTTTTGGAATACAAGCAGAAAGTGATTTGCTATTCCACACAAAACATGATTGGGAGGGCACTGGATGAATACAACTAAGATCTAAGCATTACTTCAACAAATATATACACAGAGCTAAATCAGTATCAGGAAGTAGTGGAGAAGCACTCAGAATAGGCACAGATCTCCACAGCTGTTAAGAGTCTTGTTACTTTTTTTTTTTTTTTTTGAGATGGATTCTTGCTCTGTCGCCCAGGCTGGAGTGCAGTGGCGCGATCTCAGCTCACTGCAACCTCCGCCTCCCGGGTTTAAGTGATTCTCCTGCCTCAGCCTCCCAAGTAGTTTGCCTTAAGGAGTGTAGACAAAAAGCAAGGGAAGCGTCCCCAGAGAGATCCCGGCCCACAGGGTCAGTGCCTCATCCCCACATAACATAAAAACAGCCTGGGACAGGCGCCCATCACCATGCCTGGCTAATTTTTGTATTTTTTAGTAGAGACGGGGTTTCACCAAATTGGCCAGGCTGGTCTCGAACTCCTGACCTGGTGATCCACCTGCCTCGGCCTCCCAAAGTGCTGGGATTACAGGCGTGAGCCACCGCGCCCGGCCACATTCTTTTTTTTTTTTTTTTTTTTTTTTTTTTGAGATGGAGTCTCGTTCTGTCACCCAGGCTGGAGTACAGTGGCATGATATCAGCTCACTGCAATCTCGGGCTCCCGGGTTCAAGCCATTCTCCTGCCTCAGCCTCCCAAGTAGCTGGGATTACAGGTGCACACCACCACGCCCAGCTAATTTTTGTATTTTTTAAGTAGAGACGGGGTTTCACCATGTTGGTCAGTCTGGACTCGAACTCCTGACCTTGTGATCCGCCCACCTCTGCCTCCGAAAGTGCTGGGATTACAGGCGTGAGCCACTGTGCTCGGTCAGCTGTTTATTGATTTTGAGTATGTTATTGATTTTGTGAATGGAGAAGGGATCATCGGGTAGGGTTCTTTGATCTGGAGCAAAAGATATGGATTCTGATTAACCAAAGGGGAAAAAAGAGGGGGGTGGATTTAGTGGAAAGAACTGGAGTAGTTCAGAGAACCAAAGGCAAGCCAGCACGGTGGCTCACGCCTATAATCCCAAAGACTTGGGAGGCTGAGGTGGGAGGATCGCTTGAGCCCAGGAGTTTGAGGCTGCAGTGAGCCATGATCACGCCGCTGCACTCCAGCCTGGGTAACAGAACAAGACTGTCTCAAAACAAATAAACAAAACAAAACAAAGGCCAGGCTTGGACAGGCCACCACCCAAGGTAGCTGCAGGATCTCAGAAATGAGAATTAACAGGCAAGTTTTTTGTTTGTTTGTTTGTTTGTTTGTTTTTGAGACGGAGTCTCGCTCTATCGCCCAGGCTGGAGTGCAGTGGCGCGATCTTGGCTCACTGCAAACTCCGCCTCCCGGGTTCATGCCATTCTCCTGCCTTAGCCTCCTGAGTAGCTGGGACTACAGGCGCCCGCCACCACACCCGGCTGATTTTTTGTATTTTTATAGAGACGGGGTTTCACTGTGTTAGCCAGGATGGTCTCGATCTGACCTCGTGATCCACCTGCCTCGGCCTCCCAAAGTTCTGGGATTACAGGCGTGAGCCACCGCGCCCGGCCTGTTTGTTTTTTGAGGTGGATTCTCGCTCTGTCACCCAGGCTGGAGTACAGTGGCGTCATCTCGGTGCACTGCAACCTCTGCCTCCCACGTTCAAGGGATTCTCCTGCCTCAGCCTCCCAAGTAGCTGGGACTACAGGCGTGTACCACCATGCCCCGCTAATTTTTGTATTTTTAGTAGAGACAGGGTTTCACCATGTTGGCCAGGCTAGTCTTGAACTCCTGATCTCATGTGATCCGCCTGCCTCGGCCTCCCAAAGTGCTGGGATTACAGGCATGAGCTACTGTGCCCGACCAGCAGGCAAGTTTTTGAAGGCAACACTGCTGTGGGTGGTCCACAGGGTGGACAGATGCTGGGCAGTTAATTCAACAGAGGACCTCTCCAGGTGGCTAGGGTGTTGGCTGACAGCATGCAAATCCCCAGAGCTCTCACCTGCAGCTGGCATGTGAAACCCCACTGAACATGAAGCAGTTTTGTTCTGTAAATCCTACCTTTGGATCTGAGAACCAAATATAGGTTGAGATACCTGGCCTACCAGTAACCTTTAGTCTAGACTATGGAATTTCCCTTCTAGAAACTTACCCTGCAGTTAAATTTGCGCAAGAACATGTATGAGAAACAGAATGCAGGGTATAATGTACGTCATCTGCTGGGGACTGGTTAAATATAGGAAGGCTTTAAGAATGAGGTTGGGTACAGGGGCTCACGCCTGTAATCCCAGCACTTTGGGAGACCGAGGTGGGTGGATCACCTGAGGTCAGAAGTTCGAGACCAGCCTGGCCAATGTGGCGAAACCCCATCTCTACTAAAAATACAAAAATCAGGGGCCGGGAGTGGTGGCTCACGCCTGTAATCCCAGCACTTTGGGAGGCCAAGGTGGGTGGATCACTTGAGGTCAGGAGTTTGAGACCAGCCTGGCCAACACGGTGAAACCCCATCTCCACTAAAAATACAAAAAAGTAGCTGGGCATGGCGGCACATGCCTGTAATCCCAGCTACTCGGGAGGCTGAGGCAGGAGAATCGCTGAACCTGGGAGGTAGAGGTTGCAGTGAGCCAAGATCACACCACTGCACTCCAGCCTAGGCAACAGAGTGAGACTCCGTCTGAGAAAAAAAAAAATTTGGGCCGGGTGCAGTGGGTCACCTGAGGTCAGGAGTTCAAGACCAGCCTGGTCAACATGGTGAAACCGCATCTCTCCTAAAAATACAAACGTTATCTGGGCATGGTGGTGCATGCCTGTAGTCCCAGCTACTCGGGAGGCTGAGGCAGGACAATC
Organism: Homo sapiens; assembly: GCF_000001405.40. Lineage (NCBI taxonomy): Eukaryota > Metazoa > Chordata > Mammalia > Primates > Hominidae > Homo > Homo sapiens. Next base: position 19,226,268 of record NC_000017.11, read on the forward strand.
ATTTGAACCTGGAACACCGAGGTTGCAGTGAGCTGAGATTGTGCCACTGCACTCCAGCCTGGGCAACAGAGCAAGACTCTGACTCAAAAAAAAAAAAAAAAAAAGAGCCTGGGCGTGGTGGCTGACGCCTGTAATCCTAGCACTTTGGGAGGCCGAGGCGGGTGGATCACCTGAGGTCAAGAGTTCAAGACCAGCCTGGCCAATATGGTGAAACCCAGTCTCTACTAAAAATACAAAAGAATTAGCTGGGCATGGTGGTGCATGCCTGTAATGCCAGCTGCTCGGGAGCCTGAGGCAGGAGAATTGCTTGAACCTGGGAGGCGTAGGTTGCAGTGAGCCGAGATCGTGCCACTGCACTCCAGCCTGAGCGACAGAGACTCCGTCTCAAAACAAACAAACAAACAAACAGAATAAGGCAGTTCTCTTTTGGTGGGTGTGCAACAATCTCCAAGAGTTACACTGTTAATGATATAAGCATGAGGTAGTGTGTGGAGGGAGTTACTGTTTCCATGCGTGGGGGTGAAGGAAATACATACAATAAGATTATGTCAGAATCTCTGTTACACTGTAACAGTGATTGCCATTAGGGAGGGGACCTGCAGATCAGGAGAAACAGTAGGAGGGAGACTTGTTGCATATGTCCTTATGCACTGATTGAACTTTTTTTCTGTGCATGTATTTTTTTTTTTTTTCTTTTTCTTCGAGATGGAGTATTGCTCTGTCACCCAGGCTGGAGTGCAGTGATGCGATGTCAGCTCACTGCAAACTCCGCCTCCTGGGTTCAAGCAATTCTCCTGCCTTAGCCTCCTGAGTAGCTGAGATTACAGGCATGTGCCACCACGTCTGGCTAATTTTTGTACTTTTTTTTTTTTTTTTGTAGAGATGGGGTTTCCCTATGTTGCCCAGGCTGGTCAAATGCTACTCTTTTGAGCAGACTTCTTTGTATTACAGTTTGGAGTGGTTATGTTTTAACTCTCAAGCCAAGCTGAAAGTTTTAAGTGTGTGAAACTTGTCTGTAAATTTTCTGAAGAAGCAAGCACCGTGCCCTTCTGAGGCAGGTGAGGAGCTACGGCTTTCTCAGAACACACTAAGAGTCTCTTGTAGAAAGGTGCTATGCACATTTCCAAAGAAGGGGCGCTCTGAGAGAGGACAGCAGAGAATAGTGGATAGATGTTGGTCCCTGGCTCTGACTGACATGTGAAAATCTCAGCCTATCAGCTGGGCCACCAGCTATTGCCCCTCTCTGCACCTCAGTTTACTTTGCTCATCTGTTAAACAGTGATAAGTGTGCCTGTCCTACCCTGTTGCAACGATCTGTCAAGAAAACAAGCCAAGACCGGGTGCCGTGGCTCATGCCTGTAATCTTAGCACTTTGGGAGGCTGAGTCAGGCAGATCACTTGAGGCCAGGAGTTCAAGACCAGCCTGGCCAACATGGTAAAACTGTGTCTCTACTAAAAATACAAAAGTTAGCCGGGCATGGTGGCCTGCACCTGTAATTCCAGCTACTCTGGAGGCTGAGGCAGGAGAATCACTTGAACCTGGGAGGTGGAGGTTGCAGTGAGCCGAGATCTCACCACTGCACTCCAGCCTGGGTGACAGAAAACAAAAAAGACCTGAAGCCAAGGTTGTGTCTGTTTACTAAAACAATGCACGTGAAATGTTTTGTCCAGGTAGTTACCATTTCTTTTTCTTTGGGTGGGAGGGGGGTGTTGTTTGCTTTTTGTGGTTGTGTTTTTGTGTTTTGTTTGTTTGATTTGTTTTTGAGACAAGGTCTCGCTACTGGACCCAAGCGATTCTCCCACCTCAGTCTCCCAAAGTGCTGGGATTACAGGTGTGAACCACCAGGCTCAGCTTATGATAACTGTTTCAAGTCAGAATTTGACAATCTGAAGAAAACTTTTTTTTTTTTTTTGAGACGGAGTCTTGCTCTGTTGTCCAGGCTGGAGTGCAGTGGCGTGATCTTGGCTTACTGCAACCTCTGCCTCCCGGGTTCATGGGATTCTCCTGCCTCAGCCTCCCGAGTAGCTGGGATTACAGGTGTGCACCACCACGCCTGGCTAATTTTTGTATTTTTAGTAGAGACGGGGTTTCCCCATGTTGGCCAGGCTGGTCTCAAACTCCTGACCTCAAGTGATCCACCCACCTCGGTCGGCCTCCCAAAGTGCTGGGATTGGGATTACAGGCATGAGCCACTGTGCCCAGCCAAAAACATTTTTTTTTTCTTTTGAGAAAGAGTCTCACCCTGTCACCCAGGCTAGAGTGCAATGGTGTGATCTCAGCTCACTGCAACTTCTGCCTCCCAGGTTCAAGTGATTCTCTTGCTTCAGCCTCCCGAGTAGCTGGGATTACAGGCATGCACCACCACGCCCAGGTAATTTTTTGCGTCTTTAGTAGAGACAGGTTTTCATAATGTTGGCCAGGCTGGTCTCGAACTCCTGACCTTGTGATCCAGCCACCTCGGCCTCCCAAAGTGCTGGGATTATAGGCGTAAGCCACGGTGACCAGCCTGAAAACGTTTTCTAAATGGCCCATTTTGTTTGGAATCTTCACCACTTTGGGAAAAAGCCTAAAGATTAATGGAACAGAAATGTGCCATAAGATCAGAGACTAGATATTGAGTGGATGCTATCTTTTTTTTTTTTTTTTTTTTTTTTTTTTGAGACGGAGTCTTGCTCTGTTGCCCAGGCTGGAGTGCAGTGGCACGATCTCAGCTCACTGCAACCTCTGCCTCCCAGGTTCAAGCAATTCTCTGCCTCAGCCTCCTGAGTAGCTGGGATTACAGGTGCCCGCCACCACGCCCGGCTAATTTTTTGGTATTTTTAGTAGAGACGGGGTTTCACCATCTTGGCCAGGATGGTCTCAAACTCCTGACCTTGTGATCCACCCTCCTCGGCCTCCCAAAGTGCTGGGATTATAGGCGTGAGCCACCGCGCCCAGCCACGGATGCTATTTTTATAGTTACACATTATGCTCTAGGGAGGAAAAATGATGAAGGTCATTGAAATTTGCTTATGAAATATAATTAAAGCTCTGGAAGAAAGATATTATGTAAATCCCAAGCAGAATGATCAGTTTATTAATTGATTTAATGAAGACTGAAAGTATGAAAGTTTGGAACTATCAAAAAAGCTAAATGGAAACCATTTCAAAATGGGGTTACTTAATCCCAGCACTCTGGGAGGCCGAGGCAGGAGAATAACCTGAGGTCAGGAGTTTGAGACCAGCCTGACCAACATGGTGAAACCCCGTCTCTACTAAAAATACAAAATTAGCCGGGGGCGGTAACGCGTGCCCGTAATCCCAGCCACTTAGGAGGCTGAAGCAGGAGAATCGCTTGAACTCCGGAGGCCGAGGTTGCAGTGAGCCAAGATCGAGCCACTGCATTCCAGCCTGGGCAACAAGAGCGAAACTCGGTCTCAAAAAACAAAACAAAACAAACAAAAAAACCCACAAAAAACAGAAAATGGGGTTACTATCAGGAATCTGGATACTGACTAATGAAAATGCAAGTGGGCTGGGCGCGGTGGCTCACGCCTGTAATCCCAGCACTTTGGGAAGCCGAGCCGGGCGGATCACGAGGTCAGGAGATCGAGACCATCCTGGCTAACACGGTGAAACCCCGTCTCTACTAAAAATATAAAAAATGAGCCGGGTGTGGTGGCGGGCACCTGTAGTCCCAGCTACTCGGGAGGCTAAGGCAGGAGTATGGCGTGAACCCGGGAGACGGAGCTTGCAGTGAGCTGAGATCACGCCACTGCACTTCAGCCTGGTCTACAGAGCAAGACTCCGTCTCAAAAAAAAAAAAAAAAAAAAAGAAAGAAAATGCTAGTGGTCTGGCTGAAGAAGGAGAAGAGGGAATTCATTAGTGTGGTGGGCACTCCTGGTCAGCATTTGTTCTTGTCGCAACTCCGGGAATGAGCCCTGATTTGACTACGCCAATTATCATAATTCCCCATTTCACCCTCCCATGATCCAAGTTCTTCCATTCAGAGCAAGCCTAGGATTTTAGTTTGCTGAATTGAGAGAAAGAGATGCTCTCTCTTCCTTCCTTCCTTCCTCCTTTCCTGTCTTCCTTTCTCTCTTTCTCTCTCTTTCTCTCTTTCTTTTTCTCTCTTTCTCTTTCTCTCTCTCTCTCTTTCTTTCTCTCTCTTTCTCTTTTCTTTCTGTCTCGCTCTGTCATCCAGGCTGGAGTGCAGTGGCATGATCTCGGCTCACTGCAACCTTCGCCTCCCGGGTTCAAGCGATTCTTCTGCCTCAGTCTGCCAAGTAGTTGAGACTACAGGCGCGCATCACTATGCCCAGCTAATTTTTGTATTTTTAGTAGAGATGGGGTTTCACCATATTGGCCAGGCTGGTCTCGAACTCCTGACCTTGTGATCTGCCCATCTCGGCTTCCCAAAGTGCTGGGATTACAGGTGTGAACCACTGCACCCAGACTGCTCTCTGTTTTCCATGGCATGGCCAGAGATCTGAGGCATGGATGTGCCACAGCCAATCTGCAGCTAGTCAAGACACCAGCCAAGGAAAATGGCCACATGTCCAAGAGGCATATGCTAAAGAATGGAGCCAGAGCCTTGATCGCACTGCACTTGAACCCTAGCTCTGGAAATTTTGGTTAAATGAGCCAATTGATTCCAATTATCATTTAAGCCAGTTTCAGTGGGGTTTTTCTCTTCCTTTCTTTCTTTCTTTCTTTTTTTTTTTTTTTTTTGGGTAGGGTCTTGCTCTGTTGTCCAGGCTGGAATACAGTGGCACAATCATGGCTCATTGCAACCTCAACCTGCTAGGCTTAAGGGATCCTCCCGCCTCAGCCTCCCAAGTAGCTGGGACTACAGGTGAGCACCACCACGTCCAACTAAGTAAAAAAAAAATTTTTTTTTTAAGAGACAACGTCCCACTATGTTGCCCAGGCTGGCCTCCTACTCCTAAACTCAAGTGATCCTCCCGTGTGGAGCACCAAAACTGCTAGGATTATAGGTGTGAGCCACCTCAGCTGGCCTGGGTTGGGTTTTCTTTTTCTGTTTTTTTTTTTTTTTTTTTTTGAGAAGGAGTCTCACTCTGTTGCCAGGCTGGAGTGCAGTGGTGCAATCTGGGCTCACTACAACCTCTGACTCCCTGGTTCAAGCAATTCTCCTGCCTCAGCATCCTGAGTAGCTGGGATTATAGGCACGTACCAACATGCCCAATTAATTTTTCATATTTTTAGTAGAGACAGGGTTTCACCATTTTGGTCAGGATGGTCTTGATCTCCTGACCTCCTGATTCACCCGCCTTGGTCTCTCAAAGTGCTGGGATTACAGGCGTGAGCCACTGTGCCTGGCCTGAGTTGGGTTTTCTATCACAATAGTTCCAAAAAATGTATTGGCTTGTGTGCTGAAAAGTCTATGCTTAAAGCTTCAGGCATGGCTGGCTGGCTGGTTCAAGGTGCTTAATATCAGCAGGACTCTATCTTTTCTCTCATCTCTGTTCCCATCTGTGTTGGCTTCATTCTTAGGCTGGTTCTCCATTATGGAGCTACTCCAGGCTTATATCCCACTAGCTCAGTAACCTGATAGGAAGAGAAGCTTCTTTTTTTCTTTTTTTTGAGACGGAGTTTCACTCTTGTTGCCCAGGCTGGAGTGCAATGGCACAATCTTGGCTCACTGCAACCTCTGCCTCCTGGGTTTGAGCGATTCTCCTGCTTCAGCCTCCCAACCAAGTAGCTGGGATTACATGTACCACCACGCCTGGCTAACTTTTTTTTTTTGAGATGAAGTTTTGCTCCTGTTCCTCAGGCTGGAGTGCAGTGGCATGATCTCGGCTCACTGCAGCCTCCGCCTCCCAGGTTCAAGCGATTCTCCTGTCTAAGCCTCCTGAATAGCTGGGATTACAGGTGCACGCCACCACACCCAGCTAATTTTGTATTTTTAGTAAAGACGGGGTTTCACCATATTGGCCAGGCTGGTCTCAAACTCCTAACCTCAGGTGATCTGCCCGCCTCAGCCTCCCAAAGTGCTGGGATTACAGGCATGAACCACTGCACCCCGGCCCCTAGAAGCTTCTTTTTTCAATGATTTCTGTAGAAGTCCCAGGCTTGGCTTGAGAGTCATTGCTCTGCTATGAGTCAGGTGCCCATTCCTGAACTAATCACTGACCAGGGAGAGAAAGCTCTGATTGACTCAGGCTCAGAGCTGGAAGGGAGAAGGAGTCGCTCCCTTCAGCCTATTCAGATTCTTCCCAAGAGTTTAGTTTTAGGCATGGTGGCTCATCCCTGTAATCTCAGCACTTTGAGTGGGTGGCTGAGGCAGGGGGATCAACTCCAGGAGTTTGAGACCAGCCTGGGCAACATTATGTGATCCTGTCTCTACAAAAAAATTGGAAAAAATAGCCAGGTGTGGTGTAGTCCCAGCTACTTGGGAGGCTGAGGTAGGAGGATTGTTTGAGCCTAGGAGATTGAGGATGCAGTGAACCATGATTGTGCCACTGCACTCTAGCCTGGGTGACAGAACAAGACCCGGTCTCTCTCTCACACACATACACACACACACACACACACAAAAGGCTGGGCATGGTGGCTCACTCCTGTAATCCCAGCACTTTGGGAGGCCAAGGTGGACAGATCACCTGAGTTCAGGTGTTCAGGACCAGCCTGGCCAACATGGTGAAACCCCGTCTCTAAAAAAATAGAAGGGCCGGGTGCAGTGGCTCATGCCTGTAATCCCATCACTTTGGGAGGCCAAGGCAGGCGGATCATCTGAGGTCAGGAGTTGGAGACCAGGCTGACCAACATGGTGAAACCACGTGTCTACTAAAAAAATACCAAAATTAGCTGGGCATGGTGGCACATGCCTGTAATCCCATCACTTTGGGAGGCCAAGGCAGGCGGATCATTTGAGGTCAGGAGTTCGAGACCAGGCTGACCAACATGGTGAAACGGCGTGTCTACTAAAAAAATACCAAAATTAGCTGGGCATGGTGGCACATGCCTGTAATCCCAGCTACTCAGGAGAATCGCTTGAACCAGGGAGGCGGAGGGTGCAATGAGCCGAGATTGCGCCACTGGACTCTAGCCTGGGCAACAGAGTGAGACTCCATCTTAAATAAATAAATAAATAAATAAATTTAGAAATACAAAAATTAGCCAGGTGTGGTGGCACATGTCTGTAATTCCAGCTACTTGGGAGGCTAAGGTAGGAAAATTGCTTGAACCTGGGAGGCGGAGGTTGCGGTGAACTCCGCGCCACTGCACTCCAGCCTGGGCAACAAGAACGAAACTTCGTCTCAAAAAACAAAGAAAAAAAGTTTAGCTTTGGAGTTTAGGCTTGGGTTTTCCAGGGTTACCACTTTTTAGCTGTGTTATCTTGGGCAAATAATGGAAGCTTTCTGAACCTCAGCTGTAAAATAAGGATAACGGTAGTCTCTACCTCTTAGGGTTTTTTATGAAGAGGAAATGAGGTACTGCATGCAAAACATTTGCACAATGCTCACTACTTTGTTGTCATTGTTACTAGTTCCTTTCTCCAGCACCTGCACTTCCAGGATGTTGGCACAGGTCCTTCCTTCCCCATGGGCTAGAAGGAAACTTCCTCCTGTGAGAGCTGTCATAGCTCTTTCTCTTGATTGTCTATGTGGCATTTGGTTTCTGCTCATGTTCATGCTGCCCAAACTCAAAACTTCTCTGTCCTAGACTTTCAACCCCTAGAAGGGAAAGGATGGCTCCATTCTTTTCAATGTCCTTAATAAGAGAACTGCCATCAACACCCATCCAGTGCATTTACAGTTTCCAAAGCATTTCCTCCTCTGCCTTTTCACCTGAGCCAGAATGCAATCCTAGGGAGTGGGAGGGGTTATTATTCCCACTTCACAGATGGGGAAACTGAGGTCCAGGGAGGGGCAGTGACGTCATGGTCAAGCAGCAAGTCGGTGGACAAGAAATTAGGTGTTTCTGGATTGCCAACACAAGTTTCTTTTTGTGGGACAAATAGTTTTGAATATAGAGTTCAAGCCTTTGGTGAAGATCCCGGGGAGCCTGTTCTGCACCTGTGCTAAGTGATTCTTTTCATTCAGCATGCAGTCTGTCCCTGTCTGCTGCCTGCCAGTCTTTCCCCCAAAGTCCCTTCCTGCTTGAAACCCTCCTTCCCTAACCCCAGAGACACCCCTGGCCTGCACTGCCAGCTCTTTCTTCTGAAATACACCTCTCCAACCGGCCCCCATCAGTCTGCTCCATTATCCACCTGGAACCAACCTCCAAACCTCTGCAAGGGCAGATGAGAGTGTCTCCTCCAGCCCTGTTTTCCATGGACTGCTTTGGGCACGGATGAAATTGTTCAGCTTATCCTGCAAGTTCCTCTGCAAGACTGCTTATGTGCTCTAGACTCATAGAACCTGGAATTGAATCCTAGCCCTGCCACATGCTGCCTCAGTTTCCGCATCTAAAATAGGAATAGGGCTGCTGACGTCAAGGGATCATCATGAGGATGAATTGAGAGAGGAATGCCAGGGGGCTGATACGCTTCAAGGAGGGGGTCCAGGAAAGAGAAATGACTTTGAGGAATGCAAGAATGTCCCCTCTGACCTTGCACGTGGCGGTCTTCCGGCCTCAGGACACCCTCCTCCACTTCCCAAGCCTGGGCTAATCTGGTATTCTCCAACTCACTTCCTGTCCTGTAGGTTAGCTCATCATCTCATTATCTGTATCCAGTTCTCTTTCCAGGCTTGCATATTATCTGTGCGGCTACACACACTTGCTAGGTGGGTAGTGAAGGGAGTATTAGGCTCTGCATATGGAAAAGTGGGCCTGGGTGGCCAAGCCCCAGCATATCTCCAAACCTCAATTTCTTGTCTGTAAAATGTGAACAGCAAGAATGTGCACCTTGCTGGGCACGGTGGCTCACACCTGTAATCCCAACACTTTGGGAGGCTGAGGCGGGAGGATCACGAGGTCAGGAGTTCGAGACCAGCCTGGCCAACATGGTGAAACCCTGTCTCTACTAAAAATACAAAAATTAGCCAGGTGTGGGGGTGCGGGCCTGTAATCCCAGCCACGTGGGAGGCTGAGGCAGGAGAATCACTTGAACCTGGGAGATGGAGGTTGCAGTGAGCTGAGATTGTGCCATTGCATTTCAGCCTGGGCAATAGAGTGAGACTCCGTCTCAAAACAAATAAATAAAAAAAGAATGTGCACTTGTGGAATTGTGGTAAGGTTTTAGACCAGCACTGGTCAGCATGGTAGCATCTAGCCACATATGGCTATTTACATTTAAATTAATAAAAGTTTAATGAAGTTTAAAAAATTCAGCCCCTCAGTCTCACTAGCCACATTTCAAGTGCTCGCTGGCCTCCTGTGACTCGTAGCTATCCTACGGACAGCACGCAGAAAGAACATTTCCATCGTGGAGGGAAATTCTGCTGAACAGTGCTGATTTAGAAGCATCACGCCCGTGCTGTGCATCAGCTCTGTGTTATAACTCATCTGACATTGTAAACTCAGGGCAGAAGCATGATTGCAGTGTAAAGTTCTGCTTTCCTTGGAGATGGGGTAAAGAGGTGAGGCTCACAAGGAATGTTGGACTGGTTGAGGGCATTCTCTGGGATGAGGGTGGACCAAGTTCAAAACGGGGAGCTCCGGCTTCTGCTGCAAGGCAGGCACATAGGGCATAATTCCCTCTGCTGGTGGAGAAGGGGCACCAAGCAGTGGGAAGGGTGGTTAACTGGAGAGTGTTTCTAGCATCTAGAGCTACCAGTGTTTGACTTTTCAAAGGAAAAGTGGCTATGTGGTTTTGCAAACGTGTTACAAGCTCTCTCCATTTTTATCGTATTTATTGTATCACTAGCTAGACTAATAAAGAAAAAAGAGAAGATACAAGTAAACATAATCAGAAAGGGCAAAGAGGACATTACCACCGACCCCATACAAACACAAAAAAGCCCTCAAAAACTATTATGAACACGTCTATGCACACACACTAAAAAACTTACAATAAATAGATGAATTCCTGGAAAGATACAACCTTTTTTTTTTTTGCCAGAGAATGGAATTCCAGATCCTGGGTTGTTAGAACCTTAAGGGATACTTTCATCCCCTGGTTCCTGTACAGGGAGGAGGAATCTGAGGCTCAGAGAAGTACAGTGACTTGTTTAAGGTCCCTCAGTGAGTTAGGGCAGAGGAAGACTTCTGGCCACAGCTTCCCTGAAGCCAAGGCTAGGCAGAGTGTTGATGTCACCCAGGCAACAGGGATGGTGCCCTCTGCCCACCTAGCAAGCCCTGACTCATGCTCCGCGCCCCTGCTGTGAGAAGTCTCTGCTGACTCCCACCCTGATTGGAGCAGGTTAGTCAGCTTTGAGGTGCAGCCTCCAGTTCTGGCCCCTCCAGTTCCGGGACTCTCATTCGAGGCATTTGGGGCTGTCTCATTTCTGTGCCCAGCACAGGGCTTGGCACAGAGGAGGTGCTTTGTGGGTGCCCGCCAGTCAAGGGTTTCCGTTTTCGTGCCATGTAGGTAACCCCTTGCCATTCGTGCCCTTAGGTAACCCCTTGAGCAGCCTAAAGAAGCCTAGAGACTTCTCCGTTTTTGAGTATATTTTATTGACGTGAAATACACGCACGGAAAAGCGCACAAATCCAAAGTGTACTTCCGCGCATCTTCATAAAGTGAACACACTTGTAGCCTAAGAACCCAACCCTACCAGCGCCCGGCAGGCCCTGGCCCCCTTCCAGTCTCTCCTACTGAACAAGGTTTTTGAGTGAAACCGGCAGGCCGGAGCGTGAGTTTCTGCTTGACGGGGCGGGGTCTGCGCGTGCTGCCCGGCCGTGAGTGTGGGGGGGCCGTGAGTGTGTACGGGGTGGAGTGGCCTGAAGGGGATTAGAGTGCGCGCGTTCGGGTATTAATTTGCCAGGGTTTGTGTGGCGCTCGGGATTGGGGGTTTTTTGGGGGCTCGGGCGTCGACTGTGGGGCGCTGCGGAAGGGTGGGTCGTCCGCGTGGGGTCCTGGAGCGCAGGAGGCGGAGGGGAAGCCGCGCAGGGGCCACTAGGGAGGGGCTCTGGCGGGGTCGCAGGGGCGTGGTCTGCGGGCGTGGGGGCGGGACCTCGGGGCCTCGGGGGCGGGGCCTGAGGGCGCGCGCACGCGTCCGGCGCGCCCCCTCCCGGCCGCCATGTTGGCTGGTGTGTGGGTGTCAAACTGAGCCAGACGCGGCGGTGGCGGCGGCTCCGCGGGCTACGGTCGCTCCCGCCTCTCGAGCGCTGCCGGTGGCCGCAGCGGCGCACCCACGCCGGCCCGGAGGAGCAGAGGTGAGCCACAGCCCGTGGGGCTCCAAGGCCAGAGCGAGTCCCCGGGGCGAGGACCCTCCCCCTCTCCAGGGCGCGGACGCCCCCAGAGCACAGGCTCCCCTACCTCACCAGCCCCGCCAGGGCATGCGCCCCTGCCGCCCCGCTGGTCCCTACGCCAGGCTCTGGGGGATCCCCTTCTTTCCAACCAGGCCCCGCCCCACGGACTGGAGCATGGCCCCCTTCCCATCTGGATCCAGCTTTCCGCTGCAAGGATCTCCCCCCTTACCCGTCCCTATCACCGAGCATCTCCTTTTATGTCCCCAGAGTCCAGGGCGCCCCTTACTCCTACCTCGGATCCTGGAGCCCCGTTCATCTTGGAACAACCCCGCCCCCTCCCCAGAGCACGTTCCTCCTCTCCCCGAGCCCGGCGCCCCTTCCTCCTGAGCCCAGCCTGGTCTCCCGCCAGCCCCCGTGCAGAGCCCGGTCCGGGCGCCCTCCGGGAATCGGGGGAGGGGTCCTTATCTCTGTCCGGGATCCCGCCCGTCTCACCTTTCCTGGGGGCTGTAGCAGGGCCCCCTTCCGTCCTTGGGGACCAGGCTCCCCACTCCCCAGCCCCCACTCCCACGGAACAGCGGGGACGGGGGCGGAAGAGCCAGGCTCCAGCTGCCTTTTGTTCCGCGTGGGATGGCAGAGACCCACCCGGCCCGGCGGTCCTGCTCGGCTGATCCGGGTGGGTGAATGGGTGCGTGGGGTCTGGCCTCTTCCAGGAGAGACTTCCTCTCTCTCCCTGTGGGGCGGCTCCCCTAGAGCCGAGAGCCGAGCGCGTTGGGAGGCTGGCCTTTGCTAGAGGAGTCGGTGCCAACAGGTTTTTGTTTGCGACCTGAAGTTTGCCCAGTGGCTTTCCCTGGGGCAGCTTGAGCTCCCTGTGAATCCCCCCGCCGGAGCTTGTGGAAGGCCGTTTCTCCGCCCAAGGAGTCCGTCTGGGCGACTCCTTCACAGTTGTGCTTCCCTGGGGACGTATCTAAAATCTGTGCTTTAAGAGCGGAGAGGGCTTAACCATCATTAGGGTTCAGATGAGGGAAACTGAGGCCCAGAACTGCAGTAATTTGCCCAAGGTCACGCAGTGATACTGTGTCAGTGCAGAACTAGAAGCTAGGTCTCCAGGCTCTGTTTACCACATTTAATAACTTTTTTATCTTTTAGGGAGATGTTCAGGACCCTACCTTCCCCTTTATTTTTAATATTTATGCAAGAAAGTGGGCAGGAAAATATGAGAAGTAATGAGTTATTCCTTTTCACCTCCAGAAAATATCCTGTGAAAGAAGGGATTGGAACAGGGTGTTAAAATGATGGGAAAAGGTGAATTTTAAGAATCCAAGCTTCCTCTCATTATGTAATATAACGAAGATTTGGCAGAAAACGTGCCTCTTGTAGCTCTAGATACAGAATTTTAGGTGCTGACAAAATCTTATGCTGAATCTGGCACAGCAGTGATTGAGTTAGCATTGATAATTAAGTTTTCATCTGTATTTAAATGAACATCAAAAGGGACTACAATTTGCTTCTGAATGGTACTTGTTCGGTGCTTGTTTTTGGGACAAGTGATTGTGTTGGGGAAGCGCACCTAAACTTTTAAATTTTTTATTTATTTATTTTTTTGAGACGGAGTCTCTGTCACCCAGGCTAGAGTGCAGTGGCACGATCTCGGCTCACCGAAACCTCCGCCTCCTGGGTTCAAGCGATTCTCCTGCCTCAGCCTCCGGAGTAGCTGGGATTACAGGCGCACGCCATCCACCACGCCCGGCTAATCTTTGTATTTTTAGTAGAGACGGGATTTCGCCACGTTGGCCAGGCTGGTCTCGAACTCCTGACCTCATGTGATCCGCCCACCTCGGCCTCCCAAAGTGCTGGGATTACAGGCGTGAGCCAACACTCCCGGCCTAAATCTTTTATTTATCTGTATTTTTACTTTTACATTTTAAAAGCTTATTTATTTCCCTGGTTTTAAAATTGGGCTAGTCATCTTTACCAGTCTCACTGGGCTATTCTTTTGTAAGCAGGGAATGAGATACTGGTTATTAAAGATTTTGGTAAAGTGTAAGTTACTGTAAGGCATGATTCAGGACTGCGTCCCACAAGTCCCCGGACCAGGAGCCAGTTCGGATTGTCTTGTGGGATGTACCAAGTTTCCCTGGTTTACAGAGGCTTTTTGCCTCTCTGAAGCCTGAGCTGGCCAGATGGAGAGCTCTGTGGAAAACTTCCAGCAGTGTGTGTTGGGCCAAGCACTCGAGGTGTGAAGAAATGTAAAACTTTCAAGTGATAATATCTAGCATCGTGTATGCAGCCTTGAAAAATGACCCAACCTTTGTAGAAATTCTCTGTTATCACTAACCCTCTTCCATAATGAGCGGAGGATTTCCCAAGAATTGGGATTCTGATAAGAGTCCTGCAAAAGTTGAAAAGTTTTCGGACTTTTTTTTTTTTTAACTTTAATTAGGAGGAGCGGCAACTTTCGGTTGTGAACTGAAGTACTATGAGATTTTTATGCATGGAATTGTCCTTGTCATACTTTTGGAAAGTACATTAAAATTTTCTAAGTTTTCTGGCGGTTCTCACTGTTCCCCATAACCTTTCTCTCTGGTGTATAGGGGTGTGAAGGACCACGATTGTTGTCATTTTATGACATGTATACCTGGTGACCCTGAGCCTTGGAGAAGTCAAAGGGCTTGGATTTGGGGAATTTTTTTTTTTTTGAGATGGCGTCTCACGCTGTCACCCAGGCTGGAGTGCAGTGGCGCAATCTTGGCTCACTGCAAACCTCTGCCTCCTGGGTTCAAGTGATTCTCCTGCCTAACCTCCCGAGTAGCTGGGACTACAGGCGTGTGCCACCATGCCCGGCTAATTTTTGTATTTTTAGTAGAGATAGGGTTTTGCCATGCTGGCCAGGCTGATCTCGAACTCCTGACTTCAAGTGATCCACCTATCTTGGCCTCCCAAAGTGCTGGGATTACAGGTGTGAGCCACCATGGCCGGCCTTGGATTCGGGGAAGTTGAGGCTGGAAAAGATGTGAGGAATTACGTAGTTTGTATCCCTTTTTTGTCTGCTGGACTTTTAACTCATGTATTCGGTGTAAACAGACCTCTTCTGTCAATACTTTGCCGTCTAGCTCGTCCGATGTTTGGCCCCTTTTTCTCTGCTATCCTACCTTCACCAACCCACACAGTCTGCTGGTGCACTTACGACATTGTCCGTGTATCTGGGGCTCTTGTGACACTGTGACGTCTTTGAGGCCAGTGGTCAGCTTGTCTTTACTTCTCCAGTACCAGGCTCGGTCTCTGATAGATGGTAGATGCTCAGTAAAGGTTTGTCACCAGTATTCCTCGAGGCAGGGGAGCACATTTTTATGGCTCCCTACTGTTCTGTCGCACTGTTGCTGAAATCACTACTGTTGGTTCAGCAATTGTGTGTCAGTTGCATAGGTTTATCCACCTCATCTGCAGGTGAGGAAACTGAGGCCTAGGGAGCTTAAGTTACATGCTCGAGGTCGCGCAGCCAGTAAGTGATTTGAACAGATCTGTTGGACTCCAAAATGTTATTATACCTGTTACCTACTTCGAGGACCAAGTCTCATGGGGATGAAGAGACACACTGCAAGTTAACAGTGGACTGAGGGAGGTGGGGTGATATGATTAAGGTGGTTGAGGATGGGAAGAGCACATTTGTTTTTTGTCAGATGCATTGTGAAATGAATGTTTATGTCCATCTGTTGAGTTTTTGAAAATTGACAAACTTGCCGGGCATGGTGGCTCACGCCTGTAATTCCAGCACTTTGGGAGGCCAAAGCGGCCGGATCACCCTGAGGTCAAGGGATCGAGACCATTCTGGCCAACATGGTGAAACCCCATCTCTACTAAAAATACAAAAATTAGCTGGGCGTGGTGGTGCACACCTGTAGTCCCAGCTACTCGGGAGGCTGAGGCAGGAGAATCACTTGAACCTGGGAGGCAGAGGTTGCAGTGAGCCGAGATCGCACCACTGTGCTCCAGCTTGGCGACAGAGCAAGACTCTGTCTCAAAAAAAAAAAAAAAAAAAAAATTGACAAACTTTCTGATAAGTTCGTCAATGGAATTTTATTGCTTAACTAGTTCATTCAAGTTAACTAAAAATAGAAACTTAGAAAAACAAATACAGTGAAATAAGTATATGTTGAAAGCCGTTTCAGCAGCCTTTTTTTAAACCACTGTAATTTCCATCAACATTTAACATAGGGATTATCACCCATTTGTGAGTAGAAAAACTGAGGCCCAGAGAGGTTAAGTAAGCTGTGAGGAACTGGCACAGCCAGGATTCAAAGTGAATCTGTGTAATTCCCAGGCCTGGGTCCCTTCTGCTCCACTGGCCCCTGTAGAAGGCCCCACAAAATAATAGGTATTCATTTAAATAATAGAATAAATTTGTTGTCTGAAAGTCACCACCAAGTTTATTTAGAAGGTTGGGAATTGTGAATAACGAGATTTCTGGCTCTTTCCTAACCTTAGAACCTTTGAAAACACTGTGGTTTGAATGTCAATAATTAATGGATCATTTTAGCTGAGAGACACTAGATTTGGTGTTTGATCTGAAAAAAAAAAAAAAAAAGCCTAGGCCAGCCACGGTGGCTCATGCCTGTAATCCCAGCATTTTGGGAGGCTGAGGTGGGCGGATCACTTGAGGCCTAGAGTTTTTGAGACGAGTCTGGCCAGTATGGCAAAACCCTGTCTTGACCAAAAAAATACAAAAATTAGCCGGGCATAGTGGCATACACCTGTAGTCCCAGCTACTCAGGAGGCTGAGGCAGGAAAATCACTTGAACCTGGGAAGGGGAGGTTGCAGTGAGTCTCCAGCCTGGGTGACAGAGCAAGACTCTTGTCTCAAAAAACAAAAACAAAAAACCTGTCTTCTTTTGAACCAGATCCGCAACATTGTTAAAATGCTCCCTATCCATGCATTGGATTCTTTCTGTGACTCATTCCCCTAGTACCTAGGTGCTGGAGCCTGCTTCGTTCCTGGGCATAGAAAGTCCTTTTCCTGATTCTGTTTCCTGTTGGTCCTGGTCTAGGCAGAGTGTGCTTCACTTTCAAGCCCTCTAGAGACAGGACAGGTAACTTAATTCTCTTTCTGTTCAAAGCAATACAAGGAATTGGACATGCAAAGGGCTGTAAATAAAGGGACTCCCCATCTTCTCTTCATGGTAACCCTGCTGATATATAGAACAGGGAAAAGTAGGCTCATCCTGGGGGACGGCTGATTGTTTAGGGCTAATGCATGATGTGGATTTAAAAGCATTTATAATTAATCACTTCTGAGTGCAGGCTTCATTTTTCCTCTTGGTCCCACCCCTCTTAGGTAGTTGCACGTTGCAGCAGCTCGATAGCTGAGAACACCAAGTGGTACAGTTAATTTGGCTTCAAAGGCCATGTGGCAGATAGCTTTGGAATGAGGTGTGGGTACTAATGGGCCTCCTGGCTGGGTGGCTTTGGGCACTTTAATCACTGAGCTTTGGTGTCCTCATCTCTAAAGGGGGGCTCGTAATCACTACTTCATGAAATAGACTAGCCTTGTTTCTCAAACTCCTGTGTGCAGCAGAAGCACCCAGAGGGCTTGCTGAACACGTGGCTGGGGCTGCACCCCATTGTTTCTCATTAGGGAGGGGAGGCCTGAGAATGTGTCTTTTTTTTTTTTTTTTTGAGACAGAGTCTTGTTCTGTTGCCCAGGCTGGAGTGCGGTGGCGCGATCTTGGTTCGCTGCACTCCACCTCCCAGGTTAAAGCGATTTTTCTGCCTCAGCTTCCTGAGTAGCTGGGATTACAGGTGTGTGCTACCATGCCTGGCTAATTTTTTTTTTTTTTTTTTTTTTTTTTTTGAGACGGAGTCTCGCTGTCTCCCAGCCTGGAGTGCAGCGGCGCGATCTCAGCTCACTGCAAGCTCCGCCTCCCGGGTTCACGCCATTCTCCTGCCTCAGCCTCCCGAGTAGCTGGGACTACAGGCACCCGCCACCACACCCGGCTAATTTTTTTGTATTTTTAATAGAGATGGGGTTTCACCGTGTTAGCCAGGATGGTCTCGATCTCCTGACCTTGTGATCCGCCTGCCTCGGCCTCCCAAACTGCTGGGATTACAGGCATGAGCCACTGCGCCCGGCCATGCCCGGCTAATTTTTTGTATTTTTAGTAGAGATGGGGTTTTACCACGTTGGCCAGACTGGTCTCAAACTCCTGACCTCAAGTGATCCGCTTGTCTTGGCCTCCCAAAGTGCTGGGATTACAGGTATGAGCCACTGTGCCTGGCAGAGAATGTGTATTTTTAGCCAGCTTCCAAGTGCTGCTGATGCTGCCAGTCTAGGGACCAAATTTGGGAACCTTGGCCCAGAGGACTTTATGGGAAGGTGTGTAAGATGTCTAGCACCTGCTGGCTGTGCAGTAGGAACTCAAAAATGACACTGAAATGTTTCTGAATATTGGTCTGAAGATGATGGATGGCGTGACATTTGGAAAGGAAATGGGGAGAGAAGATGTCATTGTCCTTCAAAAAGGCTGTAAATCTTGGATGCTGTTGAAAAAGCAGGTTCATCATTCTCACACATCATGTAAGAAGTTTACTGTCTAGGCCTTTTAGAATTGTAACTTGGGGGCTGGGTGCAGTGGCTCATGCTTGTAATCCCAGCACTGGGAGGCTGAGGCTGGTGGATCACTTGAGGCCAGGAGTTGGAGACCAGCATGGCCAACATGGCGAAACCCCATTTCTACTAAAAATACAAAAATGAGCCAGGTGTGGTGGCGTGGGCCTGTAGTCCCAACTACTCGAGAGGCTGAGGCACGAGAATTGCTTGAACCTGGGAGGCGGAGGTTGCAGTGAGCCGAGATTGTGCCACTACACTCCAGACTGTGTGAGGGAGTGTGACTCTTCTCAAAAAAAAAAAAAAAAGAAAGAATTGTAACTTGAAAAGGTTGAGGGAGTAATGTTGTTGGGTCCTGGATTCCCACGGGGCCACTTGGCATGGACCACTGGTGTTAATGGAAGTTGCTTCTCCTCCCTGCAGCAATTCAGATTTAATATTCTTTCATGTTTACAGTTCGAATTTTTTTTCTTCAGTGGTAATTATCAACTTGTCCATCAAAACCGAATGTGCAGGGAGGTGTGTGTGAGCCCCGATGGTTTTTGAATATTTCCTGTGTGCGAGGCCTTATATTACTAATTTTATGCACTGTGTTTAATTTTCATGGTGGTCCTGCAAGCCCTATCACCATTTCTCATTTTGCATTTTAAAAAACTAAGAGGGGTTCAGTAACCTGCCCCAGGCCATACAGTTAGTATGAACTCCTGCTGGTATGCCCCAGCTGGTATTTGCTGCCACCTGTGTCAAACTCAGAACTGCTTTATTTCCACGACCTCATTTGCAGCTGTGCCAGGTGCGCCCATTACCTCACTGTACCCTCACAACAACCCCAAGAGGTAGGCTGAGCAAGCTGAGGCTCGGAAGAGGCAAGCTTGGTCATGGGCACCTGGCCAGTGGCTGGCTGGACCTGAATTCAGTCCCACACCTGTCTGATTTTGGAGCTTTATGAAGTTGTTTCTATGATAACAGCTTACCTCTCTGTCAGGTGGCCCTAAGCTGCCTGGATGTGTACAGCAGGGACCTAGGGCTACCCTAGATGGCTTGACCCCAAGGAAGTCTGTGTGGGCTAGTAAGGGTTTTTGTGTTTGCAGAGCTGTGTTAAAATAATTGGCCAAATTTTTCCTTGAGCGAAGGGGACATTTCTTTTTACTTTGTGATCCTGCAGCTCTGCACACTGGTGTGGGTACTAAGGACTGAAAACCCTCTACTAATGCTACTTTGTTAAAAGGGGGTCAAATATGGAATTTGGTAGTCTTTTTTTTTTTTTTTTGAGTTGGAGTCTCTGTTGCCAGGCTGGAGTGCAGTGGCGGGATCTCAGCTCACTGCAGCGGCGGGATCTCAGCTCACTGCAGCCTCTGCCTCCCAGGTTCAAGCAATCCTCCTGCCTCAGCCTCCCGAGTAGCTGGGACTATAGGCATGTGCCACCACACCCAGCTAATTTTTATATTTTTAGTAGAGATGGGGTTTTGCCATGTTAGCCAGGATGGTCTTGATCTCTTTTTTTTTTTTTTTTAAAGATGGAGTTTTGCTCTTGTCGCCTAAGCTGGAGTGCAATGGCGCGATCTCGGCTCACTGCAACCTCCATCTCCTGGGCTCAAGTGATTCTCCTGTCTCAGCCTCCTGAGTAGCTGGGACTACAGGCACGTACCACCACGCCTGGGTAATTTTTTTGTATTTTTAGTAGAGACCAGGTTTTACCATGTTGGCCAGGCTGGTCTCGAACTCCTGACCTCAGGTGATCTGCCCGCCTCGGCCTCTCAAAGTGCTGGGATTACAGGCGTGAGCCACCATGCCCGGCCCTTCTTCATCTCTTGACCTTGTGATCCTCCTACCTCGGGCTCCCCAAGTGCTGGGATTACAGGCGTGAGCTATCGCACCCAGCTGGAATTTGGTAGTCTTAAAAAGTTACATGTGGCTGGGCGTGGTGGCTCATACCTGTAATCCCAGCACTTTGGGAAGCCGAGGCAGGTGAATCATGAGGTCAAGAGATCAAGACCATCCTGGCCAAATGGTGAAACCCCATCTCTACTAAAAATACAAAAATTAGCTGGGCGTGGTGGCGCATGCCTGTAGTCCCAGCTACTTGGAAGGCTGAGGCAGGAGGATCGCTTGAACTGGGAGACAGAGGTCGCAGTGAGCTGAGATCATGCCACTGCACTCCAGCCTGGCGACAGAGCGAGACTGTCTCAAAATAATAAGAATAATAATAATTCCATGTGAAGTATGTCCTTCCCCAGTAGGCAATTAACACCTGGGTTCTAGCCAATGGGTAATTTTCTCTCTGGTCTTAAAATGTCCTGGGGAGGCTGGGGTGTGAGCATTTTCCCAAGGTTTGAGCACTCTTTGCAGCTCCCCAACCAAGGAATGGTAAACAGCTATGTGTTGGTGCTTGCCCTGCACTTGTGGGAGGCCCTGGAGGCTTGGACTTGAGTTTGTTTTGTGAACTCTTTAAGACTCTGAGGTGAATAAATCAATGTGAGCAAAAAGTTGTATTAAAAGGCCCCTTCCGCCCCCCCCAAAAAAATATCCTAGCAATAAAGGGACGCAGTTGTTTTGTTTTGTTTTTTTTTTCCCCCCTGAAAGCAAGTCCTCCCTGTGTGCCTTTTTTTTTTTTTTTTTTTGAAGCGGAGTCTCGCTCTGTCACCCAGGCTGGAGTGCAGTGGCGCGATCTCAGCTCACTGCAGGCTCCGCCCCCGGGTTCACGCCATTCTCCTGTCTCAGCCTCCCAAGTAGCTGGGACTACAGGCGCCCGCCACCACGCCTGGCTGATTTCTTTTTGTATTTATGGTAGAGAGGGGGTTTCACCGTGTTAGCCAGGATGGTCTTGATCTCCTGACCTCGTGATCTGCCCACCTCAGCTTCCCAAAGTACTGGGATTACAGGCGTGAGCCACTGCGCCCAGCCCCCTGTGTGCCTTTTTGATACTCAGAGCTGTCCTGGGATATAATGACTATACTATGGATGACAAAATTTGGGAAACATCTGATTGGAGAAAGAATTTGTATGTCACTTTATGAGAAGCAGCTGGGAGATGTAGAAGTATGGGCATTTCAAGGACAGTTTCATGACTGAGGCCAGTGTCAACCTGAAAAATATGGAACACGTGATCTAGAGGCAAATAATGGTTATAAATGAAATGCCACCAAGAACTTAATCTAATTGAGAAGACAAAGTTACTATTTGTGAGACAGAAGCTAGCAGTTTGTTGAGCCATGATTTTGATTCTTTGTCAGGGGGTCAAGAATGGAGAAAAAATTTAGAAGTCAGGGAAGCTATCAGGAGAAGGTAGGATTTGAGCTGGACCTTGAAGAACAAGAAACAGTATCCCTAAGTGGAAGGCAGATGGGAAGGTATTTCGGATCTCAGGAACAGCAGGAGTTAAAGCTTGAGATGGGATGGGGTAGGTGCTTGAGTGTGTGCTGGCTCCTGCAGCTGGTGACGGGTGGATGCCTGCTGGGAGCAGTGAGCTCCCAGGTGGCCAGATGGCCACTGGCTCTGATGAGACAGCAGCCTTGGGGTTTGGTTTTCTGGGTAGTAGGGAGCAGGGTAGGTCTTGAGTGGGTGCCACCTCAAGTGTTTGAGAAGGGGGCCCTGCGGAGTAATCTCTGTGGGTGGGGGCCTGGCCCAGACTGGCTTCCTGAGACTGGCTAGATAGCAGTTCTAGAGATGGAGAATGAAGAGAAGCCAGAGTTGAGTTGTGTTTAGGGAGTAAAGGGGGCCTCAGTGCTGGCTGGGAAGTTTGGATTTGACTCCCTGGGAGCCTGCAAATCATGTGGCCTGGAAAGCTAGAAAAATGCCCATGATGGGGCCCTACCCCAGACCAATCAAGGGGGAGCCAGTAATTTTTAGAAGTGCCCCCAGTTAATTCTCATAGTCTGTGTGGGTTGAGAAGCTGAGCTGTGTGCTTGGAGGAGCCTCTGGGAGTGTCAGGGATTGGAAGGGGAAAATTGAAGCCAGAAGAAGCCTTTGAAGTAATGTGGTGCGGGGACTGGGTTCCTGAGCTATTGTAGAATGACTGTGGATTGGCTGGTGGAATCAGGGCTGGAGAGGAACTGGCAGAAATGATCACCCTGGCTGAAATACGCCTCTAAGCTACCTTGGTAAATAAAGAAGGACAGCTTAGTAGAAAGTTTAAACAAGGGATGGGCAGAAGAGACTGTGATCCACCTATTTGGCAAGCCTCCTTTCAACCTGCATTTTAGCCACAGAGCAGGCACAGCAGGTTCTTATCTGTTCTCTCAAGCTTGCTAGCCAAGTTCCTCCCCACACCCTAAATTGTAATGACTGCAGCAGATGGTACATGTAAAATTTTAAATTACATTTCTTTAATTTTATTAAAGATAGTTGTAATGTGGAGTTACTAATTTAGATAGATTCAGTTTATTAGTCAAAGTCTAGAAGTGGGATTTTACATGGTACAGTTAATGCATGTCACAGTGTCATTGTAATATATGGTATTTCAGTCAAAAAATGAGTTTATAGTCCACTTCATTTATTCTTTACTTAATGCTTATTGAGCACATATGTATTATGTGCTGTTGGCTGGGAACGCCTGAGTGAATAAAATTTAAGTTCCTCTTACATTTCAAAATAGTTTTTGGTCTGCAGATGGTGGCTCTTGCCTCAGTAACAAGTAATATTAGCTTTGGGAGATAGCTGGGGGAGGGAAGTTTAGAAAGTGGTGTCAGACACTAGAATGGAACCTGGGAACCAGAGAAGGCTTCGAGGAAATAGTATGTGAGTCGAGTCTTGAAGGAAAAGTGGGAGTTCTCAGGGACAGAGATGAGAGGATCCCTGGCCGAGGGAGCTGCATTATGCAGAGGCCTGAGCTGAGCAAGGAGGGCGCAGAGGAGGAAGAGCTGGACATGTGGCAGAGGCCCAGCTGCCTGCTGACCAGACTCTCCAGGCAGGACAGGCGAGCTTGGTGAGGTTTGACTCATGGGCTGTGGTTTTCACGTAGCCTTTTGGCGGTGAGTGGGCAGGACTGTGGGCCTTCCACCCCACCTCTAATCAGAGCATCTCTGTGCTGGTGAAAGTGGGGAGCTAAAAAGAGCCCACTTGAGAAGTGTTCCTCTGCTGTTGAAGAACAACCGAAGTTATCTGGAGCTGCAGTGAGCAAGCTGGCACCCTGAGGGTGGCTGGGAGGGAGAGGTTGGAGGTTTCTTCCAGAGGACCTGAAGAGCCCTCACTTTTTTCTGTTTGCAGTGAGATGGATGTTCCCTCCTCTACTCCAGGCCAGTTTCCCAAGGCCTCTGGGTAATGTCTATGTGATTAAACAGTCTCTTGGGAATAGAACTCCTTTCAGTTAAGCAGCTCTATTTTCCAGAAATCCCTGGATAATTTTATGACCATGTGGTAAAGGTAAGGGACCTTGCGTTAACTTGGGGTGAATGTCAGAGAGCTGCTGTGTGCTAGGCTCCGTGCTGGGCACCCAGGAAATAGTCCTTGCCCTTGACTCTGCCCAGTCTGGACTAGAAAAGTGGTCCTTAGGTGGATTGAGCTCACAGATGTGTTTTGTTTGTGCCTCTTTCTAAACATTGAAATTGGTTGCTCTGTCAGTTTCCTATGGCTGCTGTGACAAATTGCCACAAATGCAGTGGCTTAAAACAATGCAGTTGTATAGGCGGGAAGTCCGACACAGGTCTTAATGGGCTGGGGTCATGGTGTAGTTAGAGCTGGTTCCTGCTGGAGGCTCTGGGGGGGAACCCGTTTTCTCTGCCTTTCCAACTTCTTGAGGCCTTTTGTGTTCCTTGGCTCGTGCTCCTTCCATCTTTAAAGCCAGCTGCGGTTTTCCACTCTTTCCCACGTGGTTTCTCTCTGACCCTGACTCTTCTGCCTCCCACTTCCACTTTTAAGGATCCTTGTGATTACGTTGGGCACACTGAATAATCCAGGATACTATGTTTTAAAGTCAGCTGATTAGAAACTGAATTTTTTTTTTTTTTTCAGACGGAGCCTCTCTCTGTCTCCTAGGCTGGAGTGCAGTGATGCCTATCTCGGCGCACTGCAACCTCCGCCTCCCTGGTTCAAGGGATTCTCCTGCCTCAGCCTCCCGAGTAGCTGGGATTACAGGTGTGCGCGACCATGCCTGGCTAATTTTTGTATTTTTTAATAGAGATAGGGTTTCACCATGTTGGCCAGGCTGGTGTCGAACCCCTAACCTCAAGTGATCCGCCTGTATCAGCCTCCCAAAGTGCTGGGATTACAGGCGTGAACCACCATGCCCTGCCTAGAAACTTAAATTCTAACTGCTACCTTAATTCTCCTTTGCCACAAAACCTAACATATTCACAGGTTCTGAGGTTAAGATGTGGTTATCTTTGGGAGGCCACTATTTGTTGGTCATAGTTGCCAATATTAAAAACAGGAGATCTTACATAGCCTCCTAGTCTTGCAGCTTCATTGACAAATCAGAACACTTGGCAGCCTGGGGCCTGTACTGTTGCCTGGTAACAGTGGGTCAGAGCCAGTGTCGGCGCCATCTCTAGTTGGGGCTTGCGGGTGCCAGTTCTCCACAGACTTCCACCCTCCACATGGTGCCTGCTTATTTCCCCTGGTTGTCTGGTCCCTGCTCTGGGGACACAGGGGCTTACACAGAGTCCAGTCAGGGCAGAATCCCCAACGCAGGGTGGCTGAGTTTGTCTACCTTTCTGTTCATACCCTGCTACTTGCCCCCCTGCACCTCCCCCCTCACTTACTGCCTCTATACCCTTTCCCTGAAGCCTCTTCTGCCTCTGCCTGGCACACACTGTCCCTCCTCCTCTCTGTGCCCTTCTCTCTCTGACCCAGGGCTCTACATTCTGCAGCATCTCTGGTGCTATTTTAGGTGGGATTGTTTGTGCCATGATTCCTTGTCTCTTGTCCCCTCCTTTTCTGGCACCCAACACTAGTACATTCTGATGCCTTCCCTTTTATGTCTTGCATTGGTGTTTGTGAAAAGCAAGTCTTTATAGTGTACCTTTAGAGCAATATCCATTAAAAACCAGGATCACACAACAAGCATGTAGTTGAACATCTGTGTGCCTTGCACTCTCCTAGACATTGGGAATGCCATGGGGACTCCTGCCCTACCTCTAGTTCTAGAAGAGGGATAGGGGAAACAAATGGATAGGCAATCACAGTGTCAGCTTCTTACTGCATCTGGAGAGGCAGGATCTTGCTTCCTTCAGCTCCCAAGCCTGGAGGTGAGCTCTCTTTGCACTGTGTGTTGGGTGGGGTTGTTTGTGGGGCTCTGTTAAAAGCGTTTCAGTGGAAGATCCCTGAGTTTGCAGACATCGCCTGGACCCCCAGCTTGTAGTTGAATTTTTTTTTTTTGAGAAGTGCAGTTGTGTAATCTCAGCTCACTGCAACCTCTGCCTCCCAGGTTCAAGCGATCCTCTTGCCTCAGCCTCCTGAGTAGCTGGGATTAGAGGTGCACGCCGCCACTCCTGGCTAATTTTTGTATTTTTAGTAGAGACAGGGTTTCACCATATTGGCCAGGCTGGTTTTGAACTGCTGACCTCAGGTGATCTGCCCACCTTGGCTTCCCAAAGTGTTGGGATTACAGGCGTGAGCCACTGCACCCGGCCAGGTAGTTGAGTGTTGAGCAGGCAACTTGGAAGCTTGGATATCATACAGGTTGAGTATCCCTTGTCTGAACTGCTTGGGACTAGAAATCTTTTAGATAGTAGACTTTTTTGGATTTTTCAGTGTTTGCATATGCATAATGAGATATCTTGGGGATGGAACCCAAGTCTAAACGTGAAATTCATTTATGTTTTGTGTATACCTTACACCCATAGCTTGAAGATAATTTTATATAATATTTTAAATAAGTTTGTGTACAAAACAAAGATTTGACTGCATTTTGATTGTGACCCCGTTGCATGAAGTCAGGTGTGGAGTTTTCCACTTGTGGTATCATGTTGCTGCTGCTCAAGAAGTTTCTGATTTTGGAACATTTTGGATTTTGGATTTTCACATTAGGGATACCTAATGTGAGAGAGACTAGGCCGCACAGCTCCCTGCACTGCTGCCTGGTGGTCTGAACTGGGGCTCTGATTGTTTTCTGAGGGGCCTTTTGTGTGCCTTCTGTGAAGGGGCCTGCATTGAGTGAGTCTACACTGTTGGGCTCAGTGTGGAGCATACCTGGTTGAGCCACCAGAGTTTGACAGCTTAAGGGCAGCCTGTCATTTTATCTACAGAGTATATTAATGATAAAGATCTTTGGAAACTTACTTAAAAACAAAATGAAACATTTCATGATGGAGGATTTCAAACAGAAAAATAGAATAATTTAGTGAACTCCCATCACTTAGCTTTAACAGTTAATTCTAGGCTCCCCCTACCTCAGATGATTTTAAAGCAAATCCCAGTATTCACTTTATTGGAAAATGCTTCAATACATATCTCTAACAGATAATGGACTCTTTATAAACTTATTTTTAAGTGAAGACTGACCACCAGCCTTCCTAATTCTGATTTTCATATTTCTGTGTTTGAAGCTGATTTTTTAAAATTGTGGAATAATGATTATATTTACACAAAATCTTGATTGATTGACTGAGATAGGGTCTTGCTCTGGCCCCAGATTGGAGTACAGTGGTGTGATCTCTGCTCACCGCAACCTCCGCCTCCTGGGCTCAAGCCATCCTCCCACCTCAGCCTCCTGAGCAGCTGGGGCTACAGGTGCGTGTCACCATCGCCGGCAAATTTTTTGTATTTTTTTTAGAGATGGGGTTTCACCATGTTTCCCTGCTCCAGACTGGTCTTGAACTCCTGAGTGCAAGAGATCTGCCTGCCTGTGTTGGCCTCCCAAAGTGCTGGGGTTATAGGCATGAGCCACCACACCCAGTCACCATGTTAAGGATTTAAAAGTGAACAATTCTGTGGCATGTGGTACATTTATAGTGTTGTGCCACTATCTAGTTTCAGAACTTTTTCATCACTCCAAAAGAAAATCCATACTCATTAGGTAGTTGCTCCTCAATTTCCCCAGCCCCTGGTATCCGTTAACCTACTTTCTGTCTCTATGGGGTTTGCCTATTCTGGACATTTCATATAAATGCAGTTATACAATATCTGGCTTTTTGTATTGGCTTCCTTCACCTAGTATGTTTTCCAAGTTCATCCATGTTGTAGCATGGATCCAAACTTGATTCCTTTTTATGACCAAATAATATTCCATTGTATGGATATACCACAATTTATTTATTTAGTGGTGGACACTTGGGTTGTTTCCACATTTGGCTATTGTAAATAGTTGCTTTTTTTTTTTTTTTTTTTTTTGATACAGGGTCTCACTCTGTCACCCAGGCTGGAGTGCAGTGGTGTGACCATGGCTCACTGCAGCCTTGACTTCCTGGGCTCAAGGGATCTTCCCACCTCAGCCTCCTGAGTAGCTGGGGCTACAGGCCTGGCTAATTGTTGTATTTTTTGTAGAGACAATGTTTCAGTGTTGCCCAGGCTGGTCTCGAACTTCTAGGTTCAGGTGATCCGCCTGCCTCAGCCTCCCACAGTGTTGGGATTATAGGTGTGAGCCACTGTGCCTGGCCAATAGTTGCCATTTTAATTTAACTTGTCATTGCTTAATTTGAAATATGGTGATGTGCTGCCTGGATCAAAAAGAAAATGTCACATGTGAGAGGGCAAGACAGTGATCTGCTCTTGACTCTATTTATTGCAATAAACACATTTTGAAAGAACTTATAACAGTCGTGGTGGCTCATACATGTAATACCAGCACTTTGGGAGACTGAGGCAGGATCACTTGAGGTCAGGAGTTTGAGACCAGCTTGGCCAACATGGTGAAAACCCTGTCTCTACTGAAAATACAAAATTAGCCAGGTGTGGTGGTGCACATCTGTGGTCCCAGCTACTCAGGAGGCTGAGGCAGGAGAATCACTTGAACCCAGGAGGCGGAGGTAGCAGTGAGCCATGATCACGCCACCGTACTCCAGCCTGGGCGACAGAGCAAGAATCTGTCTAAAAAGAAAGAGAGAGAGAGAGAAAGAGAAAGAAAGAAAAAAAGAAAGAAGGGAGGGAGGGAGGGAAGGAAAGGAAGGAAAGGAAAAAGGAAAGGAAAGGAAGGAAGGAGAACTTATAACTGAAGTATAGTAAATGTAACAGAGCTCACGCCTGTAATCCCAGCACTTTGGGAGGCCAAGGCCGGTGGATTACTTGAGGTCAGGAGTTCCAGACCAGCCTAGCCAACATGGTGAAACCTGTCTCTACTAAAAATACAAAAATTAGCCAGGCGTGGTGATGCATGCTTGTAATCTCAGCTACTCGGGAGGCTGAGGCAGGAGAATCCCTCGAACCCAGGAGGCAGAGGTTGCAGTGAGCTAAGATCGCACCACCGCACTCCATCTTGGGGGACAGAGCGAGACTCTGTCTCAAAAAAAACAAAAACAAAAACAAAAACAGAAAACTGTACTATATATAATGTTAGTATGTAAGGGACTTAGAGGCCTCTTCTGATTGTTTCTGGTGACCATTAGTCCTGCTTAACAGACTGGTAGTCTGATGGGCAAACCCCACCCTTCTTAGTCTTGAGGTTTGAGGATGAGTAGTGGCCTTTCTGAGCACTGGAATGGAGGTGGGTGATCAACAGCCTCTGGGACTTTTCCCCACTCCTGAGTTACAGGGACAGACTTCTGTTTTCATGAGAGTCATTGACAAAGGAGCTTGTTTTCCTGGATACCAAGTCTGTGTCTTTGTTTATGTACCTCAGCGACATAGGCAAAGAGTCTGTGCCTTTGTCTTACGTTTGCATTGTTGTGATGGCATGGTTGTCAGTGTGGAAAGTGAAGTGGATTTGGTGGTGTGTTTCATGTGCAGGGCATTGGTTTCAGCTAAGAGTTTGTTTCCAGCTAGGAGTTAGAGGGCAGCCTCTAATGAGTGGCCAAGTGCTGACTGGTGGGCACCCTTCTCAAGGGCTACTTCTGTGGAACTGTGCTTTGAGAGATGCAGTAAGAAGTAGCCTGTGTCACGTCTTTGGTGGATGTGGTCACAGCGTTGGGGTGCATACTCCGCCGCATCATGCTGTATGTCTTCTTTTGGAGGGTGTGAGGGAGGCATTTATCTCAGGTCCCAGGACAAGGAGAATCTTCTGTAGTGAATCTGGTTTGTTTTTTATCTTGTGGAGAGTGTGAATTCTCTGGCCACTAGGAAGCTCAGTTCAGAGCCATCATTTCCTAGCTGTAATGTGACCTGCACTTTGGGTTCTAACCTGGCCTTCTGGCTCAACTCCTCCACCCCCTATTTCCTTATTGCTTGAGTTTCTTCATTTACTTTATTTATTTATTTATTTATTTATTTATTTATTTATTTATTTATTTTCTTGTGTTCTCTGGATTTCTTTAACCCAGTGAGTCTCAACTTTGACTGTACCTTAATCAGCATCCTCTGGGGAGAGTTTTTTTTTTTTTTTTTTTTTTAAGTGCCAGTGCTTGGCCCCCATCCCTTATGTTTGATAGATTGGATTGATTTTTTTTGAGACAAAGAGTCTTGCTCTGTTGCCCAGCTGGAGTGTGGTGGCTCACTCATAGCTCACTGTAGCCTCTAGCTCCTGGGCTCAAACAGTCTTCCCTCCTCAGCCTCCTGAGTAGTTGGGATTACAGGCATATTCAACCACATGTGGCTAATTATTTATTTATTTGTAGAGACAGGGTCTCATTTTGTTGCCCAGGCTGATCTTGAACTCCTAGCTTTAAGCAATCCTTCTGTCTCGGCCCCCCAAAGTGTTGGTATTACAGACATGAGTCACCAAACCCAATCCCTCCTGTTTTTTATTTTTTATTTATTTTTTTTGAGACGGAGTCTTGGTCTGTTACCCAGGCTGGAGTGCAGGGGCGCGATCTCAGCTCACTGCAAGCTCTGCCTCCTGGGTTCATACCATTCTCCTGCCTCAGCCTCCCGAGTAGCTGGGACTACAGGTGCCCGCCACCACGCCCGGCTAATTTTTTGTATTTTTAGTAGAGACGGGGTTTCACCATGTTAGCCAGGATGGTCGCGATCTCCTGACCTCGTGATTTGCCCACCTTGGCCTCCCAAAGTGCTGGGATTACAGGCATGAGCCACCGCGCCTGGCCCCAGTCCTTCCTGTTGTAATTGTTCTGGGATGGGGCCTGAGCAAAAATGTTTCCAAAATTCTCCAAAAGCTGGGCGTGATGGCTTGCACCCATTATCCCAGCTACTCAGGAGGCTGAGAGGGGAGAATTGCTTGAGACCAGAAGTTTGAGGCCAGTCTGGGCAACATAGCAGGACCCTGTCTCAAAAAAAAAAAAAAAAAAAAAAAGTTCCTTAACAATTTGGATGTGTGGCCAGGTTTGAGAACTGCTGCTTTAGGCCATTTCATGTCTTTTTAGCATCAAGGCAGGGATAAGTAATCAAAAAGGATGGAGTCTGGGAGGATAGAGGGACCAAAGGCCAGTGGTATGAGCTCAGAGAAGCCTCGTAAAGGGGATTATATAGCGTCCAGTGGTTTTCGGCTGGTGGCACCCCGTGGGAAAGCTCTGAGGGGCTCCTCTCCTTGTCTAGAACCACAGGAGAGAGACTCAGCTCCTGGAGCTGAGTGACTTAAAATTTAGCTGTGAAGTCCATGGGCCTGTCTAATGGTGGCACAGCTTTGTAACAGGGTCTTCTGGGCCTTTCAGGACCCAAGTCCCACACTTGGAGCCTGATTTGTGCTTAATACCTATTTGCTGTATAATGTGATTGCAGAGAAGACTTGACAAATAAAGAGAACATTTAAAACATGGTCTTTGCAACTAATCTGGTCCTTCCTGTGCTTTAAAAAAGAAAAAAATTCCCACTGTCCCTGCTTTAAAGAGAAACAAGAAATT
This sequence comes from Homo sapiens, assembly GCF_000001405.40. Classification (NCBI taxonomy): domain Eukaryota; kingdom Metazoa; phylum Chordata; class Mammalia; order Primates; family Hominidae; genus Homo; species Homo sapiens. The sequence goes on from NC_000017.11 coordinate 19,256,990, forward strand.
ACAAAAGAAAACACAGACTTTCTTGATTTAAAAGAATACTGGTAGAAGAAAATAGCAAGTCGCACAAGAAATTACTATGTAATCTGACTGCAAAGTGTTGGGTAGATTTTAACATTTGAAGAAAAATGTTTCTTTAAGCAAATGAAACCCTAATTTCTCCCTTCCCCCTCCAAAAAACCCCCTAGATTTTCATTTAGCTATTTTGTCTTTGAACAAAAATCTTGCTTTTTCCCCCTTCTTTGCCTTTGCCCTCTGGTAATCAGTAGTTTCCAAAGACTGTGTAAAAGTCAGGTCTACCAAAACAGAATATATGCCACATGGTGTTTGCAGGCTGTGTTTCTTTTTTGTGCTAGGTCCCATGGAGATTGTTTGGAATGCCTGTTTTAATGGTCATCAGAGAAAATTCGGAAAGTATGCCTAAGTAGGATGGACCAAACTAGCACTTGACCTATAGCCTTAGGACCTATACGTCAAGTCCTAGTTCGGTCTGTAATCAATGTTAATATTTTGATTTATTTTCTCTCTCTCTCTCTCTTTTTTTTTTTTTTGACACGGGGTCTTGCTGTCACCCAGGCTGGAATGCAATGGTGCCATCTTGGCTCACTGCAACTGCCGCCTCCCGGGTTCAAGTGATTCTCCTGCCTCCACCTCCCGAGTAGCTGGGACTACAGGCATGTGCCACCATGCCTGGCTAATGTTTTGTATTTTTAGTAGAGACAGGTTTTTGCATGTTGACCAGGCTGGTCTCAAATTCTTGACTTCAGGTGATCCACCCGCCTTGGCCTCCCAAAGTGCTGGGATTACAGGTGTGAGCCACCACACCCAGCCCGGTTTATTTTCTCTAGGTAAATTGTGTTTGTTTAGTCCTCAGGGGTCTTTATGACCTCTGTAGCCATCATGGGATGGCTCAGAGCTTTCCCTTGACTGGCTATACTGGGAAGAGGTCAGCTGCCCCCTGTGATTTGTTTTCTATTCAAGGAAGCTTTTGGTCCCAGTCTCCCATGTTCCAGGTGGTAGGTGTCCCGCAGCCCGTCAGAGGTTTGGGAGGCCAGGAGGGAGCTGTCTAGTAGGGGAGAGGCTTTGCTGGACTTATAGGGCGTGTTAACCAGTTAGATGTGGGTGAGGGAAGAGGAATAAGCACTGACTCAGGTGGCTGCTGGTGCTGGTGCTGATGCTGATGCTGAGACAGTGTGGAGGAGAAAATTGGTCTGGTGAGGAAGATGATTTCAGTGCTGGACAATGGGACCAAAAACTGCTAGCCCTGTGTGCACTTCAGAGGCTTCCAGAATGGGGCAGAAACACTTACTGCTCTCTGGGCTTCAGTCTCCCCATCTATGATATAAATGAGAGAGTGGGACTAAGTGGTCGCCAGGTCCTTCCCAATGCCAGCGTGCTTTGATTCTGTCTTTTAAGACTCTGCCTTCCTGGGTGAGAGTCGCATTCCTGTCAGCAGCTATCTGGTTGTTTCTAAGCATATTCTTCTCCGTTTGGTGACGTTGGGTTGGGTTGGGTTGACAATGGGAAATTGGCAGTGGGTGTCAGCATATTCTTTCCACACAGTTTATTGCCTCTCTTTTCAGGAGTTTTCAGAAGGGAAAACAGGCCAATTCCTCAGGAAATGTGTTTGCCTGAGACTCAGCAGCTAACTGTGATTTAACCTAGAGAGCTAGTCCAGGCTGTGGGTCTAGCCAGTGTCTAGTAATTTCCTTCTGGGGGCCCTTGGCGTCGATGCTGCGTGTGGACAGCGCGGTTTGTGAGACCCTGTGAGCAGGGTTCCCACACAGGGAAAGGTCTCTGGTTCCCTGCCCACTGGTGTTAGGCCCACCTGACTGGTCACAGAGCCAACCCCAGCCTTCCCACAAGAGTGCAGCCACAGGGGTGAGACCGCTGTGTCAATGAGTCTAGCCGACGGCCCACCACGTGTGTGGCCCATACACATTGGAAGTCTATGTGTGTGCCACATCATATTACCAACTGGTGGATATTTAAGAAATCCATTTGATAGAATTAAAAGGCTACTGTGAAGGAATCTTTTTTCCATTTGGAAGAAAAAATCAGTTTATAATTTGGAATGGGGAAACAAATATTATCTGCCTTCAAAGAAAAAAATTCATTATATAACATAGCGGCTGCTGAATCAAGTCTTGGAAATTTGTGATTTTTTGAAAACCGCCCTATAAGGCTTATGGAAATACAATTTGGAATCCATTAGCTTCAGGTGTTTCTCCTTTTGGTGATAGGGAAACATGGTTTTGCTGCTGTTTTTGTCAAATGTGAGAGTCGTAGGTTATTGATCTGGCATCTTTTGAGTGTTGGGTCTTTTTTTTTTTTTTTTTTTTTTGAGATGGAGTCTCATTCTGTCACCCAGGCTGGAGTGCAGTGGCACGATCTCGGCTCACTGCAAGCTCCACCTCCCGGGTTCACACCATTTTCCTGCCTCAGCCTCCTGAGTAGCTGGCACTACAGGCGCCTGCCACCACGCCTGGCTAACTTTTTGTATTTTTAGTAGAGACGGGGTTTCACCGTGTTAGCCAGGATGGTCTCAATCTCCTGACCTTGTGATCTGCCCGCCTCGGCCTCCCAAAGTGCTGGGTTTACAGGCATGAGCCACAGCGCCCGGCTGAGTATTGGGTCTTTAGGGGTCAAAACTTTTGATCTTTGCTTGCAGTTTTTGTTTTTTTCTCTTTTACACTCTCCCTGTTCCCTGATTAAATGAAGGCCAGGCTTGCCTAGTTCCAGGGAAAAGGCCAAGGGTGCCTAGAGCAAGGTGGATGGGACTTTGTTCGCAGATGGGCCTTGAGAGAGCGACCCCTCGCTCCTAAATGCCCGGAGGAAGGGACGGACTTCTTTATCTTTACCATGGGTATTCTGCCTTACTGCTTTGGCCTGTGGCGTTTCTTCACTTGCTTTTCCTCATTTTGCTTGGAATGTGCTTTGCCTGTTGCATACCCACCTCGTCTGCCCCCTTGCACACTCCATGGCTGGCCTAAAAGCCCAGTCTGCTGTCCTGTGCCCTTTAGACTTCCACTGTAGGATTATGTTTCCACACTCCCTGTGGACTGTGCCACTGGAGCTCTCTGCAGACAGGGACTGTGTCAGGTTGACCTCCATCCTTCAGCACCAGCCCAGTGCCTGGCAGGTAGCAGGAAAGCAGAAGCTGAGGAAGGACTTGCTGCACAAGTGGATGCCAGGAGCTCTGGTTCTTCCCTTCTTGAATCTGCTACCTTATGATGGGAGGGACACAGGGCTGTGCTGGATTTGTGCACGATGCTTTGGACAGCCCATGGGAGAGGGCCAGGAGGAAGGAAACCCAGACTGAGTGGATAGCAGGCTGGATGGGGGCATTGACAGTGGGGGAAGCATTAAAGGCCATTTATAGCCTTCCAAATGTGAAGCTGGAGGGGCCTGGAAGAGAGTCACAGAAAGGAAGGGACAGACGCGGGACGGTGCAGGGTCCCTGCCCTCCAGCTTCACAGGTCTTGGTAATGGGCTCTTACACGGGTTGGTGGCGGAAGGACACAGGTGGACCTGGGCTGGTGGTCACTCCTGGGCTGCTCTTGGCCCTGGCATCTGAGACCTGTTGGCCAAAGGCTTTGATGTGGCTCTGGTATTTTTTCTTTTTTTTGAGAATGGAACTTTTTTTTTTTTTAATGAAATGCTCTTTTGAATAGGCAATACAGTCACGTTTCTAAAATGAAAATATATTAAAATATATTTTAAGAAATTTTGCCCCTCACTCCTGATCTCATCTCTGTCCTCCCTCCTCCCTGGTAACCACCTGTAGCAGTTTGAATACCCTTCTAGTTTTTCTTAATGCAAGTACAGCAAACACAAATTGTGTATTATTATTTCTCCCTTTTCAGTAAATGAAAGATAGCATTCTGTGTGTACTGTTCTTCATCTTGTGCTTTTTTTAACTTATTGTAGAGATTTTTCCATATCAGTGCATGGAGAATGGTTGTCATTCTCTTTCAGCTGTGTTGCACTGTGAAGTTGTCCCTGTTTGAATACTCACCCCTGAGGAAAGGCACCTGGCTGTTTCCAGCTTGTTTCATGACATGCCGGCGACAGTTGTCTCACGTGCACATCGTTTCCCACATTGCAGTGGTCCTGCAGGGTGGCATCCCGCAGGCACATTGCTGAGTCAAAGAGGAAACACAGTTGTAATTTTGACAGATTTTGCCCAGTTGCCCTCTACAGGGCTTGTTCCATGTTGCACTCCCACTGGCGGTGTTGATGCCTGATTCCCCACTGACTCGTCAACACAAGGTGTAGTCAAATGCTTGGAGTTCTGCCAGCCTGACACTTGTAAATAATATCTCAGTATAGTTTTAATTTGTATTTTTCTGAAGAGGAGCTGATCATGTTGTCATATGTTTAAGGACCATTTATAGTTTTCTGTGGACAGTTCTTCGATTTTTCTCTTGGGTTATTGGTTTTTTCTCAATTTCTGAAGGTGTTTTTTATATTTTTGGAAGGTTAGTTCATTGTCTTATGAGTTATAAATTTTTTTCAGGCTAGGAATTATTCTGATCTAGGCAGAGTCTTTAAATAATTCTATTCCTCCCCTTCCCTCTGCCCCATCTCCTTATGTTTGAAGATTTGGACAGTGGCTTTGGGACAGAACCACACCTTTGGCTTCCTTCCAGGATTTAAGTTAATTGGCCTTAGACACATTTTCGGTATGAACTTATGATAGCGTGGATGTGTTTGAGGTGTATCAGGATGGGCTACATGATGTGAGAACAGCCAACCCTCTCACCTCAGTGGCCTAACAGCAGAGGCTCATTTCTTTTTCATGGGGCATGTCCAGTGTATGTAGTCAGGAGACTTCACTCATAGTCACTCATGAACCTAGGATGATGGTGGCACAAGCTTTTTGTTTTGTCTTATTTTGTTTTGTTAACAGTTTTATTGGCTGGGAGTGGTGGCTCACACCTGTAATCCCAGGACTTTGGGAGGCCAAGGTGGGTGTATCACTTGAGGTCAGGAGTTCGAGACCAGCCTGGCCAACGTGGTGAAACCCATCTCTACTAAAAATACAAAAATCAGCCAGGCATGGTGGCGCATCCCTGTAGTCCCAGCTACTTGGGAGGCTGAGGCAGGAGAATTGCTTGAACCCAGGAGGCAGAGGTTGCAATGAGCTGAGATTGTGCCACTGCACTCCAGCCTGAGCAACAGAGCAAGACTCCATCTAAAAAAAAACAGGCCAGGTGCAGTGGCTCATGCCTGCAATCCCAGCACTTTGGGAGGCCAAGGCGGGCGGACCACCTGAGGTCGGGAGTTCAAGACCAGCCTGACCAACATGGAGAAACCCTGTCTCTACTAAAAATACAAAATTAGCTGGGTGTAGTGGCACATGCCTGTAATCCCAGCTACTTAGGAGGCTGAGGCAGGAGAATCGCTTGGACCCAGGAGGCGGAGGTTGCCGTGAGCCGAGATCACACCACTGCACTCCAGCCTGGGCAACAGGAGCGTTAAAACTCCATCTCAAAAACAAAACAAAACAAAACAAAAACAGTTTTATTGATGCATAATTTATTTGCCATGCAATAAAGTTCACCATCAGCATAATCTTATTTTAGAACATTTTATTACCCCCAAAAGCAACCCTGTACCCATTAAGCAGTCATTTCCCCTCCCATTCTCTCCAGCCCCTGGCAACTGCAATAAAGTTCACCATCAGCATAATCTTATTTTAGAACATTTTATTACCCCCAAAAGCAACCCTGTACCCATTAAGCAGTCATTTCCCCTCCCATTCTCTCCAGCCCCTGGCAACTATCAGTCTGCTTTCTGTCTCTGTGGATTTGCCTGTTCTGGACATTCCACATAAATGGAGTCATACAGTGTGTGGGCTTTTGTGTTTGGCTTCTTACATTCAGTGTAATGTTGTCGAGGTTCATCCATATGGTAGAATGGGCCAGAACTTCCTTTTTAAGGCTGAATAATATTCCATTGTGTGGATAGATCACATGTTGTTGATCTGTTCATCAATTGGACAAAGTTGTTTCCAGTCTTTGGCAGTCGTGAGTAACACAGCTGTGAACATGGTACATGAGTCCCTGTGTAGACATGCTTTCCTGTCTCTGGATAGATAAGGAGGCTCCATCCTGACATAGGCACCCACTGTCACCACCGCAGGGAATGTGGCACCTGCCTTTTACTGTTCAGCAGAGAGTGACACACATCATTTCTATCTCATCTCATTGCCGTGCCATGGCTGACTTCAGAGGAGGTGGGAAAATGCACTTCTGTCATAGGCCTAGAAGTGGGTGAACTGGAAATACTTGGTGACTAGGATCAGTACTTTAGAAGAGAAGAGAAGTGGGGCCCATCCCTGGGGCCCATGAGAGTGGTTTTGTTTGGACAAGTCATTCCGGAAAGCGTTCACTAGTAAGGAGGGAGTTCCAGGATAGAAATTACGTGGGTTGGCCTTGAAAGCTGGTTGGTGGAAAAACCTCACATCTTCCAAGGAGCGTCTTAGATGGGTATGATGATATTGGAACAGAGAAGGGCAACCACATAGAAGTAATATAAGTAGAATGGAGGTTTAGGATTGAGCACTTCTGAGTTTCACAGGAGGCATTGTGGCTGAGAGCTTCATCCCAGTTCTGTGATTTGCTGTATGTTATCCTCTCTCTTGTGTAATGCCTGCCTTGCAAAAGTGCAGCAAGATCAGTGCCATGAAACCCCTGGGTCAGTGCCTGGCACATGGTAGGCATTCAGTAAATTATAGCTGTCACCTTGGTGCATTTGACCAGCAGCAGCTGAGTCTGCAGTCACTGAGTCACCAGACCTGGCCTTCCTGAGGCCTTGGGCTTATGTTTTCCTTGTGAGGCATAAATATGCTGAAGAACATCCCTGTTTTCTTGGCCTGGTCCTCCCTGTGGTGGCTGAAGGAAAGAGGGGGGCTGGAGCGAGAAGGGGGGTTAGGGGCATGGATGTAGCCAGTGTATATTTGGAGGGCAAGTAAACAGTTCTTCCTTGGCCTCTCGGCACAAGTTTCTAAAGTAGAGCGATTTCTGAGTTTAGGAGCAGCTGGGCAGATCTGCACACGCACCCAGTTGTCAGTGCTGGAAACGCGCCCCTTTATTATTATTTTTCTAAACAAAGCAGGACAATGGCAGTGTAAACATTGTTTGAACAAAAAGCATTTGGCCAATGGAGATAAAACCAAAAGGAAAATAACAACTTTGATTTCCTTTTGGTTTTGTGTTTTGACATTTGGTAGCATACTTCTAATCTTTTAGGAATTATAAAAATTATATGGTTTGCGAACTCCAGTTTGTTTATGCTGTTAAATTTAGTGCGAAGTAAACTAAAAAATTCCCCTCCTGTTGGGATGTCAGCTTGCTCCCATTTTTGTTTTTCTTTGAGAGGCATGGTCAAAGGACCAGTGGGACCTGAAGAGGGCCCGTCAAAAGCATGTGAGGCATGTGGGGAAACCTGTAGTGAAGCAGAAAGTGCAGCCTTATTTCCTACAGCTCTCTCATGTTCCTTATCTTGCTGATTCTCGCTGGCTGCCATTTCCATTTTACAAATGAGGAAACTAAACTGAGATTCAGTGAGGTGACTAAAAGGTGCTGGGTAGAGCAGTGATCTTTTCATTCTGCCAGGTAGTTATTTTAAAACTTACCAATATTCATAGGCCATGTTTTATGTTCAGTGAGGGCATTTGTGGTTTGGTAAGGGTGTAGAGAGGATCAGAGAGCTTGGAGGAAGGGAGAGAGAAAGGGGGGAGTGTGTGAGCAGGTGGGGCTGGACTCGGTGCCCTGTAGAGTCATTCATTCTTGCAGCAGATGTGTGCCAGGCACTGTGCCAGGCCCAGCATGCAGCATCAAGGAGACAGTCGGGGTCTCTGTCCCTTGAGAGCCTGCAGTCCAGAGGTCGTGGGAGGAAGGAAGGAGGGTGGAGGGAAAGCCGGAAGCCCAGGCGAGCTCCAAGGCCTCTGGCTCAGTCAGCTGGGCAGCAGGTGGTGGATCCTGGGCAGAGCATCCCTGGAGGGAAGGAGAAGGGGGCAGGTGTGGAGCTGGGGATGATAGGTTCGGTTTTGTCCTGAAACTGGAGGGGAAGGTGGCATGGTGCAGAGGTGTGTACCAGTGACCAAGAAGGTCCGGTGGCCAGGCATGGTGGCTCACACTTACAATCTCAGCACTTTGGGATGCCGAGACAGGAGGATTGCTTGAGCCCAGGAGTTCGAGACCAGCCTGGCCAACATAGGGAAACCCCATCTCTACAAAAAATAATAAGCTGGGCTTGATGGTGCACACCTGTACTTAGGAGACTGAGGTAAGAGAATCACTTGTGCCTGGGAGGTCCAGGCTGTAATCAGCTATGATTGTGCTACTGTACTCCATCTTGGGTGACAGTGAGACCCTTTCTCAGGAAAAAAAAAAAAAAGAACGTCTAGGAAGTTACATGCGGTCTCACACAAAGGTGTCTGAACTATTCGTTGGTGGTCATTAGAAGGTGAAGACACTTCCCAAGCATGCACTGCTCTGCATGGGGCAGAAAGGCATGATCTCTTCATTCTCTGCTTCCCTGGCACTGGATGGTTCTCTTGTGTCCCTGCCCTGCTCTTGGCCCTTTCTTGGACTTGGCCGATGTCTACTTGCCTCCTCCTTAATTGCATTCTTGTCCCCATCTTCCTCTGCTCTCTCTCTCTCCCTTATGCCTCTCACCTGCTCCTCTGAGATGAACATGTTGGCCACAGTGCCCCTCCTGTGCCCTGGTCCTGGGCACCAGCTCCACTAGGCCATTTTCATTCTCCTCCAGGCCTGTCCTGCCAGCACCTCCAGCCATGTTTGTTTGAAATAAAACTAAGTATGCTGCCTCCTGCCTTCGTCTGGAACCTCTCCACCTTCCCTTTCTGTTAAGGGTGACTCCGTCCTCCTGGCTATTCCACCCCTTCTACCCCACCCACACTGACATTTGGTCATCAGGGTTCATGTTTCCACTCTGTTTATGTCCATCACCTTCCTTTCCCATTCCCCCGCAGCTGGATTCAGGCTCTGGACTCTGCTCATTGTGTTGTGTGGCTTCTCAGTCGTCTTTCTGTCTTCCTACTTCCGCCTCTGCCCTAATCCTTTCTCCCACTGCTGCTTGATCAAGATTCAGAAATACCATCCTGAAGACGTGAGTTCCCTGCTCCAAACAAAAATAAAAAATCAACCTTAGTAGCTTTGCCTTCCCCAGTATTTCCCAACATAATTTTAAGTGGCATACAGTTGAATGTTCTTAGTTTTAATCTTTGTCTTAGAAATGCCATAGTATTTTGGCAGTTCCTCAAAAGTTAAACGTGTAGTTACCATATGACCCAGCAGCTTCACTCCTCAGTATATACCCAGGAGAACTGAAAACTTGTCCACACAAACACCCCATAGATGTCCATCTCAACATTATTATTTATTTTATTTTTTTTTTTTTTTGAGACGGAGTCTCGCTCTGTCGCCCAGGCTGGAGTGCAGTGGCGCGATCTTGGCCCACTGCAAGCTCCGCCTCCCGGGTTCGTGCCATTCTCCTGCCTCAGCCTCCGGAGTAGCTGAGACTACAGGCGCCCGCTACCACGCCTGGCTAATTTTTTGTATTTTTAGTAGAGGTGGGGTTTCACTGTGTTAGCCAGGATGGTTTCGATCTCCTCACCTCGTGATCTGCCCGCCTCGGCCTCCCAAAGTGCTGGGATTACAGGCATAAGCCACCACGCCCGGCCATCTCAGCATTATGAATATGAATATATGAATATTCTTCATGGCATGATAGCCAAAAAAATTAGTAACAACCCAAATGTCCATCAACTGATGAATGGGTAAACAAAATGTGGTCCATCTTTACAAAGGAACATTATTTAGCCATAAAAAGTAATAGAATACTGGTACATAATGCAACACGGATGAACCTTGAAAACACTGAACCTGCCGGGCACGGTGGCTCAGGCCTGTAATCCCAGCACTTTGGGAGGCTGAGGCAGACGGATCACGAGGTCAGGAGATCGAGATAGCCACCACGCCTGGCTAATTTTTTGTATTTTTAGTAGAGACGGGGTTTCCCCGTGTTAGCCAGGATGGTCTCGATCTCCTGACCTTGTGATCCGCCTGCCTCGGCCTCCCAAAGTGCTGGGATGACAGGCGTGAGCCACTGCGCCCGGCCTAAATGTTCACATATTATTTCATTTGTGTGAAATGTCCAGAATAGGGAAATCCATAGGGAGTAGATTTGTCATTGCCAGGGGCTGGGAGTGAGGACGTGTGTGGTGACCACTAATGGATGTTGGGCTTAATTTTGGAGTGTTGAAAATGTTTTGGAATAATAGTGAAATAGTGATGATTGCACAACATTGTGAATATACTAAAAAAAAACCCCGTTGAATCGTATACTTTAAAATAGTGAATTTAATGCTATGTGAATTATATCTCAATAGAAACAAAACAAAAAGATCCCCCCATATGCCATAGCAGTAATACCTGACTTCGTATATGTTACTTAAAGTGAGTATTTGAATTTAAAAGTAAGTTGATGTGAAGAAAAATATGAAGCAAGCAGTAGAGCAGCTTTTTTTTTTTTTTTAAAAAAAGACAGAGTTCCACTCTGTCGCCCAGGCTGGAATGCAATGGCACAATCTCAGCTCACTGCAACCTCTGCCTCCCGGGTTCAAGCGATTCTCCTGCCTTAGCCTCCTGAGTAGCTGGGATTACAGGTGCGCATTACCACACCCGGCTAATTTTTGTATTTTTAATAGAGATGGGGTTTCACCATGTTGGTCAGGCTGGTCTCGAACTCCTGACCTCGTGATCCACCCACCTCAGCCTCCCAAAGTGCCGGGATTACAGGCAGGAGCCACCGCGTCCGGCCAATCAGCTTTTATAGTAAGGATTTGAATGGGCTAATTCCCGGGACAGTGCTTGCACATAGTGGGTGCTCTGTAAGTGTTAGTCATTGTTACTATTGAGAAGAGATGGCAAAAATCTTGAAGGTGAACAACTCAATTTGGCAAGTGCAGATTTCTTGTGTGCCTAGTGAGGCCCTGTTGGTGCAGCCTCAGCCTGCCGCAGCCTCTGCATTCCCAGCTACCTTAGTGGCAGGTGTGTCTCCCTGAGGGTTCTCACTCTGCCCGCAGAGGCCTCCTCTTCCATACTCAGGCACTCATCCCTCTCATTCTTCATTGCAGTGCCCTTGATGGCCCCAAGTCTTGTCCTTGTCTTCTCAGGAGCTGCCTGGAGCACCCAGTTGCAGTGTTTTGTTGCTCCCCCAGTCTAGACAGGGTGCCACATCTGTGCTTGTTCAGATCCCCTGTAGCTGCTGGCATGGGGATCTGGTCACACAGTGAGTGTGTGAAAAATACTTGGCAAACCTGTGTCAACTAAACTATGAATACATCTTTTTTTTTGAGGCAGGGTCTTGCTCTGTCGTCCAGGCTGAAGTATAGTGGCATGATCATGGCTCACTGCAGCCTCAAACTCCTGGGCTCAGGCGATCCTCCATCTCAGTCTCGCACTCCCAGAAGTGTTGGGATTATAGGCGTGAGCCACCACACCTGGCCTTAGTACATCTTTATAATGACAAAACGATGTTATAAATCAGGCAAAAATATTTTAAAAATATATTGCAGAGTTTGTATATCTTATGAATGAGCTGTTCTAGGAACAGACTCTAGAAAAAGCTGACCCACGTGTCCCAGGAGACATGCATGGCTATAGAAGCACTTTTCACAGTAGCAAAAATCTGGAAATAACCCAGATATCCATGGACAGGAACACGGGTAGGCACATGGTTAAATATTGGCATGATCACATGGTACACAGCGGTGACAGTGGGTGAGTGTCAGCTAGCTGTGCATAACAACAGAGAGAACCTCAGAAGCAGTATAGAATGCCACAGGCAGGCTGGGGAAGACTGCATACTGTTCAGTTTTACTAGTGTGTGATACAATTATGTTCTTTTTTAAAAAGTGAGGGACTGAAAACCCAATACCAGGGCTGTTTGCCTTAGAGGTCAAGGAGGTGGGGAGAGGGAAGTGAGGGGAGCCAGGTGGCTGGACATGGTGGTCATGTTCCAGGCCTTGAGGGGACTGTGGAGTCATGGGGACTTATTTTATTTGTCCTCACATGTGGTTTGCACATATTCTCTTATATGTACCTAATGTTACATAATAAAACATTTAAGAAAACAGAAGAACAACAAGAAAACATTAGGGCTGGCTCATACCTTTTGTGGGGTAGACTCTGACATTGAAGAGTTGGGAAGGAACATTTCCTCCTAATATATCCAGTCAGTGTTGCACAGTAAATAAAACACTGGGAATGTCTCCAGCAGAGGAGGAAAGAGGGAAGTAATATTTTTACTCTGCACCAAAAAAGGAAGTTTACCTTTCAACATGAAGAGACTCTTTTTCCTGAGTGGTATTTCAGATGACAACAGCTATTTCAAAGGAACAGTGCAGGTTTCTCAGGGTGTTAAAGTCGGTGTGACTGATTTAGTAGAAGACACTGTTAATAGCCAAAGAGGCATCATTTCTTGAGGATGTGAGTTCTGAAGAACACGTTTTTAGGAATAGTTTTAGAGTCTCTGTGTTGTTATTTTGGACCTCCACCCTGACTGACTCCATTGTATTGCCAGCGTGTAGAACCTTCCACATTTCAAGGTAAAAGTTTCTTTGAATAGCGTTAAAGCCTCTTCCCTTTTGCTGGCTGCACTGAAGGGAGCTGGGAATGCCAGGTTCTGTCCTGGCTTAGCACTGAATGGCTCTGGGTCCTGGCATCTACACGTGGTTGACTTCCAAGGCCCTTCTAGCTGTAGCATCTTTGCTCCTGCTTGTTTGACTTGGTGAGAGACTGGGGAAAGGATCCATTATGGCCCACAAAACATGAGGCTGGAAAACAGTTGTTTCCATGCCATCTTTTGGCCTCAAACATCTAGACAAGAGGGACCTTTGTAGGCCTGCAGATTCAGCAAAGGAAAGTTTCTTGTTCTTACGATTTTGAGCACTGAATTTGTCTAAAGCTACAAAGAATGAGAATAAGAATAGGGATTAAGAGGATGGGATCAGAAGTCAGAGTCTGAGAGCAAATCCTAGTCCCACCTCTTGCTGGCAGTGCAGCCTTGGGTCAGTTACTTAGCCTCTCTTTGCTTCACTTTTCCTCCTCTGTAAGATATGAATAAGAAGAATAACTCCTCCATAGGATTGTTATGAAGATGCCATCAGTGGACACATGTGACCTGCTCAGTTAGTATTCACTAGCCTCTTCTTAGAGAGCCCCTTCTGTTTCTTACTGCTCTTTTAATTCTGTTCTGTTACTAGTATCAAAGAGCACATCTGAGACTTTGCTTGGAAATGCCAGCTGCAGAGGAGAAGGGCAGGCAAGATTGTTGATGGTTTTGAACAGGTTGTGTGTATAGTCTAGAGAGAGATGCTTGTGGACAATGCCACCCACCCCTCTGGTAGGTGATTCCCACCCAGTGTGTTCTCATAGGGATGCCTCTGTAGGCTTTCATCTCCTGCCGAGCTGTCCTTAGGAACCTGCTGAGAAATGTCCCTGTGGACATTGCACCTTGGCAGGACACAGTAGAGGAGGCAGGTATTTGGACACCTCTTATTTGCCAGTCGTACTCTTACCAACCCTCACAGCCATGCTGAGCAGCACCTGTTACCTCTATTTGAGAGGTGTGGAAATAGAGGCTCAGGAAAGCTCAGCTTGCCTCGGACCATGCAGCTGGAAAGGCAGGACATAATCCCTGTGGCCGGAGTGAGAACTACATATTTCAGCCCTAGGCTGCTGCCCAGGCTGCTGGTGTCGCTCCTGAGTCCAGCTGTAAGGGGCATCGAGTGGATTCTCAGGCCCCGTGGTGCCTGGGCTTCGGCAGGTGCTGGTTCGTGTGGAGCATGTGTTAAGCACCTGGTAGGGCTGTTCCTGTTCCCAGGCAGTTTATTGTTAGGCAGACAATACAGCACTTGCCCTTTAACTCAAGAAATGGAGACCGAAAGGGAAACAGGAACTGGGAGAACAGCCTCAAGGTGTGAACTCTGGCAGTCTCTGAGTAGAGAGATAATGGGTATCTTTAACAGTGTTCTTATTTTTTGCTTCTGTGTCACATGGAAGGTGTTTGTTGAGGGCTGAGTGTGTGCCAGGCACTGTTCTAGACAGTGGCAAAGAGGCTGGGCCTTGGTCTCAGGGGGGTGGTGTGGGGGCAGGAGAGAAACAGATAAACAGGCACATAAGAAATGTCAGATAGAGGAGGGGCTCTGTTCCAGATGACAGCTGGTGACGTTGATAGAGAGTGCCTGATGGGTTCTGAGGAGGCCATGCGATCTGAGTGACAAGGAGCCAGTCTAGTGACAGATAGAGGAAGGACGCTGGGTGGGGGAAATGGCAGGTGCATAGAATGCAAGGCAGGAGCCACTTCCGGTCATAGGGAAAGTGACTGGAAATGAGAGTGCAGCATGTGGGTGGCACATAAAGAGTTAACCCTCAGGGATTGCTCTGCCCCAGAGCCCACCTTTGGGATGAAGGAGCTCATCCTTTGAGCTTCAGCTAAGGTGAGCCTGCTCTTGTGGTCTCTAAGATCCTGGCTCACTGCCCATCCCGCAGTGCTGCTTAGATGAGGCTCAGCGGACATCAACCATCACTACCACCAGTCCCTGCAAGTAACTCCCTCAGAAATCTGCATTGTTCAGAAATCTACCGTGTTCCTCTGAAGCTACTATGGAAAGAGTTAGATGTGACCTCCTGGAGGCACAGGTGGGAAGGCAGAGGTGAGCAAACCGCTTGTTTTTCTCACAGCTGTGGTCTTGCACTTGTACATGCACAGTGTAAAAATACCTGTTCCTTGGCCAGCATCTGGAGCTCTCTTTGAGAAAATATGTTACATCACTACTGTGCCCGAAACCCAAAGTCAGCAGGCCCTGCCTGAGGGGATCCACTGCCCCTCCTTTATTTCCACACTCTCGCAGGCTCCTCGCGAGATGGCGACAGCCCAGCAGTTAGCACCACCACATCCACCAGCCAGGTCTAAATTAAACACGAGATCATGGGAATGTAGATTTTCCCATGCAGCTCTGCATGTTTTTCAGATGTCTCAAGCTGGAAAATTATGCTGATCAAATGGTAGTCCATAGCTCGGCCTGTCCTGTGGGGTGGGGGTGAGTAGCCATCAAAGGCTCCCGTTCACTGCACCCAGTCTCTGGTTGGCTTCATCGTCTCCCATCAGCCAGTGTTTTCTCTAGCACAGCCACAGTGTGTGAGAAATGGGGAATCTCTGCCTAAGGGTCACAGCGGCCATCCTCAGAGGAGGGAAGGGTTCTGAAGGCTGCTTTTCACATTTCCAAAGGCTGAAGGGAAGCCCTAGTTTTTTGCCCACCATGAAGCCCCACAGACTAACAAAAACGTCTGCTGCTTGGCTGTGGCTGGAATTCTACTCCCTCAGTTGGTGACCTGTGGCTGGGCTGATCAGAAGCTTGGGTTTCTCATGACACCATGGAGATGGCAGGGAATTGAATCACTGGTCAGAATGGGGGCCTTTGGGACTGAAGGATTTGGGGTGAGCATCTGGTTTAATTCCATCATTTTAGAAGCGAGGACCCTGGGTACTGGCTTCTTGGTGCTACAGAGCGGTCGCAGCATTGGCCCTGATCCCTGGATTCCCATCTCCTCTCACTACCACATCATGTTATTTGCATTTTGGCATGATTTTTAAAAGAATGCTGTTCATAATTTGGTCATTTGTAAGACTGCTTTGAGGAATAGGAGAGGTAGGGGAGCATTCAACAATTCTCATTTGCCTTTATGGAGTGTTGCTGCCTGCACTTTGTGCTGTCACAGTGTTTGATCCTCTACACTGAGGGGGAGGTGCAGCTCCTTGCCATACCCCTGTTTTCCTGGATTGGCAGGAACAGCCAAAACCAGGTCTCCAGACCCCATCTTTTCTTCACACAGTCTTTAAAAAGACTGCATTTCCTCACCTGCCCATGTATTCTACACCCACAGGCTGCTCCTCCCAGAGACTAAATGATAAGGGCATGTTGATAACAAGAAATTAAATTCCTTGTGTATGTTTTGGTACTTGCTTTCTGCTTTTAGAAAATTGAGTACATATCAAGTTCTAGGAGGCCAAGTGACATCTAATTTGAGCTCTGCTGTGTCTGTTCCAGTGGCTCTCAGATCCTGGGAGAAGCTGCCTAGGTGGCTTCTTGAGGGTGGACCTCCTACTCCCCTTCAGGAGCCTCTGCCTGGTCATCTCGTCCTGCAAATAAAGTGGCCATTCTGTGGGTCTGCTCAGCCTTTTTTTTAGAGGTTGGTTCTTCCTATGCAGTCAGCCCTTCCTGGCTCCCCTTTGGCAGTAGGTTAACTGACACCTGCAGGGATCTTTCTTCCTTAGAAGAAAGTCCCAGGGGAGACAAGTAAGCACATGGGCAGTTTACCTTTTCCTGCTCTACTGTCTAGAAGTCAAGTCTGAAATGTTTGTTTTTCTTCAAAATTCTTTAAGTATATGAGTATAAAGGTTTTTTAGCCCAGTTTTTGGAGACTGATAAATTTTTTATTAAAAAAAAAACTATTCATTTTTATAGACAGGGTCTTGCTAGGTTGTCCAGGCTAGATTTGAACTCCTGGGCTCAAGTGATCCTCCTGCCTCAGCCTTCTGAGTAGCTGGGAAACAAGTGTGTAGCACCCTGCCCAGCTGATATAAAATTTGATTTCTCTAACCAACAAGAAGTCATCAGAATATAGATGCCCACTTTCAGTTAGTGAAGATGTTTATTTTTTGGCTGAATCTCACTGTTTTTCTGGTATGAGGGAAATAAAGGATTTTTTTCTTTTCATTTCTCTACGGGATGAGCAACAGTTATTAGGCTTTAAGTTATTGCTAGCGTGGCTGAAACAGAGTCATAATAGTCTTTTCTCTTTTGGCTGAAATGATGACTGTTGAAAAGAATGTAGCACTGTCCATATTGTCCTAACTGGCCTGTTGTCTTCTGGAGAGCCCGTGTGGTTTGGTCATGTGGTCTGTGGTCTCAGCTACCCCAACTGGGCCTCCTTGTAATGATCGTTGTACCCTTTTCTCCGGTAGGAAGATGGAGATGTTTCCTCACTCGTGGACTGCACCTCAGGAAAGATAAAGCCAGTGAATTGAGGATTGCGGAGTATTGCACACATTCAGGTGTCCTGCAGTGGACACCATGACACTGACTCCAGCATGCCTAGAAATCACCATGGGGGCTTAAGAGAGTGGCACCCCCTCAGCTCTGCCCCCAGAATGACTGGATTTTTGAACAGACTCCCAGGAAGTTCTGATGTATCTGGTTGATGGACCACACTGGTGGAACACTGTGGGAAAGGTGGGGTGTACCCCTTTCCCAAGCATTCTCTGTCATCTGCTTTTAGAAAAATAAAGTACATGTAGAAACATAGGAGGCTGCCAGACATACATAGGTGGAGCTACCATCTGAGGTGAAGATGTTCAGGTCAATTAATTCACCCGTATTTATTGATTGGGACTGGGTTTTCACAATGTTGATTGACCTGTGATTGTTAGGTTTGGGGAGGGGAGTGGAAAGACAGCTCCCTGACAGCCGAGCGTGATCTTCAATGATGGCTGCTCCCCATAGTTTCCTTAGGGACTTGATGTAGACCCCAGCTGAAAGGTGAACATCCTCCTCTCAGCACACGATCAGCCACACCTTGGTGGCACAGAGGCACGGGGTGTAGAGATGTGTGCCTTCACCACAGGCCCACCTGCACTGCTTGGAACTGTGAAAAGCCTCTGTCTCCCATGATGGGGAACTCTAGATTTGGAAAGAATTTCCCCACCCAGCATCTCAAGCCTTCAGAGCACATTTTTATGGAATACTTCTTGCCTCCTGGGGCATAACCCTAGCCTTGGAAATTTTTTTTTCCAGTTTTGTTCTGTTTGCTGTTTTGTTTAGTCTCTTTTCAGTCTCTACTCTCATTTGAATTCTGACTGTGTTTTCAAGTTTACCAGAAAATTCTCCCCCAGCTTGTCCCCTGCATGTATGGGGATCTAGCTGTTATTTTGTGGTTCCCGTCATGAGTCACTCTCAAAAAAGAGCAGATGATCCCAGACTTTGGTTGGGGTTGCCTCCTTCACAGGGAGTGCCGAGCCCTCCTGGGGAGGATGCAGTTCTTCCTTGGTCAGTCTTGGGTTGTGGGTCAACTGTGGCTGGGGGGAGCCTGACTGATGTCTCTGCACTCCTACTTGAGGCCCTGTTGGAGGTTCAGGGGAGCGCCCATGCTCTGTCCTTTTGTTGTTTGGCTGTTGTTGCCTTTCTACCTCTGGTTCTCTCAGGTGCTTTGTGCACAGGGTTTGCAGTTGCAGGGATCAAAAGCACACATTGCTGTAGGTTACAGCATGAGAATTTCAGGGAATAAATGGCTTCATGCACAGGTAGACATAGAGGTGCAGACCACGTGTTGTTATGTCTTGTGCCTTCTCCTTTCCTTGGCTTCTTGCTTTCTTCTGTGGCTGCTTCAATCATAGGTAAACTCTGACTCTGCCCCTGTGGTGTGTTCCAGCAGCTTAGCAACCCTGCTGGTTTCCCAGAAGTTTTAGGAACCATCCAGAGGGGTCTACAGGTGGTCCAGTCTGGATTCTTAACATATCACTGATGTAGCTGCTGGGCGGGGGAACTGTGGGGCTTTGATTGGCCTGGTCTGAGTCCTGGGCCTACTCCTGGCCAGTTTCCCAAGGATGACTGAAGTACTCTTTCCAAGAAGAGGGGGATTATGGTTGTTACATAGGCAAAACCAATGATTCAGTTTTCAGAATGGAAATGAAATATTATTTGGTTTAAAGAACCTTACCTAGTTCTGGGGACTAACTGTAGAAAAGTGAGTATTCGCTTTCATATTGAATAGATATGGCTTTTTACGTGGAGGCTCTGGAGCTCCCAGGGCATTTCAGAAGGCCTGACAATTTCTGCATTGCTCATGGTGCTACTTCCCCAGGCCACCTCAAGCATTCAGTTTCTTTGCTGTTGGTTGGAATTTATTGACACTGTGTGGTTAACAATTGTTATCTAACATGTGTCAGCACCCTGATTTCTTAGTAAAATGAATTATTAATTAATACAATTTCAAAACAGGTTTTTAGGGCTAGGGCTGGAGTGGGGAAGGTGTGGCTGGTGGGGTGGTGGCCAGGAGCTTCTGCCTGGTCATCTCTTCCTGCAAATAAAGTGGCCATTCTGTGGGCCTGCTCAGCCGTTTTTTTGAGACAAAGTTGCTCTTTCACCCAGGCTGGAGTGCAGTGGCATTATCATGGTCCACTGTAGCCTCCATCTCCTGGGCTCAAGGGATTCTCCCATCTCAGTCTCCTGAGTAGCTGGGACTGCAGATGTGCACCACCATGCCCAGCTAATTAAAATTTTTTTTTTTTTTTTTTTTTTTTTTTTTTTTGTAGAAATGAGGTCTCACCATGTTGTCCAGGCTGGTCTTGAACTCCTGGGCTCAAGTGATCCTCCTGCCTTGGCCTCCCGAAGTGCTGGGATTATAGGCGTGAGCCACTGCACCTGGCCCTATTCCTGTGACAGCTCTCTTGGAAGGTACAGAAAGGTTTGTTTGCCTTGAATAATGAATCTCACTTTACACCTTGCTGTCTTCATTTAAAAATATTTCAAGTTTTGACAGAATTGTACAAGTTCATGTACTTTATTTATCAATTAGCATCAAATAGTTCTAGGTAATAACTGATGATATGATGATAGAACTGGATTTCTAAAGGTGTTTCTAGTTACTGAGGATCCTTTCAATTGTCAGTATGTAATTTATGAGAATAAGTTTTTTTTTTTTTTTTTTGCTGTATTGGGTCTAAACTTTTAACAGAGTTTAATACTGTTTTTCCTTGTTTTGACAACCCTCCCACCTCCACCTCTAACATCCATATCTGGTGTAGAGGTTCATAAGAAATTATTGTGAGCTGATCACACACTTCCTCAGGTTTGAGTGAGGAGCCCAGAAGGTAACAAATGATCCTGTTTTAGTTGCATTTGCATGTGCATTAGTTCAGTCTCAGCAAGCTGGAAACAAGAAAATTGGAAAATTGAGAAGGAAAGTGGAGCGTGCAAACTATGCGAAAAAGAGGGAGAAGAAAACAAAACTCAGATTCTAGAAATAACAGAATGTGCCCGGGCACGGTGGCTCACGCCTGTCATCTCAGCAGTTTGGGAGGCCGAGGCGGGTGGATCACTTGAGGTCAGGAGTCCGAGACCAGCCTGGCCAAAATGTTGAAACCCCATCTCTACTAAAAACACAGAACTTAGCTGGGTGAGGTGGCAGGTGCCTATAATCCCAGCTACTTGGGTGGCTGAGGTGCCAGGATCACATGAACCTGAGAGGCAGAGGTTGCAGTGAGCCGAGATTGCACCACGGCACTCCAGCCTGGGCAAAAGGGTGAGACTCTGTCTCAAAAAAAAAAAAAAAAAAAAAGAGAGAAATAACAGGATTTGCCGTGGAGGGTGGTATATGTTTGGAGCTTGGAGCTTGCTCTTGGGATGGACTCATGGCAGATGTTTGCTGGGAGAGAAGATGTTTAAATGTTTACAGGCTGTCCTGTGGTTGAGGGGAAACAGTGAAAAATGGGGACCTGAGGTGTACAAGGTCAAGTGTGTCAAAGTATTGGAAGTCCAGGTGTTCAGCTGGAATAGCTGGAGCTTTGTGCCCACTGGCACTGCTGGAGTCCTGCTTCATGGCCCACGCATCATGGGCTGTCTCACGGTTGGAATAATTAGTTTCAGCCTCCAAAGTCTCGCTTAGGTGAGGTGCGTAGTCCAGTTGGCCTGGAAAATGAAAAGCTTTGGCCGGGCGCGGTGGCTCACGCCTGTAATCCCAGCACTCTGGGAGGCCAGGGTGGGCGGATCACGAGGTCAGGAGATCGAGACCATCCTGGCTAACACGGTGAAACCTCGTCTCCACTAAAAATACAAAAAAATTAGCTGGGCGTGGTGGTGGGTGCCTGTAGTCCCAGCTACTCAGGAGGCTGAGGCAGGAAGAATGGTGTGAACCTGGGAGGCGGAGCTTGCAGTGAGCCGAGATCACACCACTGCACCAGCCTGGGCGACAGAGCGAGACTATGTCTCAAAAAAAAAAAAAAAGAAAATGAAAAGCCTCCAGTGACTTTTCTCCTAGTGAGGATTATTTATTTGTTTGTTTATTTATTTATTTTTAGAGACGGGGTCTCGCCATGTTGCCCAGGTTGGTCTTGAACTCCTGAGCTCAAGTGATCTGCCCGCCTCGGCTTCCCAAAGTGCTGGGATTACAGACATGAGCCACCACACCTGGTCCTAGTGAGGTGTATTAGTCTGTTTTCACACTACTGATAAAGACATACCCGAGACTGGGAAGAAAAGGAGGTTTAATTGGACTTACAGTTCCACATGCCTGGAGAGGCCTCAGAATTATGGCAGGAGGTGAAAGGCACTTCTTACATGGCAGCAACAAGAGAAAAATGAGGAAGAAGCAAAAATGCAAACCCCTGATAAACCCATCAGATCTCATGAGACTTACTCACTATCACAGGAATAGCATGGGAAAGACTGGCCCGCATAATTCAATTACCTCTCCCGGGTCCCTTCCACAACACGTGGGAATTCTGGGAGACACAATTCAAGTTGAGATTTGGGTGGGGACACAACCAAACCATGTCATGAAGATTTCTTTTGGTTTTTCTCTTTTGAGACAGAGTCTTGCTCTGTCACCCAGGCTGGAGAGCAGTGGTGCCATCTCAGCTCACTCCAACCTCTGCCTCCTGGGTTGAAGCGATTCTCATGCCTCAGCTACCCAGGTAGCTGGGATTCCAGGTGTGCACCACCATGCCTGGCTAATTTTTATATTAGGGTTTTGCCCTGTTGGCCAAGCTATTGCTGAACTCCTGGCCTCAAGTGATCCTCCCACATCGGCCTCCCAGAGTGCTGGGATTACAGTCATGAACCACCGTGCCCGGCCCCTAGTGAGGATTTCTTAGTGAGGATTTCGAAAGCTGCTCCTGTCTATAAACT